>NC_000005.10:159094657-159397687 GCF_000001405.40 Homo sapiens | reverse complement strand
ATCTTAAAAAAACAAAAAGGCAGGGCGCGGTGGCTCCCACCTGTAATCCCAGCACTTTGGGAGGCCAAGGCAGACGGATCACCGGAGGTCGGTCGGGAGTTTGAGACCAGCCTGACCAACATGGAGAAACCCCGTCTCTACTAAAAATACAAAATTAGAGGGGCCTGGTGGCGCATGTCTGTAATCCCAGCTACTCGGGAGGCTGAGGCAGAAGAATCACTTGAACCTGGGAGGTGGAGGTTGCAGTGAGCTGAGATCGCGCCATTGCACTCCAGCCTGGGCAATGAGAGTGAAACTCCATTTCAAAAAAAAAAATTAAAAATTAAAAAAAGAGTCTGACCTTATTGAAAACAGATCAGAAATAAATATTGCCTTTATTCTCTCAAGGGTCACCTAGAGGTAGACTCACCCCCAATCCCCCATACATTCACCCGCTCTGTGTACACAAATGTGTACACAGAGTTCAGTGAGATTCTGTGCTTTTGGCAGGGACGTTCAGATGCCTCTTTCCTGCTCCATATGCATTTTGCATTCCCCATTTACATCTCTAATATTTTACTGAGGGAGGTGGGGAGTTATACGGAAGGGGCCTAGGAAGAAGAGAGAAAAGAAAAGAGAAGGGCAACTAAGATGGAGGCTCCTCGATCCCTCCATCGCCCTGGTTGTGAGCCCACGTGAAAGTGAGTGTGGTTGGGGTAAGCTGCTATAGGATAAATGTTCATGAAAGATGACGTACACACAGAGCTGCCTCAGGACCCAGGAAACCAAGAGGGATGTTTGATTGAAAGCTCCAAGACAGCAGAGCTCAGAGCTCATGACAACGTCATGGGTCAGTGTATTCCCAGTGCCCAACACATTGCTGACACATCGTGAATCGAATCTGACAAAGCATTCTCCATACTAGGCACATGCTAAGACACACAAGAAAGAGCTGTTGGATGAATAAATCAGTGAATGAAAAAATTATCTGGAGAAGAGCCATTCTCCCTGCCTCCCCCAATACCTATTCCACAGTAGTCCACATTGGAGCTGATGGCCTCTCTGCTTGCCCTCCTGTTGACAAATCCAACCTCCACTGCAGCAAGAGTGATCAATTCAAAATATAAATATAAATATAAAATGTAAATCAGGTCTTCTCATTCCCCTGCTTCAAATCTTCAGCTTAGGACTTAAGATGTAACCAAAGCCTTTGCCTGTGTGATGTGGTCCCAGCTAGCTCAGTGGCCCCTCCCTGGCCCTCATCCCTTCATTCTCTATACTCCAGCCACTGTAATCTTTTGCTTGTTCCCTGGACAAGCCGAGCTCATTCCTGCCTCATGGCCTTTGCACTTGCTGTTCCATTAGCCTGGAACACTCTTCCCCCAGATCTTTAAATGAAAAGATACTTTCTTATTATTCATGCCTCCAGTCAAATGACACCTCTTCACAGAGGCCTTTCTTGAGCACCTAAAGTCACTGTCTATTCATTTGTGATCACACCGCCATTTTCTTTTTCTTCAGAGCGTTAAGCACTCAGGAATGATTTTGTTCATTTATGTGGCTTCATTATCATTGTCAGTCTTGGACATTCTAATATAAACTCTTTCTCTATGTTGTTTGCAGCTGATGATTCCCCAATGCCTAGAACAAAACCTGGCACACAGCTGGCCCTTGATAAATATTTTCTGAATGAATATTATTAATATTATGAAATTATGAATATGTATTATGCAGCCTTGGCATCCTGAGGGCTCTGGGCAATACCAAGTGAATTTTCCCAGAAGTTGATGCATCAGAGGCAGCAGACAGATGCTTCAAATCAATGCATCAGGAAGAAAGAAAGAAGTGTGAATGATGACAGCTGACATTTATAGAACATTTATTACATGCAGAGATTTTTTCCAAGTCCTCAATGTTTATTATCTTTTATAATTCTTGCAGCCACCCCTGAAGCGAGGTCAAATTATTATTTCTATTTTATGGATAAATAATTGGAACAGAGAGGGGAAGCAACACCCCCTAGGTCACAAGCGTAGTAAATGGAAGATCAAAGATGTAAATCCAGACTATTCACCACTACACTACACTGCTTCTCTCAAACTGACTTACCGAGAAGCACACCTTCCCTGGGTGGAGGCTAGCGGAGGCAGGAAGAAGTATGAAGCAAGTCAGGTATTGATATCAGTGTGAACACAGAGGTACCTCCAGACTGGTGAAGCCTGAAGCCCAGGGCATACATCATGAATGGTCTCACGCTGAAAGGAAAATGCTCTGGAGTCTGCCACTTAGCCCTCCAGCAAAAAACACCTCTGGTTAAATTCCAGGCCCACAGCTGCAGCAGTGCCTCAGGCAGTCCCTCTGTCTCCATTTCCACCCCTGAAGCTCAGAGCCTGAGAGCCAGACCCAACCTACAGACACAGTTTGCTTCATACTCACAATGTGGCCTATATCATATATATTTTTTATTATAATTGTGGCCAGCCTTTAAAATAGCTACTTCACATTTAAGTTCAGTTTTCCAGCTCTTCTCTAAACATCACAAGAACTGTGATGCCCATCTTGCTTTCACATCTGGCACAGTCAGCTGGATCTGAGGAGCGACCTGCCTCTGGGAAAGAGCATGCGCCATGGGTTCACTGTGGTCCCCACCACTCCCTAGTTTGTCCTCAGTCCTGAGCCTTGCCTCCCTGTCTATGTGTATTTGTTTACATGTGCTGTGTCGAGCCTGGACGTTTGAGCTCGTGATGTCTGGTGGGCGTTCATTGCCACACCCCTGCACCCCGGGACTGCTCTGATGGGCCTCCTGCCTTGAGTCTCACATGGCTACAGCATCATCCTTCATAACGCCATCAGATTCCAGCATGATCCCAGCCACCTCACCAGAACTCAAACTTGAGCTCATCCTTGGCACTGCCACTTGCTATGTGGCTTGTCCTTTCCACCTCAGTTTCCTCATCTATAAAATGAGGAGAATAATAATAATAATATCCACCATCTTCATTTGTCCCTGCTACTATAACAAATTACTATATACCGGGTGGTTTATAAATAGCAGAAATGTATTATTTACAGTTCTAGAGTCTGGGAAGTACAAGATCAAGGCTCTGACAGATTCCATGTCTAGTAAGCCTCTGTTTCCCCACAGACAGCGGCTTCTTGCTGTGTCCTCACATAGTGGAAGGAATAAGCCAGCTCTCTGGAGTCTATGTTATCAGGCCACTAATCCCAGCCAGGAGACTAAAAGGCTCCACCTCCCAACACTCTCACCTTGGGGGTTAGGAATTCAACATATGAATTTTAGGGAGACATAAACGTTCAGACCACAGCATCTACCTTGGAGGGCTAATGAAGATTTTAAAGACTTATAAATTTCTTGGAATATGTGTGACAGAAGACCTAAATTTAAAACCCCAATGTTATATGTTGCCTTGACATCTGGGAGAAGCTGGGAGGACCTCAAATGGCATAACCACAAGTTCCCCTCCCTACGCTGCTATAGCAGATAAGGACTCCCTGCCAAAGAAGCCTTCTTTTCAAAGGGACCAGGTGTGGTGCCTGCTTATCTCTTAGTAGCGGGTTTTCATTCTGTGTCAGTCCACAAAATTATTCAAACGAGCCAATCACATCCTCCCACAGGAACCAAGGAGCACCACAGCCTTGTGATACTACAAAGCCTGCCTTCTACATACAATCCCTGCTAGTTTACTCTGCTCCAAAGCATAAGTGCTACCTACCACGTGGTGTCCTCCTTCCCTGGATGTGAGTGCAGTATGTGTGACTGACAAGCTGCTGTCAATCTCATCTGTTCAGTGTCAAGTGTCAAGTGTCGGCCATCCCTATAATCCTAGGGCAGGAATCCCTGCTTCAATAATTGGGTGAGTATGAGGTAAGTAAAACAGTATAATGAAGTGCCTAATTAATGGTGGCTGCTAATAATCCTTGAATAACAACTTTTGTAAGAAGAAAAAATAACATTTGATTTTGCATTCTAGGAAGTTTTTCATATAATACATCATGTCTTTTAATCTGATCAATGGCTCAATGAAATGTGTTACCATCCCATTTTACACACAAGGAAAATGAGGCTCAGAGAGGATGATTTTTACAATTGGAATCATCCCAATGTCAATTATTTATGGAGTTCTAATGATGAATTCCAAGCACTATGGAAATATATGATCTTATGTTCTCTCCAGAGTGCTGCAAGGTAGGTACAATTATGTCATTTAGCTAATAAGTAAGTTACAGCTCTTAAGGCTTATATAACTCAAAGTCACAAAATCTTAATTGGCAGAACCAAAGATTTATACTCAGTCTTGTCTGGACCTAGAGTTAGCTCTTTTCACCTCACTGTGCTTTGTATCAGTAAAATCAGGACTAAAATCCAAGTCACATGGATTTGAGATCTCAATAGTAGTTTCCTTATAACACGTTTCTCTGTATCATGTTATTCCCTTAATAGGAAATCAATCAATCCGTCAATCAATAAGAACCGTTCATGTCCAAACCTCTCAGTTTGGCTTTCAGGCCCTTCCATGTGGTATCTATCTTGTGAATCACTACCACTTCTGCTCTCTCATCATTCCCAGGACATTTAACCAGTATTGCCACATTACTTGATGTATTAGTTCATTCTCACATTGCTACAAAGAAATACCTGAGACTGGGTAATTGGTAAAGAAAAGGGGTTTAATTGGCTTACAGTTCTGCAGGCTGTACAGGAAGCATTGTGGCATCAGCTTCTAGGGAGGCCCCAGGGAACTTACAATCATGGTGTAAGGCAAAGGGAGAGCTGGCACTTCACATGGCAGGAGCAGGAGGAAGAGAGAGAGCAGGGAGGTGCCACATGCTTTTAAACAACCAGATCTCATGAGAACTCTATCATAAGAACAGCACCAAAGAGATGAATGGTGCTAAACCATTCATTAAGGTTCCACCTCTATGATCCAATCACCTCCCACCAGGCCCTGCCTCTGACATGGCGGATTACAACTGAACATGAGATTTGGGTGGGGATAGAGATCCAAATCATATCACTTGGCATCCATGGAGACACAGACATAAGATCATTAAGCTTATAGATGCAACTTTAGAGGCATTTGTGGAATCTTTCCACAAAGATTTAACTCACTGGGTTGTGGTGCATTCAATTCAATTGACTTCGTGGTTTCCAGTCCTAAAGAGATTGTTCTCATATTAGTGGGAGATAATTACAGTTAGAATTCCAGATAAAGTTTACTTTAATATTGGATTTAAAAATACAAAAGTGGCCAGGGGCGGTGGCTCACGCCTGTAATCCCAGCATTATGGGAGGCCGAGGCAGATGGATCACAAGGTCAAGAGATCGAGACTATCCTGACCAACATGGTGAAACCCTGTCTCTACTAAAAATACAAAAATTAGCTGGGCGTGGTGGCGCATGCCTGCAATCCCAGCTACTCAGGAGGCTGAGGTAGGAGAATCACTTGAACCCGGGAGGCAGGGGTTGCAGTGAGCCAAGCTCGTGCCACTGCACTCCAGCCTGGCAACAGAGCGAGACTCTGTCTCAAAAAAAAGAAAAAAATACAAAAGTAACCAATTAGACTTTGATTATCTACTAAATTCACTGAACAATAATTGCCTTCAAATGTCCAGCCCATTAAATATTAAAACAGTCACTAAAAGTTTTGATGGGAGAATACCATAGCAAGTTTTAAATACCTGATTCATTTGAAATGTGCTTTATATAGTGTTTGCATGATTTATACTACGTTTCTGAGTACAACAACTTTGGCCCTGACTGATTTCATATCACCACATTTTGATTCTGACAATGTCAATAAATGAAATGACTTCAAGCATCCACTTAGAATATACAAAGAAAAAAAAAAGGAAGCTGAGGCCACCCAAACTAAATATATATAGAGAGATATATAGATATATAGATTAGATATAGATATAAAAATACAGTTCACCCATGAAGGGTGAGGGGTTTAGTAATGTTGACCCCACCATGCAGTTGAAAATTTATGTATCACTTTTGACTCAGCCAGAACTTAACTAATAACAGCCTTCTATTGACTGGAAGCCTTATGAATAGTATAGCCAATTAACAGATATTTTCTGTATTATATGTATTATATACTGTATTCTTACAATAAAGTAGCTAGAGAAAAAAATGTTATTAAGAAAATCATAAAAAGAGAAACATATTTACTATTTATTAAGTGGAAGTGGATCATCATAAAGGTCTTTATCTTCATCATCTTCATATTGAGTAGTGATATGGTTTGGTTGTGTCCCCACCCAAATCTCATCTTGAATTGTAATTCCCATAATCCCCATATGTTGTAGGAGTGACCTGATAGGAGGTAATTGAATCATGGGGGTGGGTTTTTCCAATGCTCTTCTCGTGATAGCGAATAAGTCTCACGAGATCCGATGGCTTTATAAAGGGAAGTTCCCCTGCACACACTCTCTTGCCTGCCTCCATGTACGACATGGCTTTGCTCCTCCTTCACCTTCCACCATGATTGTAAGCTCTCTCCAGCCACGTGGAACTGTGAGTCCATTAAACCTCTTTTTCTTCATAAATCATCCAGTCTTGGATATTTCTTCATAGCAGTACGAAAATGGGCTAATACAAGTAGGCTGAGAAGGAGGAAGAGGAGGCATTGGTCTTGCTTGTCTCAGGGGTGATGGAGGCAGGAGAAAATCCATGTCTAAGTGCCCCTGTGCAGTTCAAACCCACACTGTTCAAGAATTAACTGTAATCTAAAAAGTGATTTTAAAAAAAAATCTTATCAGAGTGATGAGGTCATTAGAGAACTAGTTGAACTGAGGGACTCATGAATAATTTTAATTTTGGCAGAGCATGAGAAAAAGAGGTGGAAGCTATAAAGGCAGGTAAAAAGAAAAAACTGAAACATTCATGAATTCTTAAAGGTTAAATGTCTGCTGGCATGAAGTGTTGAATCCCTGGGAGACACAGACATGAAAGAAGACCACACCCACTTCATAGTTCTTCTCCATGAGCCTTAATTGGGTACTCATGAGAAACACTGGGGACAGGTAGAAGACCTGAGAGACCCTCCTCAGTGGTGTGGGAGTTCTGAGCCTGCCAAGGTTTGAGAAAATAGCAGGAGTATCCAGAGAAGCTCATTCATTTCTGGGCGCTCTATGAGTACAAGGTAATAATTAGCCTAGAGGATAAGCATGAAACCCACTCACACCCCAGAGTCTTCTCTGATATGGAATGAAAGCTGCCTACTGGCCGGGGAAGGGTAAGAAGAAACTTACTTGTGCCTCTGTTTTGACACTAAGCAAAAGCTGCCAGGGGAGAGACTGGAAATTCACTCATACCCAATATCCCCCACTGATACAAGGTAGAGTTCATCTGCCACAGGAGAAAAAGTTATTATATTAGTTTTCTGGGCTGCCATTACAAAATACCACAGACTGGGCGGCATAAACAACTGGAATTTATTTTCTCACAGTCCTGAATGCTTGAAGTCCAAGATCAAGGTCCTAGTAGGGTTGCTTTCCTCTGAAGCCTCCCTCCTTGGCTCACAAATGGCTGCCCTCCTGCTGCGACTTCAAATGGTTGTCCCTCTGTGCATGTCTGTGTCCCAATCTCTTCTTATAAGGATACTAGTCATATTGAATTGGGGCCCAAACACTAATGGCCTCATTTTAACTTAATCACCTCTTTAAAGACCATATATCCAAACACAGTCATATTCTGAGGTACTGGGGGTTGAGACCTCAACATACGAATTAGGGGAGTGGAGAGTGACACAATTCAGCCTATAACAGTCAGTAAATGCACTGCACTCAATCCTGAACTGAGTAGGTGCCAAGGCTACCTGCAACTAGAAGGAGGAGGAATACGGAGAAAGCCCAACTCCTGAGGCTTAGGTGCACAAGGTCTGCCTAAGAATGAAGCTGGAGCAAGAGATTCAAAAAATGTCTACCATAAGCCTTGTACTGAGTACCATAAGCTTTGCACTGAGTAATAAGCAGTGACAATCTTTCAGTGGAAGAGGGCAAAAGAGGAAAAAAGGCATGGTGAAAGTTGAGGATGGGGCAAACGACAAGAGAAAAACTCTACAGGACTTCAGAATTTATACTAAACAATTGTAGTGCACTAAATGTAATAATAGCAACAACAATAAAAGAAACTCAGCTCAAGAACTGAGTCAACTGACCCAACTCCCCATACTAAAAGTTTGACAGAAGAAGAGATATGCCCATTCTGGACATTAGTCACTATTTAACTTAGTTTCTAATGTTATTTTACCCATAATGTTCAGCATTCCATTAAAAATAACAAGACACACAAAGCAGCGAGAAAAAAAAAAATCCTCTTGTCAAGAAATAAAGTAGGCAAAAGAATAAAACTCAGGATGACCAGTTATAGCAAAGTTTCAGGATACAAGGTTAATCTTGTACAAAAGTCAATTGCTTTCTTATCTACCACCAATGAACAAGAAAAATTTGAAATTAAAAACCTAATACATTATTCACATTATCATCCAATGAATGAAATACTTAGGTATAAGTATTTGTACAAGATCTAGATGAGGAAAACCACAAAACTCTGATGAAAGAAATAAAAAAAGAACTAAGTAAGTGGAGAGATATTCTGTGTTCATGGATGGGAATACTCACTATTGTCAAGATGTGAGTTCTTCCCAACTTGATCTATAGATTCAGTATAACCCCAATCAAAACCACAGCAAGTTATTTTGTGGATATTGGCAATTGGATTCTAAGATTTACACGGAGAGGCAAAAGACCCAGAATATCCAACACAACATTGAATGAGAAGAACAAAGTTGGAGGACTGACACTACCCAACTTCATAACTTAATATAAAGCTACAGTAATTAAGACAGTGTGGTATTGGTGAAAGAATAGATCAATGAAACAGACTAGGGAGCAAGAAATAGAGCCACATAAATATAGATCAACTAATGTTTGACAAAGGAGCAAAGGTGAAGAATGTCTTTTTAACAAATGATATTAGAATAACTGAACATCAACTAGACACAGACCTTACAGTTTTCACAAAAACTAATTCACAGACCTAAATATAAAATGTGAACCTATAAAACTCCTAGATCATAACATAGAATAAAATCTAGATGATCTAGCGTTTGGTGATGACTTTTTAGATATAACACCAAAGACACAATCCATGAAATGAAGAATTGATAAGATGGACTTTATTAAAATTAAACTTTTCTGTTCTGCAAAAGCTCTGTCAAGAGAATTCAAAGACAATCCACAAACTGGGAGAATATACCTGCAAAGGTCATATTTGATAAAGGACTGTTATCTAAAATATTAAAATAACCCTTAAAACTCAAAAATAAGGAAACAACCCAACTACAAAATGGGCTGAAGCCCTCAACAGACACAAGATATACAGATCGCAAATAAGAAAACATACAAATGGCAAATAAGCATATGAAAAGATGCTTCATATCATATATCATCTGGGAAATGCAAACAAAAACAATGAGGGTAGTGTGATCAAGACGACTGACTAGACATAGGTCTTTGTCCATAGAGCAGAACCAGGATAGTAAAGTAGATACTCACATTTCAAACAGATCATCTAGGAGAGAATACTAGGATTCACCAGAGAAGTGATGGGAATCACCAGAAGTAAGTGAGGAGAGGGTTCAAGGCAGCTTGCCAGGCAAGGGACTAGCTGAGAGCTGGGAGAGGCTCCTGGATGTGGGGAAACAGTAAGAGAGTAACCCCCAGGGCTTCACACTCCAAAACAGACTATTACAATCTTGGCTATGGGAGAATCCTCCAACCCATCAGGGCCTCAGGCCTGACATAGAGAGCTGCCTAGAGATTGCACAGAGGCATTGCGCCAGGAAGGGAACACACACAGAGTTCCACAGACATCCAAGCCTAGAGCAGCTTCAGCTGGACACCATTTTGAGAAGCTAGATACCACAGATCTACAGACATGGCTGCTGCTGTTGCACTTCTTCAAGGAGGGAGAGGCGAGATCAGGCACTCCCACGTACCCCATGAGAAAATGCCTACCACTCTGTGCAGCCTGCTGTTGAGATTGAGACATGAACAGACTGCACCCGCCACAGCTTCTTGTTCATGCTGCTTGCCTGGGAGGGGCCCCAACCTCTCTAGTCTCAAGGCCAAGGCATCAATTTGAGAGTTTAATTCTGGGCTGTGCCTGCCCTCAGGCCAAGTTGAAGGTGACACAGCTGCAGCTGCCACCCAGCCAGAAGAGGAACAAGATGGACCAAGCTCTCCTAAGCATACTTAGGACAATACCCACTACCCTGCTACAGGCAGCTGGGGGACTGAGAACTATTTCAACCAATCCATGGCAGCCACCAGCAACACCAACATGGACTAACTGGGTCTAAGTGGGTTGGTTGCTCCACCACTGCTACTGCCATAAAGCACACCACACAAGCTGCCCAGGGGTCTGAGAACCTGCTTACACACCCAGCCCACTGTTCCCACTACTAACTTCTAAACAAGCCACGTGGAGGCCAAAGAATCAACCCTCCAGGGCCCACTAACACAAGAGCCAAGGTAAGCTGCTCTGGGGTTTAAAAACAAGCACACTCAGGCAACTGCTGCCACCACTGGGGCCCAAAGACTGACTCAGTTGGTGTCCAGGTCCCCAGCAAAACATTACCACAACCTCAACTAATAACTGTACTCTAAGATACTGAGAAAATCACAGGTACTATTGACCCTTTTTCCTGCCAAGAAGTCAAACAAAGATCAAACCACCACAGGCATCTAAAATCAAAGCCAAAGTATCCTACTCAACCACCAACATATATACATCTGCAGAAAAAAAATCCTCCCCTGCAAAAGCAATTTCAAAAAATTGGAACAGGCAACTACTACAACAGATATTCAGATATTAGTGGAAGGACACAGGAAACATGAAAAAGTAAGGACCACAACAATTGTAGTCATAGATCCCAATCAAAAAGGATTCCTTGAAAAGCCAGATAAAAACTCAAAATATTAATTTTAAAGAAGTTCTATGAGATGCAAGAGAAATCTGAAAATGAATGCAAAGAAATCAGAAAATCAATTGAGTATATGAATGAAAAATTTACCAAGGAGACAGATATCATTTTTTAAAAATTCTGAAAATAAAAAATTTACTGAGAGAAATACAAAGTGCATTAGAAAGCTCCAACAGTACCATAAACCAAGCAGAAGAAAGAAGAAAGACTCTCAGAACTTAAAGACATGTCTTTTGAAATAATCCAGTCAGGCAAAAGTAAGGAAAAAGAATAAAAAAGAATGAGCAAAGCCTCTGAGAGAGTGGGGCTACATAAAGTGACCCAAAGTTATGAATTATCTCTATTCCAAAGAGAGAAGAGAGATTTAAAAAAAAAGTTTAGAAAACCTATTTAAGGAAGTAATTGATGAGAACTTCCCAAGTTGAGCAAGAGAGTCACACATCCAGATACAGAAGACTCAGCAATCCCCAGGCAAATCCCCTTTGAAAAAAGAACTTTACCTCAGTGTATTATATTCAGAATATCTAAAGTGAAAGTGAAAGAAAGAATTTTAAAATTAGTGAGAGAAAAGTGGCTAATTACCTATAAAAGGGAATCACATCAGACTAACAATAGACTTTTCAGTAAAATCTTTACAGGCTAGAAGAGAATGAGATGGTATTTTCAAAGTGCTGGGGAAAAAATAAAAACACCTATTAGTCAAGAATTTTACATCCTGCCAGAATAAGCTTCATAAATTAAGGAAAAATAAAGTCTTCTGCAGACAAGCAAATGCTAAGGAAATTTGTCACCACTAGACTGGTCCTACACAAAATGTTGAAAGGGGTCTTAAACATAAAAATGAAAGGTCAATATTCACCATCATGAAAACACATGGAAATATAAAACTCATAGATCTTATAAAAACAATCACACAAAGGAGGAAGTGAAAGGAATTAGGCTAGGCACAGTAGTGCACTCATGTAATTTCAGCACTTTGGGAGGCCAAGGTGGGTGAATCACTTGAGCTCAGAAGTTTGAGACCAGCTCAGGCAACATGACAAAAAATAAAAAAATTAGCCTGGCATAGTGACACACACCTGTAGTCCCAGCTACTTGGGAGGCTGAGGTGGAAGGATGGCTTGAGCCTGGGAGGTTGAGGCTATAGTGAGCCATGATCATACAACTGCACTCCAGCCTGGGTGACAGCATGAGACCCTATCTCAAAAAAAAAAAAAAACAAAAAAAAACCAGCCAGCCATGGTGGTTCACACCTGTAATCCCAGAATTTTGGGAGGCTGAGGCGGGCGGATCACTTGAGGTCAGGAGTTCAAGATAAGCCTGGCCAACATGGCGAAACCCAGTCTCTACTAAAAATACAAAAAAAATTAGCTAGGTGTGGTGACACACATCTGTAATCCCAGCTACGTGGAAGGCTGAGGCAAGAGAATTGCTTATACCCAGGAGGCAGAGTTTGCAGTGAGCCAAGATCACACCACTGCACTCCAGCCTAGGTAACAGAGTGAGACTCCATCTCAAAAAAAAAAAAAAAAAAAAAGGACTCAAACGGCAACACAATAGAATTTCATCAAATCATAAAGTCAAAAACAGAAATAGGAGAAATAATTTATAAAACAACTTGAAAACAATTCACAATATAACAGAAAAAACTTCCCATATCAAGACTAACTTTGAGTGTAAATGGATTAAATAATACTCCACATAGAAGATACAGATTGGCAGAATCATTTGTTGTCATTTATTTCAATAGTTCTGGGAGTATGGGTTGTTTTTGCTTACATGGATAAGTTCTTTAGTGATGATTTATGAGATTTTGGTGCATCCATCACGCAAGCAGTGTACACTGTACCCAATATGTAGTCTTTTATCCCACACCCCTCTCCTAATCTTACCCCCTGAATCCCCAAAGTCCATTACATCATTCTTACGCCTTTGCATCCTTATAGCTTAGCTCACACTTATAAGTGAGAACATACAATATTTGATTTTCCATTCCCAAGTTACCCTACTTAGAATAATGGCTTCCAGCTCCATCCATGTTTCTGCAAAAGAGATTATTTTATTCCTTTTTATGACTGAATAATATTCCATGGTACATATGTACCACATGTTCTTTATCCACTCGTTGGTTGATGGGCACATAGGTTGGTTTTATATCCTTGCAATTGCAAATTGTGCTGCTATAAACATGCATGTGCATGTGTCTTTTTCATACAATGACTTATTTTCCTTTAGGTAGATACCCAGTAGCAGGATATCTGGATCAAATGGTAGTTCTACTTTTAGTTTTTTAAGGAAGCTCCATACTGTTTTCCATAGTGGTTGTACTATTTACATTCCCACCAGCAGTGTAAAGGTGTTCCCTTTTCACCACGTCCACTCCAACATCTATTATTTTTTGACTTTTTAATTATGGCCATTCTTGCATGAGTAAGGTGGTATCTCATTGTGGTTTTAATTTGCAGTTCCCTGATAATTAGTGATGTCGAGCATTTTTTCATATGTTTGGTGGCTGTTTGTATATTTTCTTTTGAGAATTCGCTATTCATGTCTCTTGCCCACTTTTTGATGCAATTATTTGTTTTTTTTCTTGCTAATTTGTTTGAATTCCTTGTGATTCTGAATATTAGTCCTTTGTCAGATGCAAAGGAAAATTTTTTTCCATGCTATGGGTGGTCTGTTTACTCTGCTGATTATTTCTTTTGCCGTGCAGAAGCTTTTTAGTTTAATTAGGACCCATTTATTTATTTCGGTTTTCATTGCATTTGCTTTTGGGGTTTTAGTCATGAATTCTTAGCCTAAGCCAATATCTAGAACAGTTTTTCTGATGTTATCTTCTAGAATTTTTATGGTTTCAGGTCTTAGATTTAAGTCTTCGATCCATCTTTTTTTTTTTTTTTTTTTTTGAAACAGAGTCTCACTCTGTCTGGCTGGAGTGCAATGGCGTGATCTTGGCTCACTGCAGCCTCTGCTTCCCAGGTTCAAGAGATTCTCCTGCCTCAGCCTCCCAAGTAGATAGGACTACAGGCACACACCACCATGCCCAGGTAATTTTTATATTTTTAGTGGATACACAGTTTCACCATGTTGGCCAGACTGGTTGATCCATCTTGAGTTGAATTTTGTATAAGATGAGAGATGAGGTTCCAGTTTTATTCTTCTACATATGGCTTGGCAGATTTCCCAGCACCATTTATTGAATAGGGTGTTCTTTCCCCAGTTTGTGTTTTTGTTTTTCGTATGCTTTGTTGAAGATCAGTTGGCTGTGTTTGGCTTTATTTCTGGATTCTCTATTCTGCTCCATTGATCTACATGCCTATTTTTGTTTGTTTGTTTGTTTGTTGAGACAGGGTCTCGCTCTGTAGCCCATGCTGGAGTGCAGTGGCGCAACCTTGGCTCACTGCAACCTCCGCCTCCTGGGTTCAAGCAATTCTCCTGCCACAGCCTCCCTAGTAGCTGGGACTACGGGGGCCTGCCACAGCCTCCCTAGTAGCTGGGACTACGGGGGCCTGCCACCACACCCGGCTAACTTGTGTTTTTAGTAGAGACAAGGTTTCACCATGTTGGCCAGGCTGGTATCAAACTCCTGACCTCAAGTGATCCACCCACTTTGACCTCCCAAAGTGCTGGGATTTCAGGCGTGAGCCACTGTGCCCAGCTTACATGCCTATTTTTATACCAGTATCATGCTGTTTGGGTAACTATAGCCTTGTAGTATAATTTGAAGTCAGGTGATGTGATGCCTCCAGATTTGTTCTTTTTACTTAGTATTGCTTTGGCTATGCAGGTTTTTTGGTTCCAAATGAATTTTAGGATTGTTTTTTCTAGTTCTGTGAAGAATGATGATGGCATTTAGATGAGAATTGAGTTGAATCTGTAGATTTCTTTGAGTAGTATGGTCATTTTCACAATATTGATTCTACCCATCCATGAGCACAGGATGTTTCCATTTGTTTGCATCATCTATGATTTCTCTCAGTAGTGTTTTGTAGTTTTCCTTTTAGAGATCTTTCACCTCCTTGGTTAAGTATATTCCTAAGGGTTTTTTGTTGGTGGTGGTGTTTGTTTGTTTGTTTGTTTGTAGCTGTTGTAAAAGGGATTTAGTTCTTTATTTGATTCTCAGCTTGGTCACTGTTGGTGTATAGCAGTGCTACTGATTTGTATACATTGATTTTGTATCCTGAGACTTTCCTGAATTCATTTATCAGATTTAGGGGCTCTTTGGATGAATCTTAAGGGTTTTCTAGGTATACAATCATATCATCAGCAAACAGCAACAGTTTGACTTCCTCTTTTCCAATTTGGATGCCCTTTATTTCTTTCTCTTGTCTGATTGCTCTAGCTAGAGCTACCAGTACTGTGTTGAATACCTATTCAACCTTGTCTTGTTCCAGTTCTCAGCGGCAATGCTTTCAATTTTTCCCTATTCAGTATGATGTTGGCTGTGGGTTTATCATACATGGCTTTTATTACTTTGTGGTATGTCCTTTCTATCACAAAGGGTTTTTATGATAAAGGGATGCTGGATTTTATCAAATGCTTTTTCTGTGTCTATTGTGATGATCATATGATTTTTGTTTTTAATTCTGTTTATGTAATGCATCACATTTATTGACTAGTGTATGTTAAACCATCCCTGCATTTCTGGTATAAAACCCACCTCATCATGGTGGATTATCTTTTTGATATATTGATGAATTCAGTTAGCTAGTATTTTGTTGAGGATTTTTGCATGAATGTTTATCAGGAATATTGTTCTGTAGTTTTCTTTTTCTGATATATCTTTTCCTGGTTTTGGTGTTAGGGTGATACTGGCTTCATAGAATGATTTCGGGAGAATTCTTTCTTTACCTTTTGGAATAGTTTCAGTAGGATTGGTACCAATTCTTCTTTGAATGCCTAATAGAATGCAGCTGTTAATCCATCTGGTTCTGGATTTTTTTTGTTGGAAATTTTTAAATTAATGATTTAATCTCTCTGCTTGTTATTGATTGGTCTGTTCGGGGTTTCTATTTTTTCCTGATTTAATCTAGGAGAGTGGTATATTTTCAGGAATTTATCCATCTCCTCTAGATTTTCTAGTTTGAATGTGTGTATGTGTTCATAGTAGTCTTGAATGATCCTCTGTATTTCTGTGGTACCAGTTGTAATATCTCCCATTTCATTTCTATTTGAAGTTATTTCAATATTCTCTCTTCTTTTCTTGGTTAATCTCACTAACAGTCTATCAATTTTGTTTATTGTTTCAAAGAACCAGCTTTTTATTTCATTTATCTTTTGTATTTTGTTTGTTTGTTTCAATTTCATTTAGTTCTGCTCTGACCTTTGTTATTTCTTTTCTTCTGCTGTGTTTGGGTTCAGTTTTCTCCTGTTTCTCTAGTTCCTTGAGGTGCAACCTTAGATTGTTTATTTGTGCCTTTCAGACTTCTTGATGTAGGCATTCAATGCTATGAACCTTTCTCTTAGAACTGCTTTTGCTGTATCCCAGAGGTTTTGATAAGTTGTGTCACTACTATTACTAATTTCAAATAATTTTTTAATTTCCACATTGAATTCATTGCTAACCCAAAAATCACTCAAGAGCAGATTATTTAATTTCCATATATTTGTATAGTTTTGGGGGTTCCTTTTGGAGTTGATTTACAGTTTTATTCCACTGTGGTCTGAGAAGATACTCAATTGGATGCTGGTTTTCTTAAATTTATTGAAACTTGTTTTGTGGCCTACCATATGGTATAACTTGGAGAATGTTCCATGTGCTGATAAGAAGAATGTTTTACAAATATCTGTTAAGTCCATTTGTTCTAGGGTATAGTTTTAGTCCATTGCTTCTTGTTGTGGGAAGTTATGGACCCCTAATGGAGGGACCAGCTGGAGCCGAAGCAGAAGAACATAAATTGTGAAGATTTCATGGACATTTATCAGTTCCCAAAATGAATACTTTTATAATTTCTTATGCCTGTCTTTACTGCCATCTCTGAACATAAATTGTGAAGATTTCATGGACATTTATCACTTCCCTAATAATACTCTTATAATTTCTTATGCCTGTCTTTACTTTAATCTCTTAATCCTGTTATCTTCGTAAACTGAGAATGTATGTCACCTCAGGACCACTAGTGTACAAATGGATTGCAGAACATGTGTGTTTGAACAATATTAAATGTGATTGTAAAACATGGGTGTTTGAACAATATGAAATCAGTGCACCTTGCAAAAAAAAAAAAAACAGAATAACAGCAATTTGCAGGGAACAAGGAAAGATAACCATAAGGTTTGACTACCTGTGGGGTCGAGCAGAATACAGCCATATTTTTCTTCTTGCAGAAAGCCTATAGACAGATGTGCAAGTAGGAGAAATATCACTGAATTCTTTTCCCAGCAAGGAATAACCCTGGGGAAGGAATGCATTCCTGGGGGTAGGTCTATAGACGGCCACTCTGGGAGTGTCTGTCTTATGCAGTTGAGATAAGGACTGAAATATGCCCTGGTCTCCTGCAGTATCCTCAGGCTTACTAGGATTGGGAAATTCCAGCCTGGTAAATTCTAGTCAGACTGGTTCTCTGCTCTAGAACCCTGTTTCCTGTTAAGATGCTTATCAAGACAATGCGTGCACAGCAGGACACAGACCCTCATCAGTAATTCTAATTTTGCCTCAGCCTTGTGATCCTTATTGCCCTTTGAAGCATGTGATCTTTGTGACTTACTCCCTGTTCATACACCTCCTCCCTTTTTAAAATCCCCAATAAAAACTTGCTGGTTTTGCAGCTCAGGGTCGCCATCATGGTCCTACCATTATATGATGACACCCCCGGAGGCCCAGCAGTAAAATTTATCTCTTTGCACTCTTTCTCTTTATTTCTCAGACCGGCCAACACTTAGGGAAAATAGAAAGAACCTATGTTGAAATATTGGGGGCTGGTTCCCACAATAGTTTCTTTTTGACTTTCTGTTTTGATGATCTGTTTATTGCTGTCAGTGGAATACTGAAGTCCTCCACCATTGTTCTGTTGTTGCCTATCTAATTTCTCAGGTATAATAGTAATTGCTTTATAAATTTGGGAGCTCTGGTATTAGGTGCATATAAACTTAGGATTGTAATATCTTCCTGTCAGACCAATCCTTTTATTATTATATAATGTCTTTCATTGTCTTTTTTCACTATTGTTGCTTTAAAGTCTGTTTTGTCTGATATAAGAATAGCTACTCCTGCTTGCTTTTGGTTTTTCCATTTGCGTAAAATGTTTTTTTCCACCCCTTTACCTTAAGTTTATGTGAGTCTTTATGTGTTAGGTGGGTCTCTTGAAGACAGTAAATATTTAGTTGGTGCATTTTTATCCATTCTGCCATTCTTTATCTCTCAAGTGGAGCATTTGGGCCATTTACATTCAAAGTTAATATGGAGATGTGAGGTGCTGTTCTATTCATCATGTTAGTTGTTGCCTAGATACTTTGTTTTTTTCATTGCGTTACTGTTTTGCAGGGCATGTGAGATTTATGCTTTAAGGAGGTTCTATTTTGGTGTATACTGAGGTTTTGTTTAGTGAATTAGAACTCTTTAGCATTTCTTGTAGTGCTGGTTTGGTAGTGGCAAATTCTCTCAGCATCTGTTTGTCTGAAAAAGACTTTGTCTCTCCTTCAATTATGAAGCTTAGTTTTGCTGCATACAAAATTCTTGGCTGACAATTATTTTGTTTAAGGAAGCTAAAGATAGTACCCAAATCCCTTCTGGCTGGTAAGGTTTCTGCTGAGAAATTTGCTGTTAATGTAATAGGTTTTCCTCTGTAGGTTACTTGATATTTTTTTCTCACTGCTCTTAAGATTCTTTCCTTCATTTTCACACTAGATAGTCTGATGACTATGTGCCTTGGGGATAATCTTTTTACAATGAATTTCCCAGGTGTTATTGAGTTTCTTGTGTCTGGATGTCTAGCTCTCTAGAAAGGCCAGGGAAGTTTTCCTCAGTTATTCCCTCAAATAAGTTTTCCAAACTTTTAGATTTCTCTTCTCCCTCAGGAACACCAATTATTCTTAGGTTTGGCCATTTTACATAATCCCATATTTTTAGAGACTTTGTCCTATTTTTATTTTCTTTCTCTGTCTTTGTTTAATTGGGTTAATTCAAAAGCCTTATCTTCGAGTTCTGAAATTCTTTTTGCTACCTATTCTAGTCTATTGTTGAAACTTTCCACCGCATTTTGTATTTCCCTAAGTGTATCTTTCATTTCCAGAAGTTCTGATTGTTTCTTTATGATATCTATTTCTCTGAAAAAGTTTTCATTCATATTCTGAATTTTTAAAAATTCTTTAAGTTGGTTTTCACCTTTCTCTGGTATATCCTTGAGTAGCTTAATAATCAACCTTCTGATTATTTATCTGGCATTTCAGAAATTTCTTCTTGGTTTGGATCCATTTCTGGGGAACTAGAATGATCTTTTGGGGGTGTTATAGAACCCTGTTTTTTCATATTCAAAGAATTACTTTTCTGGTTCCTTCTTATTTAGGTAGACTATTTCTTCAAATTATTCTTAATTTTTTTTGTTTTGACTGTGGGGTTTTTTTCTATTTCTGTTTTTCCCCCTTTTAAGGATCAGACTTTCTGACTTTAATGTTTACAGTTTATTTTAACATAATTTGATTCCTGGTGCTTTTAGGGGGAAAACACTGTATGAGTTCCTTTATCATAGAGAGTCTTTGTGCTCTGGTTGTAGTAGTTAGGTACTTGGAGTGTGGGCCAGTTCACTGTGTCCTATGGGGCTGGAATGGTAGCAATCTCTTGAGGCTTATCTCATTCTCTCATAGTATTCACTTTATTTGTTTAATTGTTCCCAGTATTTTATTTACTGAGTTGATGATTCAGGCTTCAGGCCAATAAGGGAGGTATCCTTAGGTAGGCACTGGTTGTAGCTAAAGCAGGTTTGTAGATATAATACCCACTGGAGAGCAGAAGTCCCACCCTTGATGAATGTGGCTAGGGAAGCTCTCAATTAGATGTTCAGAGATTTTATCAAAATGAAGAGTGGGAGATACCTCAATTCCCCTGCCAGGCCAGCAGGTAGGCTATTCACCTCACAGCCTCACTCCTGTCCCAGTGTTCCAGCTATTCAGATCATATAAGCACCTCTTTTCATTGTAGAAATGTTAATCTTCCAACTATGGAGGAATTGTGACTCTGCTTCTCATGCAGGCCTGAATCTAGGGAGTGCTCCTCCTATGGGGCTACAATCACCCTAAATTGTACCAGGAAGGCTGCCTACAGATGCATCCATGCTTCATTCCCATGGGAGAAGCCCCAGCTGTGTCTGCAGTAGTGTGCCGGGGGAACAAGGACCCCTTCTCCAAGGCCCTTTATGATCACAGAGGCTGCCTGCCGGTTGACATAGGCATACAGATTTTCCCTACTGTGCCCAGCTCTGCAACTGTGTCTCTGCTATAAGAAACTTCCCACCAGTAGAAAGATCTGGGACTAAAGGCCCACCATTTGGATTATTTTGTCCCATAGGGTGATCCATTGATGTGGTGCTCTCCCACTTCCGCCAGGACTAGGGCTTCCTGAGAGCTGGACTGCAGTGGTAATTATTGCTCTTCTGGGTCTAGCCCACCAGTGGGACTACCAGGCTTTGGGCTGGTGCTGAGGAATATTTCAGGTCTCCCAGCAGTGGATACCCAGCATCTGCTCTGATAGTGACAGCAGGGGAGTGACGTAGACTCTATGAGACTCCTTGGTTGTAAATAGGTTTAGCATGCTGGATTTCTCAAATGCCAGTTATGCTAGCAGTGAATTTGTGACATGGACAGACTCAGGACCTCTGGTTAGCCAGCATGTTGCAGGCATCATTTTCTCTTCCCTGGGTGCAGTGTTATTCTGTTGAGAGGTGCTGTAATGGCCTGAGTTGGTTGGCCTCCAGCTGGGAGGTAGCACTTGCAAAAGAGTACCAGCTGCATTACTAGCAGTAGGATTTAAGCTTTTCCTAAATTGTCCAGGGGAAGTATTCTAGCTTCTCAGGCAATGGATAGGGCTATAAAGCTCCCAAAAGTTTATGTCTTTGTGTTAAGTTACCAGGGCAGGTAGAGAAATACCATCAGGTAGGGTCAGGATTAGGCAGGTCTGAGCTCAGACTCTCCTTGTCCGGGGCCTGCCTCAGCCACTGTGGGGAACAGAGGGTGGTTCCCAGGCCACCAGGATAATGTTCCAGAAGAAAGTATAACTGTCTCTACTGTGCAGAAGAGTTCACAAAGGGAGTGAGGATTAGCTGACAGCAGTAGGTCCCACCCAGCTCCCACACAGTTGGTGAGGCTGGTCTCACTCCCACAGTGTCCCGCTAACAGCACCAGGTTTAGATCCAGGCAGTCTGCACACAGAACTCAGACCTGACCCAAGCCATAAGCTCCCCCAGAGAGACAGCAATAACAGCTTTAAGGCCATTCCCTTCCCCATCTGCCCGGAAGGCAGGCACCCAGCTTCTGTGTTTGCGTCTGCAGCATACTTCCTGCTCACTCCTGGATTCTGTTCAAGAGAGTTTGTTCCCACTCAAAATTATATCACAAAATTCAGTTGGGAGCTTCTTTCACTCTGTGACCCCTCCCTGGGTTCATTGGCTAACTTCCGCAAGGGTACCTGTGGGAAATAATCAGGAATAGCTTCCCTGGGCTCATGCTGCAGATTGTGAATGCCTACAAGGCACTTCCCACTGCTGCTTCTACTTTAATATCTCACTTTTCTCCCTAAATTTGTTCCAGCTCTCAGTAGGGTTAAGGCCTTCTCCCATGATCTGGGTTTTCAGATTCCCCAGTAGGGATGTGTGTTTAGATGCAGGTTCTCCCCCTCGCACACTCTGGGAACTTTTAATTTTTCACCTATCTCATGGAGTAGGCCTGCTGCTTCTTTCAAAGGCTCTGTGAATTCTTTCAGTTTTCCTGACAAGTTCCTGTGGTAATTCATGGAAAAAAAATTAACAGTATGAATCTCCACCCACTATTCTGTCCTTTCAAGTGGGAGAAGGACACTAACACTACCTCCTATCCACTATCTTGAAAAAAAACAGAATGGGTTTTTTTAATGATCCAAGAATATGCTGTCTACAAGAAAGTCATCTTATCCATAAAGACACACATAGACTGATAAAAGTAAAGGTATGGAAAAAGATATTCCACACAAACAGAAACCAAAAGTGAACAGAAGTAGCTATACTTATATCAAATAAAACAAGTTATAAATAAAAAATGGTAATAAAAGACAAAGAAGGTAATTATATAAAGATAAAGGGATCAAATCAGCAGGAGGATATAACAAACCTAAATATATAGGCACCCAACATCAGAGCACCCAAATTCACAAAACAAATGTTACTAGATCTAAAGAAATAGACAACACTATAATAATAGTGGGAGATTTTAGCACTCCACTCATAGCACTAGATAGGTAATTGAGACATAAAATTAACAAAGAAACATTGAACTTAAATTGGACTTTAGACAAAATGGACTTATCAATTATTTATATGACATGCTACCCAACAACTATAAAATGTACCTTCTTTTTATCAGCAAATGGAATATTCTTCAAGATAGACCATGTTTAGGCCACAAAGCAAGTCTTAACAATTTTTTAAAAATAAAAATCATACCAAGTATCTTCTCAGACTACAGTGGAATAAACCTAGAAATCAATACCAAGAGGAACTTCAGAAACTATTCAAATATATGAAAATTGAACAGCATGCTCCTGAATGATTACTGGGTCAATAAAGAAATTTAAATGGAAAATTTAAAAAAATTAAAACTAATGAAAATGAAAAGACAACATACCAAAACCCATGGGACACTACAAAAGCAATGCTGAGTAAATTTTGCAGTATTAAATGCCTACATCAAAAAAGCAGAAAGATCACAAATTAACAACCTAATGGCACACCTCACAGAACTAGAAAAACAAGAACAAACCAAACCCAAAGTTAGCTGAAGGAAACAAATAACAAAGATCAGAGCAGAACTAAATAAAATGAGACCAGAAAAAAAGATCAATGAAATAAAAAGGTGGTTGTTCAAAAAGATAAACAAAATTGATAAACCACTATCTAGATTAATCAAAAAGAGAGAGGATCCAAATAAACACAATCAGAAATGAAAAAGGAGACATCACAACTGATACCACAGAAATACAAAAGATCATCAGAGACTATTATGAACGACTATATGTTAACAAACTAGAAAACCTAGAGGAAATGGATAAATTCCTGGAAACATATAACCTTCCAAGATTGATCCGGGAAGAAATAAAACTCCTAAACAGACCAATAATGAATAGCAAAATTTAGTCAATAATTTAAAAAATCTTCCCCCAACAAAAAAGCCCAGAACCAGATGGATTCACACTCAAATTCTACCAACTATACAAAGAAGAATTAATGTCAGTCTTCCTGAAACTATTAAAAAAAAATTGAGGAGGAAGGAATTATCCCTAATTCATGCTATGAGATCAATATCACCCTAATACCAAAACCAGACAAGGACACAGCAAAAAAATAAAACTATAGATCAATATTCCTGATGAACATAGATGCAAAAATCCTCAACAAAATACTAGCAAATCAAATTCAATAGCACATTACAAAGATAATACTCACCAGGCATTGCAGCTTACACATGTAATCCCAGCACTTTGGGAAGCTAAAGCAGGAGAAGTGCTTGGGGCCAGGAGTTTGAGACCAGCCTGGGCAACATAGTGAGACCTTGTCTCTACTAAAAGTTTCAAAATCAGTTGGGTATGGCAGTGCACACCTATAGTCCCAGCTACTCAGGAGGCTGAGGCAGAAAGACTGTTTTGTAGCAGGACGAGCTGCAGACAAAACCCCTCAGACACCGAGTTAAAGAAGGAAGGGCTTTATTCGGCTGGGAGCTTTGGCAAAACTCAAGTCTCCAAAAACCGAGCTCCCCGAGTGAGCAATTCCTGTCCCTTTAAAGGCTCACAATTCTAAGGGGGTCCACGTAAGAGGGTCATGATCAATTGAGCAAGCAGTGGGTACATGACTGGGGGCTGCATGCACCAGTAATTAGAACGGAACGGAACAAGACAGGGATTTTCACAACACTTTTCCATACAATGTCTGGAATCCATAGCTAATATAACCAGTTAGGTCAGGGGTTGATCTTTGACCAGGCCCAGGTGCGGCACCGGGCTGTCTGCCTGTGGATTTCATCTCTGTCTTTTAGTTTTTACTTCTTTCTTTGGAGGCAGAAATTGGGCATAAGACAATATGAGGGGTGGTCTCCTCCCTTATTCCCCCCCTTTGAGAATCTCACTCAATAGTGGGAGTTCTCATTTTCATTTTCACTATCTATGTCTTCTTGCAAGACAGATCAATAGTGATTCATATAGCACACTTGTGCTGAAGCATTTTGGTGAACTAAGGTAGCAATGAAGCTTTTTATCATTTGAAGAAGTACAGGTAGCAAACAAGGGAGCAATAAGCAGGTTTTTATTACTATTATAACTCTTATTATAAGAGTTTTAAATCTTTTTAGTGCTGGGAACCATTTTCCAAACATAGCCTTAGGATCAAATCCATGCTACACTTGCACGGGCACATGTGCCAGTTTTGCCATATTTCTAACTATGTCTTCAACTACTTGCCTTTGATCACCTATATGTAGACAGCAATTAGTAAGGTTAAATTTTCTACAGACCCTTCTTTCAGCTGCTAGCAAGTAGTTGAGAGCTAATCTATTTTGATAGATAGCGTTTCTCATCTGAGTTTCTTGCCAGGCCAGAATAGTCAAGGCTTTGCCGGTCTTAATAGTGATTATTTCTAAGACAGCTTGTAACCGTATGATTCAGTTGAGCATGTAAATGGGGGTCAGGTATCCTCACAAGCTGTCTTGTGCCCAAGTACCAGGCATATAATATTGTATGATCCTCTCAGGGGGCCATTTATCATCTTTTTAATTTTTTATAGCTATGCTTTTCTTTTTGTGGGAAGCACAGACAGGAAAGCCTAGGAGTTCACCTGTCTTTATGGGCAGTAGGAAGAAAGATGGTTTAATAGTGCCAATAACACAACTACCTGCCTACTGGTTGGGTAATTTGGTGTAAGCCCTAGACCCCCATATCCACTGTAATCCAGTAGGGGCTGTCCAGTCCTGGTGGGACTCCGGGTGGGTTCACACAGTTTGCAACTTTGGGAATTTACTAAATGGATTTTTCTTAGCATGCTTTGAACTCCACTAGGTGGCTGTTTTTGTAGTATTATTATAGTTTTTGCCTAAGGCAGCTGAGTCTTCCTACAGGAAGGGTGAAGTCCTTCCTCACTTTTGCTATAAAGTATTGTCTACTGATTGAGGCTTTTAGGACCCAGAAGTTATCAGGGTGATTCTTCTGAGCTGGGAATTCATCAGGAACTGGATCTGTAGGTACTAATCCTCGGGCTTTCCATGGCCATTGATCTCCTATTACAGTTCTACATACATAACATGAAATGACATTGAGAGACTGGGCTACATGCTCAGCTAATTGCAAAAACAAATTTCTTGTTTTTCCTGGAATTTCTGGTACTGGCACATTCAGTTTATCACAGAAGGTTTGAAATACTGGCTCAAGAGAGCGTTTATAAACTTCTCAAACCATGATATTTACTCGAGGATCCAGTCCAGCCCTATCGATTCCTAGGGTTACACACTCCCCTTTTTTCCAGCAAGGATCAAGGGGGTTGGTTATTACTAGTTCTAAGGGGTTAAACTGACCACTGGTATAGGAAGGGCCACTTTTTTTTTTCTGAGGATGGACAGGATCCTTTTTATTTTTTATGTAAGTAGCCTAAACGACATAAAACCAGTATCCACATTTATTTTTACACAGTCCTAGTTCATGACAAATGTACTTATTTTCTGCCATATAGCCTCTTTTTTAATTAAGAGAACCACATCTTATTTCTAACTTATTACTATTAATGACAGCACAGGCATCAAACTTCAAGGTGACTTGTTTGGGCACCCCTTTTTCTTTTGTTTTGGCTAACACTTTACTCGTATCATTTATGAGCCTTTACCAGTCCTCAGTCCTTAATCTTATTTCAAAAACTGTGTTCATGGGAGGCTCGGATGGGTCATAACACACATCAGGTTGGTCATTTCCTGGGCTACATACTGTTAATAGAATAGCATTATACAAACAAGTTTTTTTTTTTTTTAGAGTCCCAGTACACTTATAATAATCATAAAATAATAGGACTGTAGCAACTTTTTGTCCTACATCAGTGACTTGATGTATACACTGGGAACAGTCCTCAGTCTGAGAAAGGTCAGTTAAAATCCTTACTGTACAAGTCCAAATTTTAAGGAAAATGAGTCCCATGATGAGTTTTCTCATGCTTCTGCCATGTGTGGACCAGTCAGCTTCTGGAGCAGGGCTAGTCATCTTCTTCAGAGTCACTTTGCAGGGATTGGTGAAGCTGCTCCCATCCACGTACTGCTCACAGTCTACTGATGTTCAAGGATGGTTTCAGAGGTTGGGCCTGCTAGAATAAACTGAGTCCAACACCTCTACACAGTTATGTTCAACTGGACTCTCTGATACAGGGAGCAAGGTGGTGGGGTTTAGGGTGTTGCAAACTTCAATGGTTATGCAGAGATTTTCACATAGCAAGCTTTGGTACTTGGTTAATCTAGCATTTGTTAACCAGTGACGTCCTTCGGTAGTCATTAAAGTTACCACAGCATGGGGGGCCTTTATATTCAGGTTTTGCCTAAGGGTTAGTTTATCTGCTTCTTGTGCTAACATGGCTATTGCTGCCAGGCCCTTAGACATGGGGGCCAGCCTTTGGAAACCCCATCTAGTTGTTTTGAGAGCTAGACCACTGGCCTTGGCCAGGGCCCCACAGTCTGGGTTAAAACTCCAACTGCCATTTTTTTTCTTTCTGATGCATAGGGTGTAAAGGGTTTTGTTAGGTCAGGTAGCCCCAGGGCTGTGGCCGACATGAGTTTTTCTTTTAACTCATGAAAAGCTCATTGCTGCTGGTCGTAATAGATGTAGTTTATCCAATTTACATTTTTATTAACTGTCACCCACCAAAATATTGACTCAAATCCTGCAGCTATTTGATTTCAAGCTTTAAATTGATCTGGTATTTCCCGTGGAAATCTAATTGCATCTAAATGGATGTGAGAGTCTAAAGACCAATAAGGGGTGTCTCTCGCTTCATGATGTCTTATTTTTCCTCCCTCTGGTTGATGAAATGCCAGGGTGAAAGGGATAGCCAATTGGACTAAAGTACAAGTGCCACTCCAGTTATTCAGCAGAGTGCCCAATAAAGGTCCACCACAATAACACCACACATCTGCTCAGGGATGAATAAGGGCTGACTGATTGATAAGCTCTTGAAAATTTTTAAGCTCACTGCATCTCTTCAGGTCTCCAAGGAATGTTAAGTTTCCTCCCTGTGGTGAGAGACATGAAGTGAACTTAGTGTTGGGAGACGGAGGCTGGATGGCCCTCAGGGGCTGACCTGCAAGGTGCTGAACTTTGGGATATAGCAGAGAGAGCTTGGCACAACTTATTACTCCAGGCTGTAGAATCCTGGAAAAGAGCCACCATGCAGCCCATGCCTGGTCGACTGGAGGACCACCCTAGAGGAAAGGGGACAATCTGGGCCTCTGGTCTGCCATGTGCACAAGCATAACAATTGCTTTTGTTTAACCTGCAGATGGAATATTTGATCCATTCCAACCAGGCATTTGCAACTTGGTATGCTGTCTTAATTGCCAAAGTTTGTTTTAAGTCTTTAACTTCTATAATCCTCTAGTAAAATGAATGTGTGATTTTAGGAAATTATAAAAACCAGTTAGGGCAGTCCATCCTTGCTCTTTAGTTGTCCACAGAACGTTGGACCAACTATGGCATAAAAGCTGTACATTGGGGGGCAAGACTCCTGGTTGACACTGGAGTCTTTATCGAAATTTCCCCAGATTAAATGGTCCTAATTTACTAATGCCCAGTCTGAGGAGAGTCAGGAAGGACAGAAGTACTTTTCTGAAGTAGAGAGCTGTCTTTGACTTGGCAAGTCCCCACAGGGTATAACAAGGCAAGCATTAAATGCAATAGTGTGAGGCGAAATTGACTTGGTTATGTTAATAACTAGATGGTCAGCAATAGAGCAAGGAAAGAAGAAAGAGTAATAGAATAGATGAAAGAGTTAAATTTTTCTTAGCTTTAGTTTGATAAGGTTTTCCCCTGGGTCTATGGCCCACGACTCTGGAGGGGGTGGTGCTTTCTTGACTCAGGTGTGATGAGTCCATCCTTCTTTCACTCTATGAACAGCAGTCTCGGTGGTCAGAAGCACAAGGTAGGGTCCTTCCTAGGCTGGCTTGAGTTTTTCTTCTTTCTACCCTTTGATGAGAAGGTGATCTTCAGGCTAGTGATGGTTTACTGGAAATTCTAGGGGTGGTACCTGTGCTAAAAGACTTTTAGTTTTGACGGAAAGGAAAGTGGAAGATAGGCCAAGTACATAATTTCTAAGAAACTGACCTTTTGTTTTAAATGTGGGGACATCAGTGGACTTTATAGTCCTTGGTGCCTTCTTACTGAGAAATTTCTTTTAGCACCTATTTTTATTAGTTTTTAGACCAAAGAAAGCCAAACATCATTTTATATTTAATAATGCTTCTTGTATGATTTTTATACCAGATAAGCTAAATTTCACCTTTATATTAGTGTGCTATTAATGTTAAACTTAGTTTTAATAAAATTTGTATACATATTTATTCAATTTTTAATGTTGGACCATAAGGTAAGATTTTTATAGACTCTTTTTAACCTTTTATAATCTTTGTTAAAGAGCAGGTTAGTGCTTTAAGAAAAACCCATTGTATTTTTACTTTAATGTCCAGTTCACAGAAAAACTGGATGATAGCTTTTTAACTTCAGCAAATATGTTTACACACAGAATTTTCTTTACAATTAATGTTTTAAAACTTGCTTAAACCTTCAAAACAATAACTTTTTTAATGTTTTAATGTAGGTAAAAATTTACATTCTTATGCCTCTTTATAATCCTCTTACTAAAGGTATATTTTACCTTCCTTATACACCATGCACATAAACTGTTTTCTTTCTCAATAGTTTTTACCTTCAGGAGGCCTAGTTACTTTTAAATTATACAACATTTCTTGCATAAATTCTTTTTTTATAATATTTTTCTCTTTCACGACTTTAGCAGACAATTCTTCGACATGCCTCAACTTTCTGACTTATTACAAACATTTCTTTTTTTAAACAACCAGTTAATTTATTTCAGGATAAGAATTTACCATATAACATTCTTTTTACATAAATTCTGCCCCCACTTTTTTTCCTTTTTTTTTTCCAAAGACGGTAACCATTCTTTGCTTTATGTCTGTGGACTAGACTGTCTAAGGCCACAAGATTAGAAGTTACTATAATACATGTTACACTGTTAACTTTTAGCAAACTTTACTTTTGTTGAAAACCATGTAAGCTTGGGATTTTAATTATCCTTTGCTATGAATAAGACCTTGTTTTGTCCAAATTAACTTAGAATTCGTATAGATGGCTTTCTTTTTCCTTCAATTACCTGGGAGGAACCATCCATTGTCCTGTCCTGAAGGGAGTTCCTCCTAGGTCTGGTTGGACCTTTGTATGGTAATTAAGATTTAGATCCCCTGTTAGGAAACCTGCTGGGTTAAGGGAATTTTCATTGGTTAGTGTTAAATTATCCTTTTTTTTTTCTTTTTAGGATACTTCTGAACTGGTGAGGTGTGCTCACAATGAGGTTTCCTCTCAAAGTTATTTTTTTTACTTTCTTCTGTTAGCAAAGCAGTTGCCACTACAGATTGAATGCATCTGGGCCATCTGTGGGTTACTGGGTTAAGGATTTTTGATAGGAAGGCCTCAGTGCTTTTGGGATACACCCTTGTTTACACTGACAACAAAGTGGTATTAGAGTGTTATAGGGTTACGGAGAATACCTTTAATTATCAATTATAGGTTTTAAATTTACCTTGGCTTTTAAAGGAATAGGGTGCACTGTTTTTTTTTTTTTTCTTAACTACTTGTATATCTCTTTCTTTCTCTCTTTGATTTTCTGTCTCTTTTTCTCTTTGACTTTCCTTTTGCCTCTGTCTCTTTCTCTCTCTTTGCCTCTCTCTTTCTCTCTCTCTCTGCTGGTCTTTCCTTGCCTCTGCCAGCTGCTTATGCTGCTGTTCTCTCAACCACTGTTGGGGGGGTGTTTAAAATCAGTGTAACCAAGTGTCTATATACAGGAACTGGTCTGGGTGACCTGGCTTACAGGTTACCTTGTGCCATACCTTTGAAACAAAGGACCTGTCCAGGCTTCCTTCTGATGGCCAACCTACCTCTAATGCTGGCCAGTCTATTTACACAAAGTTCTAAGTTTTCCTGGTGTCATAGTAACACCATAATCTCCTTTAAATCCTTTCTTGAAATTTTTCAACATAGTTCCTAGTGGGGTGGGCTTACTTTGTGCCTGACCCATGCTTCTTTGAGACAAAACACCATACTCACACCACACACACACCACAAAACAAAGAACGGGTAAAAAGAGCACACACACACTTTTACAGTTTACACCAAAGCAGAATCAAAACCAAAATCAGAGTATCAAGAAATCCAAGCCAGGTCAAAACCAAAACCAAAGTATTAAGCAATTCAAGTCAAATCAAAACAAAAACCAAAGTGCTGGTATAGGCACACTGTGGGTGATCAGGCCACGCTTCCACTCAAATGGAGAGGGCAAGTTCCAAAGACTAGTCTTACGAAGTTTCAGATGTCCGGACTCCAAGTGTCAGTTCCTTCCCAGTGTTCAGTCACTGCATTGATCCTCCATGAGGGCCTGCCATGTGCTGCTCTGGCGAGGCATTCCACCAGGGCAATTGCCTACCCAGGGGTGCTCTCAGGATCCGTGTCGCCCAAGCTGGCTGGAGTCCCCCGCAGGGACACTTCACAGGGCAGGCCTAAGCCGTCTAAGTGGCTGCCTTGACCGTCCATTAATCACCTTGCTTCCCAGTCAGGGAACCAAGAAATGTAGCAGGACGAGCCGCGGACAAAACCCCTCAGACACTGAGTTAAAGAAGGAAGGGCTTTATTCGGCTGGGAGCTTTGGCAAAACTCACGTCTCCAACAACCGAGCTCCCCGAGTGAGCAATTCCTGTCCCTTTTAAGGGCTCACAACTCTAAGGGGGTCTGTGTGAGAGGGTCATGATCAATTAAGCAAGCAGTGGGTACATGACTGGGGGCTGCATGCACCGGTAATTAGAACAGAACAAGACAGGGATTTTCACAACACTTTTCCATACAACGTCTGGAATCTAGATAACATAACTGGTTAGGTCAGGGGTCAATCTTTAACTAGGCCCAGGATGTGGCACCAGGCTGTCTGCCTGTGGATTTCATCTCTGCCTTTTAGTTTTTACTTCTTTCTTTGGAGGCAGAAATTGGGCATAAGACAATATGAGGGGTGGTCTCCTCCCTTAGCTTGAGCTCAGGAGTTTGAGCTTAAAGTCAGCTATGATTGTGTCACTGCACTCCATCATGAATAACAAAGCAAGATCATGTCTCAAAAAAAAAAACCCAAAAAACAACAAAAAAAGAGGATGCAAGAATAGTTCAACATACACAAATCAATAAATGTGATACAACACATAAACGGAATTAAGGACAAAAAACATGTAATCATCTCAATAGATGCAGCAAAAGCATTTGATAAAATTCAGTACCCCTTCATTATAAAAATCTTCAACCAACTATGCATAAAGAAACATACCTCAACATAATAAAGCCCATATATGACAAACCTACAGCAAATATCACACTTAATGGGGAACATTGAAAGCATTCCCTCTAAGAACTGGAAGAAGACAAGATGCCCACTTTCACCACTCATATTTAACACAGTACTGCAAGTCCTTGCCAGAGCAATCAAGCAAGAGAAATAATAAAAGCTATCTAAACTGGAAAAGAGAAAGTCATATTATTCTTGTTCACTTATTGATTATATAATCTTATATCTAGAAAACCCTAAAGACTCCACCAAAAACCTTTTGCATTTGATAAATGAACTCAGTAAAGTTTCAGGATATAAAATTAATATGCAGTAGCATTTCTATAATGGTCTATCCATGGACCAAATTAAGAAGGCAATCCCACTTATAATAGCTACCAAAAAATTAATAAAATATCTGGGGATATATTTAACCAAGGACGTAAAAAGTCTTTTAAAGGAGAATTACAAAATACTGGTGAAAGAAATTATAGATGACACAAAAAAATGGAAAAACATCCCATGCTTATGGATTGGAAAAATTAATTTTTTTTTTGAGATGGAGTCTCGCTCTGTCACCCAGGCTAGAGTACAGTGGCATGATCTTGGCTCACTGCAACCTCCACCTCCTGGGTTCAAGCGATTCTCCAGTCTCAGTCTCCTAAGTAACTGGGACTACAGACATGCACCACCATGCCTGGCTAATTTTTGTATTTTCAGTAGAGACAGAGTTTTGCCATGTTGGCCAGGCTGGTCTCGAACTCCTGACCTCAGGGGAACCACCTGCCTCAGCCTCCCAAAGAGCTGGGATTACGGGTGTGAGCTGCCGTGCCTGGCCAAATTAATAGTCTTAAAATGACCACACAGCCCAAAGTAATCTACAAGTTCAGTGCAATCCCTATCAAAATGCCAATGTCATGTCCACACAGGAGGTCTAAAAAAAGTACCAATGTCAATTTTCACAGAATTAGAGTAAATAATTCAGGATTCAGAGTTAGAAGAAATGAATTCATATGGAGCCAAAAAGGAGCCCAAATAGCCAAAGTAATCCTAAGGGGGGAAAAAAAAAGCTGAAGGTATCACATTGCCTAACTTCAAATTATATTACAAGGCTATAGTTACCAAAACAGCATGATACTTATATAAAAATCAACACATAGATTAATAGAACAAAATACAGAATGCAGAAATAAAACCACACACTTACAGCCAACGGATCTTTGACAAAATTGACCAGAACATATACTGGAGAAAGAACATCCTTTTCAATAAATTGTGCTGGGAAAAATCGAATTGCCATATGTGGAAGAATGAAACTGGACCCCTATCACTCACCAAATACAAAAATCAACTCACAATAGATTAAAGACTTGAATGTAAGACCTGACACTATAAAAATGCTAGAAAAAAATAGGGAAAACTCTTGTAGACATTGGGCTAGTCAAGAATTCGTGAAGAACACCTCAAAAGCACAAGCAACGAAAACAAAAATAGACAAATGGGACTTAAAGTTAAAAGCTTCTGCATAGCAAAAGAAATAATCGACAGAGTGATAAACAATCTGTGGAATGGGAGAGAATATTTGCAAACAATACGTCCAAGAGGGGACTAATATCCAGAATTTACAAGGAACTCAACTCAACAACAAAAAATAATCCCATTAAAAAGTGGGCTAAAGACATGAATAGACATTTTTCAAAACAAGATAAACAAATAGCCAACGTGTATATGAAAAAAGTTACACATTACTAATTATCAGAGAAATGTAAATTAAAACCACAATGAAATATCATCTTACACCAATCAGAATGACTATTACTAAAAAGATAAAAAAATAACAGATGTTGGAGAGGATTTGGAGAAAAGGGAACTCTTACACACTGTTGGTGGGAATGTAAACTAGGACAACCTCTATGGAAAACAGTATGAAGATTTCTCAAGGAACTAAAAATAGAACCACTATACAATCCAGCAGTCCTACCCAGCTGAGTATCTACCCAAAGGATAAGAAATCACTATATCAAAGAGATATCTGCACTCATATGTTTATCACAGCATTACTCACAATAGCAAAGATACGGAATCAATCTAAGTGTTCATCAATGGAGGACTGGATAAAGAAAATGTGGGGTATATACACAATGGAATACTATTCAACCATAAAAAGAATGAAATTATATCTTGTGCAGAAACATGGATAGAACTGGGGGCCATTTTCTGACATGAAACAACCCATATACAAAAAGACATGTTCCTCATGTTCTCACTTATAAGAGGAAACTAAATAATGTGTACACACAAAGCAGAATGTGGAGTCTGGGATAATGAACAATGGAGACTCAGAAGGATAGAAGGTTGGTGGGTGATGGTAGGTTGCTTGGTGGGTACAATGTGCCTTGCTCTAGTGATAAATGATGCACTGAAGGCCCTGACTTCACCACAGTGCAATATGTCAACAGCAAAATTGCACTTTACCCAATGAATATATATGAATAATAAAACAATGAGATACCACTACATACCTATTAGAATGGCACCAAAACACAGGCACCACCAAATATTGACAAAAATGTGGAGAAACAGGAACTCCCATTCATTGTTGGTGGGAATGCAAAACGGTATACTACTTTAGAAGACAGTTGGGTAGTTTCTTACCATTCAACTCGGCAAGTGCTCTTGGAATATTTACCCAAAGAGCTTGAAAATTTATATCTACACAAAAACCTAAACATGAATGTATACAGCAGCTTTATTCATAATTGCCAAAACTTAAAAGCAACTAGAACATCCTTCAATACGTGAATGGATAAATAAGCTATGGTATATCCAGACAATTAAGAATTATTCAGCACTGAAAAGAAATGAGCTAATAAGCTATGAAAAAACATAAAGGATATTTAAATGCATAAAAGAGTGAATTTTCTCATATTTCAATTATATCTCAGTAATTTTTAAATCTCTTTAAGGATGTTATCATTAGAATAAACTGAGTAAAAGGCACACAGGATTTTTCTGTGGCATTTTATACAAATGTATGTGAATTTACAGTGATTTCAAAATAAAAAGTTTTGAAGAAATAAATTTTTTAATTATGAGATTTTAAAAACCTCCTTAAGAGATGCACAAAGAAGAAAAAATGAGAAGAAAAAGGTTACACTAAAAATCAGAACTCAGGAGGAGTGTGGATCACAACCATGGGTTCAGATTTCGAGATGATTTACCCAAAGTCATATTCATGTGAGAGATGAAGATGGCTTCTTCATTCTGAAGTTGCTCAAGTTGTCAACAGAAATCTGCTGCCAGTGATGACTCAAAATGTTCCCCAAGATTTGGAGGAATCCCACAATCCTCAGCAACACACCACAGCTTGAGGTCTTTCCCCAAAAGCTCATGGTGGCAGTTCCTTATGAGAGTCAAGTCAATCTGCAACCATTCCAAATCTCCCAGCTGTACTTTCCACCAATGAAGAAGACCAACCCAGGACAAATGGCCTTGCCTAATGAGAGACTGGTGAACCACAAAAACACTTCCCAAAAAGTCCACAGGGTCACAAAGTGGCAGAGCTGTCCATGACAGTTGATGAAGTTCCTCTTTTGGGTTCCACATATGCCTAACAGACTTCCTCCCTTTGGTCCAGCAGCCTCAGCTCCATTAACCACAGGTGGGCATCACTATGGACTAAGTGGGGTGGGGCATTCTGGCAGGAAGCAAAGGGGTAAACAGTCAAAGAGAGTCTGAACTTCAGTTTGGGAAAAAGGCCTTCTCTACACCCATCTAGAAGCCAGAACTTGATTTTCATCAAAAGACTTGAGTTTCATCTCTGCTCAGTTATTGTGGAACCTTACAAAAGTTCTTTAACCTGTTTCCCCACCTCTGTTGGTGATAATAATACCTCTCAGGAAATATTAAGATGACACCTCTCGAGAAATATTAAAATGCAATGAGGTCATGGATATCCAAATACTGGATTTTTCCTTTTCCTTAAGTCAGTGTTTCCCAAGGTGTGGCCTACAAACTATTAATGGTACATAAGAAAATTTTAGATTAAAATAGACTTTTTAATTTTAATCCTTATAAACTTGACTTAAACGATACTAGAAAAAAACATAACTAGCTTTTCTACCTTGCTAAGATTAAGTTTAAAACTGAGTCAAAATAAAATCTACGTTAAAAAAAATTAGGTTAATAATTTCTAGCTGGGCACAGGGGCTCATGACTGTAATCCCAGCACTTTGGGAGGCCGAGGCGGTCGGATCACTTGACGTCAGGAGTTTGGGACCAGCCTGACCAACATGGTGAAATCCCGTTTCTACCAAAAAAATATAAAAAATTAGCTGGGTGTGGTGGCGCCCACCTGTAATCCCAGCTATGTGGGAGGCTGAGGCAAAAGAATCACTTGAACCCAGGAGGTAGAGCTTGCAGGGAGCTGAAATCATGCCACTGCAGTCCAGTCTGGGTGACAGAGTGAGATTCCCTCTCAAAAAATAATAATAATGATAATAATAATAATTTCTAAAATTTAGTAAGTATATATGGCAGAAATAATAAAGACAATTGAAATTTGAGAAATAATGCTTCCACCTATAAGAACCAGGCCTGTGAACCTCATCCTTGGGTCTCCTGGAAGGAGGATCTTCAGGCCTTCTGTATTTTATAATACAGTGCTCTCTTTGTAAGAACCCAGGGACACATTGTTTCTGGACATAGTGTTAGATGTAGTTGTACTTTTCCTAAACATTTGTCTCGTGGATATTGCAAAACTGTAGTTGGTTGAGTTTCTCTATTTGCACTGACAACAAGAAAGCTTAAAGCCCAACCCAACTTGGGGCTAGTTGCCAAATACATATAGGACTGTGTCACATTCATTTTTTTTTTATTTCAATAGTTTTGGGGGTACAGATAGTTTTTGATTACATGGATCCATTCTTTAGTGGGGATTTCTGAGATTTTTTTTTTTTTTTTTTTTGAGACGGAGTCTTGCTCTGTCACCCAGGCTGGAGTGCAGTGGCGTGATCTTGACTCAGTGCAACTTCCACCTCCCGGGTTCACGCCATTCTGCCTCAGCCTCCGAAGTAGCTGGGACCACAGGTGCCTGCCACCACGCCCGGCTAATTTTTTGTATTTTTAGTAGAGACAGGGTTTCACCGTGTTAGCCAGGATGGTCTCGATCTCCTGACCTCATGATCCACCTGCCTCGGCCTCCCAAAGTGCTGGGATTACAGGCATGAGCCACCACGCCCGGCCGGATTTCTGAGATTTTGATGCACCCATCACCTAAGCAGTATGCACTGTACCCAATATGTGTAGTCTTTTATTCCTCACCTCCCTCCCACTCTTCCCTCTGAGTCCCCAAAGTCATTCTTATGCCTTTGCATCCTCATAGCTTAGCTCCCATTTACAAGTGAGAACATACAATCTTTGGTTTTCCATTTGTGAATTATTTCACTTAAGATAATGGCTTCCAGCTCCATCCAAGTTGCTGCAAAGTCCATTATTTTGTTCTGTTTTATGGCTGAGTAGTATTCCACGGTGCAGCATATTCATTATTTATTAGCCTCATTTCTAACTCCATTTAATGTCCCTATCTTATAATTTTTGTTTCTTTTCTACTTTATTTTATTTTATTTATTTTTGAAACAGAGTCTCACTCTGTCACCCAGGCTGGAATGTAGTGGTGCGATCTTGACTCACTGCAACCTCCATCTCCTGGGCTCAAACGATTTGCCTGCCACAGCCACCCAAGTAGCTGGGACTTACAGGCATGTGCCACCATGCCCGACTTTTGTATTTTTAGTGGAGGTGGGGTTTCACCATGTTGGCCAGGCTGGTCTTGAACGAACCCCTGGCCTCAAGTGATCCACCCACCTCAGCCTCCCAAAGTGCTGGGATTACAGGCATGAGTCACCGCACCCGGCCTCTCTTCCACTTTTAACTTAAATTGTCTCTTATATGTTTATATTCTTTTAAGCTATCTTAAATCTTATTTGAAATATGGCAAAATGTAAAGTTTTAAACGTCCCAAGTTTATTTTCTTTTTTTGTTTATTAAGGAGATACTTCTCTAAGTAAAGTTTGTCCTAAAATTCAAAGGATTGTGCTTTCTGAATCTTTCTGTATCCCTGGGTTAGTACAGATTCGAGTATGCTTTGATAAGAGTGGAACGATCAATCATTTGGTATCATTTTAAAATTAATCCTTACCAAAAGCCCATTCTTTTCAGGGTTACATCACTACAGTACAAAAGAGATAGTTATTAACTTATTTCAGACCTGGGCAACCCCATGGACCTAAAGTCAAAAGGGAAGTGGGTTCTGTGGTGGAATTGGACTTCCTCCTTTTTCCTCAAAAGCCAGGATTTTACTGACAAAAACAACAACAATAAAAAAACCCAACCTAAAATGATACCAAAATCTAGTGTCAGAACATTCAGAATACCCTAAGAGGTGGGAAGCTATTTTATTCATAGTTCATATACTGAGTCTCCTAAGCCAGTAGACTTTTCATGACCTAGCTCCTTGTACCTACCAATGTTTTCTCCAGTGAGAGAAGATCTAATGTTTGTCTTGGATTAACTCCTATACTTTTTTTAGTATCTTGGTTACATATTTTTTCTGAGCCTCATTTTCTCTCTGTAAAATAAAGATAATTTTTATTCTGCCTATTTCAATATAAAGTCACAATGAAATACTAGTCAGGACTCTCAGTTGCATGTGACAAAAATTCAACTCAAATTACCCAAGAGCATAGCTAGATGGCGGTGGCAGTGGAGTTATTAGAAGTTATTTAGATAAAGACTGAACAGCTAAAACAGTGCATAAAGGTAGAGCTCAGAGACCAGAAATGGAAATGCCACCTTACACTCTTTGCATCTCTCATTTCTGTTTAACCCCACAGGGCACCTCATTCTTTCTTAGAATAGACCAACCAGGAACATGGCCACCCAGAGCTCTAGTACCTCAAATCTTACAACACAGAAGCAAAACCCATAGAAGAATTGAGATTCACTTTTTCTAGTCTCAAATGCAAATATCCTACAAATTGATAGAATTGACCAATCTTGGGTCAGGTACTTATCACTGAACTCACCAACTGTGGACATAAGTTTGAGTATTCTGATTAGCCTGGACTAAATCAAGTGCCTATCTCTGAGCCAATCAACACTGTCTAGGAGAAAGAGCTCTAAAAAGATGGCAGCTCCCATTCAAGTCACATGATTAGAGTGAAAAGCACCAGCATTTTTGCAGAGAAACAGAAGATGGAAACAGGTGGACTCTTATGGGCAGAAAAAAAAGAGAGACTTATTATAGGTTTTTAAAATCAGGATTATTAGACACATATAGTACATGGTTTCCAAGTGACTCAAGACTCACACCAAGTGCCAACTACTCCAAGAATCCTTTCCTGATAACTATTTTCAATTATAAAACCCTTCCCTCATTGGCATACCCATTATAGTTCTGCAAAATATAACTTCCACTCAGTTATATTTAAGTTTTCATTTGATTATATGTTATATTAAATTGCTTTCTAACAAACTATTTTAAATTTGTCTTCTTCATTTGGTTATTCCCTGATGATAGAAATCAGCTATTTCTTGCTGGTCATAGTGATTGTGTTAATTTATTTTTGCTCCCATGAAGGATATTTGCATTTTACCTGGGTCTATCACAGGCAAAGTCTTAACCCAAAGGAGTGATTGTGACACTGGGAATGTTAAACATACACAACAGAACATCTTTGGGATTCTACACTCAGGCCCAAATGCTGTGAAATCATTAATATAACCCTATTATATTAATATATTCATTGTCATCATCTATTTTGGGCTGCTGATAGACCTATGGCAATCATACATGCAGAATATATTATCTGGGGAGAGGTAGATAGCATTGTGTTGCGGTAAAGACCACAAGTTCTGAAGCCAGACAGACCTGAATTTGGCCTGAGTTCTTCCACTTATTTGTGTGACTGGAGACAAATTACTCCACATCTCTGAACATCAGTTTCCTCACTATAAGGTGAATACAGTAATAGTATCTCCCTCAGGAAGCTGTTTTGAACATCAAATGAGATAAGGTATTCAAAGCTTTTACTGTGCTACTTGGTACACAATAATTGCTCAATAAATGGTAGCATTCTTTTAAAGGTTCTAATTCAAATAATGAGTCCCATTTCCCCAAAAACATACGTATCCATCAAAACACATGATACAACTTGCAGTTGAAAATGTGATAATTATACCTAAACTCTATGCCAAAAGGGCTAGAAAATAACAATAGTATTTTCAAGCATATTCCTATGTAAACTGTAAAATCTTTTGCCAAGATAGATTTGTACTGTGGTAGTCTTATAAAACTTTATTAAATTTATCCAAGTTGTTTAACTAAGATTCCCTAAAAAGTCCCCACACAGGCATGTGAAATAATACAACTATCTCCTCCCAACCCCTGGAGAGTAGTATGAAACCACAGAAGACTATTTGGATAAGAAATTAACCTTTCCTGATACGCTTCTGAGAATTTGACGTTGTTGTGCTGCAATATAACATAGCCTAACCTGACTAATAAAGAACTTTTTAATCTTTCCCCCAGGCACCCACTTAGAATGGCCTTTTCAGCACTCCCCTCCCCACAATGCTCTAGACATTTTGCTTAGTGCTTTCTCCACCAAAACCTACCCACCCATATCACATGTCATCAGTGACAATGAGTTCATATATTAATTCTTGCTCACATACTAATGGCAACAGAAGTGTAAAAATGTTATCCCTTCTAGGAACAAATGCTCATGTTTTAGCTAGAGGCAAACACAACAAAATGTCCAAAATGTTCACAACAAAAATTCTCCCACAGGAGAATTTTTATCACCAAGGAAGTTCAAATAGAAAGAAATTTGGGACAAGCAAGACATTTTCTGACAATAATATCGAAAAATGTCTATGATGATTTTGTATACTTCATAAAGTACTTTTACACTCAGTATCTCAGGGGCAATAATTATTATTCCACTACACCATTAAAGGAATCGAGGCTTAGAAAGTTTCATTTGGTTGCTCAAGGTCACGTGGCTAATAAGAGGCAGATTCAGAACTATTTAATCCAGATCTTCTGACGCCAAGTACAGAATCCATCACCCAAGTATTTATAAATCATCTACCATGTACCACACATTTTGTGGGCTTTGGAGATACAGAAGTAAATAAAACAGAAAAAAAAATCCTTATCCTCATGAAGTTTATATTCTAGAGAGAGAAGAAAATGGTAGCCAAACAATAAATAAACATGTAAATTTATTTTGTGTCAGTTGGGAAGTATCATTATGAAGAAAAATAAAATCAAAGTATGGGTGATAGTGGGTGCTAGAGAATGCCATTTTATATAACGTAGTCATGGAAGGTCTTTCCAAAAAAAGGTGCATTTCAGCTGAAACCTGAATGAAGGAAGAGGAAAAGCCTTTTGGCTATTTAAAGTATAAACCTTCCAGATAGGGGTGGCAGCAAGGGCAAAGGCTCTGAGACAGGAGTGTGTTTGATGTTGTTGAGGAACAGTAAGGAGGCCAGTGTGGTTGGAGCAAGGTGGATAAGGGGACAAATTGTAGGAGGTGACAGCGATTAGGGAGTAGGGGCAGATCATGGAGAAACGAGTGTGCCAAGGTAAAGATTTTGGGCGTTATCATGAACAGAATGAGAGCCCTTTGGGCATGAGGAAGACTGGGCAGTCTGAGAGGAGCTAGCAATGTGTCAATCAATCAGTCAACAAATTAACTAACTAATTATTTTGGGGAATCCAACTAAGCATGCTCATCGGGCAACCTTAAAATGAATATGTTAAGAAACAAGAAAGGCTGGGGAAAAAACAATCATCTATGCTTTCATCTCAAGAAGTCAGGAATAGACAAATAAATTAAGCATGTGGTAGATCACATGTATCGGTTAGTAAATACCAAATATAATAAATTTATGATATTGGGTATCATCCATGTACCAATTCTGTCCAAATTGATCTACTGATACAATGTAATCCTAATAAAATTTCAACAGGACTTGTATGAAAATTGACAGGCTGACTCTAAAATTGATATGGAAATGTGAAGGACCAACGATAATCAAGACATTCTGAAACAGAAAAAATAAGATAGAATGACTGCTTCTACTCATTAAAAGATTTATTTTAGGCCAGGTGCGGTGGCTCACCCCTGTAATCCCAGCACTTTGGGAGGCTGAGGCGGGCGGATCACCTGAGGTCAGGAGTTTGAGGCCAGTCTGGCCAACATAGTGAAACCCCGTCTCTATTAAAAATACAAAAATTAGCCCAGTGTGGTGGCACATGCCTGTAATCCCAGCTAATCTGGAGGCTGAGGGAGAAGAATTGCTTGAGCCCAGGAGGTGGAGTTTGCAGTGAGCCGAGATCGTGCCACTGAACTCCAGCTTGGGTGACAGAGTGAGACTTCATCTCAAAAAAAAAAAAAAAAAAAAGATTTATTTTAAGATAACACAGTATTGGCACAAGAGTAGACCAGTAGATCAATGAAGAAGAAGAGATAACTCATGAATATATAGATACTTGTCTAATGATGAGTCACTGCAAACTAGTGGAGAAAAAACAATCTTTTCAATAAGTGGTACTAAGTTAACTGCATATCCACATAAGAAAAATGAAACTTGACCTTTACTTCACATCATACATAAAAATCAACTCTATGTGAATTATATATCTAAATGTGAAAGACAAACCAATAATGCTTTAGAAAGGAAGCATTATCCTATGGTAATAGGAGAATATCTTCATAATATTGCAGTGTGAAAATAGTTTTTATTTTTTATTATTTTGTATTTTTTGAGACAGGTTCTTGCTCTGTTGCCCAGGCTGGGGTGCAGTAGTGCCATCACGGCTCACTGTAGCTTCAACCTCTTAGGCTCAAGCAGATCCTCCCACCTCAGCCTCCCGAGTAGCTAGCACGAGCCACCATGCCTGGATAATTTTTTAATTTTTTGTAGAGATGGGGTCTCCCTATGTTGCCCAGGCTGGTCTCAAGCTCCTGGGCTCAAGCAGTCCTCCTGCCTCAGTCTGCAAATGTGCTGGGATGTGAGCCAGCCCAGGAAACAGTTTTTAAATAAAACAATACTAACCTGAAACAAAAGGATTAATAAATTAGCCTAAATTAAATTTAAGAACTTCTGGTCATCAAAACCTACCATGAAGAGAGTGAAACAGCAAGTCCCTGAGTGGGAGAAAATATTTGCCACACATGTAACTAATAAAGAGCTCATGCCAAAATTAAGGGCTTCTACCAATCAATAAGGTAAGACAACCAATGGACAAATCGATTCAAAACTTAACAGATAACTGATAGACTGAGAAGGTGCCTGGCCTCAAAAATAATCAGGGATATACAAATTTAAATGAGAATGAAATAACATTACAACCTCATCAGAATTGCTGAAACGTAAAAACTACTTATTCTTTTTTTTTTTTTTTTGGCAAAGGTGTAAAGCAAAGGAAACCCTCATGTGCTTACTTGTAGGAACATATGTGTTTATACCCACTTTGGAAACCAGTTTGCTATGTCTACCAAAGTTGAACATACAAATGACCCTATGAGCTGGTTGTTTCATACATAGAGAGGTATAGCAAAAAGAAATGCATAGCCTGTAACCCCAGCATTTTGGGAGGCCAAGGCAGCAGAATCATTTGAGCCCAGGAGTTTATGACAAGCCTGGGCAATAAAGGGATACCTCCGTCTCTATAAAAAATTTAAAAATTAACTGAGTGGGGATGCACATACCTGTAGTCCCAGTTACTCAGAAAGCTGAGGTGGGAGGGTTACTTGAACCCAGGAGTTTGAGGCTGCAGTGAGTCATGATCGTATCACTGCATTCCAGCCTGGGCAACAGAGTGAGATCCTGTCTCAAAAAACAAAAAGAAAGAAAAGGAAAAAGAAATGCATACGTATATTTGCCAAAAGAAATATACAAAAATGATGTGTCAGTATAATTTGTTATAACAAAAAACTCAAAATAAGCCCAACGTTCATCAGCAGGACAATATATAAATAACTTATGATATATAATCCTACATGAACTTAACTGTTTGAATATGGAAGTGACTTGGAGTCACATAAATAAATCTTGCTGACCTCAATAAAATATATCCTCAACTCCCCTACCCTCAGAGTCTAAGGCTTGGACAAACCCCAAAAACATCAATAGCTATCTCATTACCACTCAACAAAAGGCAAAATGTGAAGGCAGGAAAGTCAGAGTAGAAAGCACCACCACCTTAAGTGACTATGGTCAAAATATTCTCCTTATGTAAAATTTACAAAAACACATAAAAATGATGACAAATGACCATATGAACACTTTACTGAGCGCTCCACCCCACCTTAGGGCTTTGGAAGAGGTCTGTGTAAATGAGGGCCCCTATAGCTTAGGCTCTATTGTCTTAATGGTAAATCCAACTCTGGTTAGAAGTGAGATGATCACTTTTGGAAGGAAGAGAAGGATACAGATTGGGCAGTGGCACAGAGGGGACATCTGAAGTGATTGGCAATGTTCCATTTCTTGAACTAAGCAGTGGATGCATGTGTGTTTGTTTTGTGATAATTTATTGAGCTGTACATTTATACTTTGTGCATTTTTCTACATGTGTGCTATGTTTAAAATTTTTTTAAAGCTTAAAAGGTAACTATAAAAGGTGACAGATATGCTAATTTATTTGACTGTAGTAATCATTTCACTATATATAAGGATATTAAAATATTATGTTGTATGCCTAAAGTATACACAAATAAAAAATTATTTAATAATTTAAAAGGTAAAATGTTTAAAATTACTTTCCCAAAATAAAGTAATTAAACTTCCTAAAGTGGCTAATTAGCAAGGCTTGCTATTTTACACATTTAACATATTGGAGAGACAGTTTGCAAAGATTATTTCCTTGGAATCAGATAAACCAGGTTCAACTCCCAACTTGCATCACTGAATAACTCTATAAAGTTGCACTGTTCAATATGCTAACAACCAGCCATAGTGGCTATTAGGCACTTGAAATGTAACTATTCCAGTTTAAGAGGTGCTAAATACCATGCTCCTAAATAACCAATGGGTCAAAGAAATAATCAAAAGAGAAATTAAAAGTACTTTGAGATAGAAGAAAATAAAGATATGGCATACCAAAACCTAAGAAATGTAGCTGGATCACCGCTCAGAAGACAATTTAGAGCTGTAATGCATATATTAGAAAAAGAAGAAAGACCTCTAAGCAATAACCTAACCGTAAAACATTGGAAGAAGAAAAGCAAATGAAACTTAAAGTGAGCATAAGGATGGACATTATAAAGATTAGAGTGGAAAATGATAAAATAGAGGAAAAAGAAACCATTCCAAAAATTGATGAAATCAAAAACTGGTTCTTTGTAATGATCAACAAAATTGGCGAACCTTTAATTAGACTGCTGAGAAAAAAGGGAGACAACTCAAATTACTAGAACCAGAAACAAAAGATGGAACATTACTACCAACCTTATAGAAATAAAAAGGATTAAAAAGGATTCAAAATAATTATAATATTCTTATGAACAATTATATGTCAATAAATTAAATAACTTAGACCATCTTAGACCAACAATCTCAGTAGACCTCTAACAACCAAAGAAATTGAATTTGTGATAAAAAAATTACCCACAAAGAAAAGCTCAAGACCAAATGGCTTCACTGCTGAATTGTACCAAACGTTTAAAGAAGTAATGTCAATTTTTCACAAGCTCTTCCAAGAAAATAAAAGAGGAGGAAACACTTCTTAACTTATTCTATGAAATTAGTATTACCCTGATATCAAAACCAGACAAACACATCTCAAAAAAAAAACTGCAGACCAAAATTACTTAAGAATATGGAGGCACAAATTCTCAACAAAGTACTAGCAAACTAAATCCAGCAACATACAAAGAGACTGCATTTCATGACTAAGTGAGACTCATCCCTGGAATGAAAGATTGGTTGGTTTAACATCAAAAAATCAATTAATATAATACACCATATCAATAGAATAAAAAACAAAAGCCACATAATCTTCTCAATAGATGCTTTAAAAAGATTTTATGAAACCCAAACTCTTCTATAATATTAAAAAGAATAAGAACTCAAAAAACCTAGGAATGGAAGGGAATTTCCTCAACCTAATAAAGAGAATCTGTGAAAAAACTCACAGCTAACATCATACTTAGTGATGAAAAACTGGATGTTTTCTCCTAAGATCAGAAATGAGACAAGAATATCTATTCTCACCACTTCTATTTAACATTATACTGAAAGTATTAGCCAGTGCAATTAGACAACAAAAAAAAAGGAATTTAAAGGTATTCAGATTGGGGAAAAGAGAAGTAAAATTATCTCTATTCAAACATGACATAATATTGAATATAAAAAATTCTAAGACCAGCGAGAAATTATTTGAGTCAACAAGTATAATTTATCAGGGTTTCCAGAGAAACAGAACCAAGAGAATGTATATATATTGCACACATATACACACACACACACAGAGATTTATTATAAGAAATTCGCTCATGTGATTATGGAAGCTGACTAGTCCTAAAATCTGAAGCCTACAAGCTGGGGGCCCAGGGGAGCTAATGGCTTAGTTCTAGTCCTAGTCCAAATGTCTGAGAACCAGGAAAGCTAATTTTTTATTTACTTACAAAAGAGTTCTGTGGCTTTTTTTAAAATAACTTTAAGTTCTAAGGTACATGAAGACAATGTGCAGGTTTGTTACATATGTATATGTGTGCCACGTTGGTGTGCTGCACCCATTAACTCATCATTTACTTTAGGTATATCTCCTAATGCTGTCCCTCCCCTCTCCCCCCACCCCATGACAGGCCCCAGTGTGTGATGTTCCCCATCCTGTGTCCAAGTGTTCTCATTGTTCAATTCCCACCTATGAGTGACAACATGCAGTGTTTGGTTTTCTGTCCTTGTGATAGTTTGCTCAGAATGATGGTTTCCAGCTTCATCCATGTCCTTACAAAGGACATGAACTCATCCTTTTTTATGGCTGCATAGTATTCCATGGCATATATGTGCCACATTTTCTTAATCCAGTCTATCATTGATGGACATTTGGGTTGGTTCCAAGTCTTTGCTATTGTGAATAGTGCCACAATAAACATACATGTGCATGTGTCTTTATAGTAGCATGATTTATAATTCTTTGGGTATATACCCAGTAATGGGTTGGCTGGGACAAATAGTATTTCTAGTTCTAGATCCTTGAGGAATCGCCACACTGTCTTCCACAATGGTTGAACTAGTTTACAGTCCCACCAACAGTGTAAAAGTGTTCCTATTTCTCCACATCCTCTCTAGCACCTGTTGTTTGCTGACTTTTTAATGATCGCCATTCTAACTGGTGTGAGATGGCATCTCATTGTGGTTTTGATTTGCATTCAGGAAAGCTAATGTTGTAGTTCTAGTTTGAAAGCCAGCAGACTCAAGACTCAGAAAGAGCTAATGTTTCAATTCAAGTTCAAAGGCAAGAAAAAACAGATGTTGCAGCTCAGAGGTAGTCAGGCAGAAGAAATTCCTTTTTATTTGTGGGCAGGGTCAGCCTTTTTTTCTATTCAGACTTTTAACTGATTAAATGAGGCTAAGCTACATTACGAAGGGAAATCTACTTTACTCAGTCTATCAATTTCTATCAATTTAAATGTCAAACTAATCCAAAACATCCTCCCAGAAGCACATAGAATAATGTTTGACTAAATATGTGGGCACCTCATGTCCCAGTGAAGTTGACACAAAAAATTAACCATCACAGCAAGATTGCATGAAACAAGATCAATATACAAAAATAATTGTATTTTTATACAATTGCAATGACCAATATGAAAATTAATAGGAAAATTCATCTGCAATAGCACCAAAAAGTATTAAATACTTAGGAATAAATTGAACAAAAGAAATGAAAGTTATATGCTGAGAACTGCAAAACATTGTTGAGAAAATAAAGAAGGTCTAAATAAATGGAGAAAACCCTATAATCACGGGTTTTCCAATCCTTAACATTGTTATACTCCCCAAACTGATGTGTAAATTCAACACATTCCCTATCAGAATCCAAACTGACTTCTTTGTACAAATTAACAAGTTGATTTAGAAACTTATATGGAATTAAAAGAGATCTGGAATAGCCATAATAATCCTTAAAAAGAAGAATAAAGTATGAGGACTCAAACTTCTCTATTTCAAAACTTAACTACAAAACAACAATAGTCAAGACAGTATGGTACTGGCATAAGGATAGGCATACAGATCAATGGAACAGAACATTGAGAGCACAGAAATAAACCCATATGTCTATGGTCAACTGATTTTGGCAAGGGTACCAAGACCCTTCAGTGGGGGAAAATGGTCTTTCCAACAAATGGTGCTGGGATAACAGAATAGTCACATGAAAAAGAATAGGGACGTCTATAGAGATTTAAATTAGATTAGGGGTAGTTTATGGCTGAGGATGGGGTCAGGGTGGTAGGTGAGTGCTAGCCAAAAGATAGGAGATTTCATCTCAAGGGGATGAAAACTTTCTAAAATTGCGGTGGCTCACACCTATAATCCCAACATTTTGGGAGGCTGAGGCAGGAGGATCACTTGAGCCCAGGAATTTAAGACCAGCCTGGGCAACAGAGTGAGACCCTGTCTCTACAAAAAATTAAAAAGTTAATACCGAGTGTGGTGGTAGATGCCTGCAGTCCCATCTACTCAAGAGGCTGAGGCAGGAGGATTGCTTGAAGCCAGGAGGTCTAGGCTTCAGTGAGTTATGATTGCAATGCTGCACTCCAGCCTGGCCAACAGAGCAAGACCCTGCCTCAAATAAATAATATTTATATATCAAATAAATAATAAATATAAAATTGTGTAAAATTTAGTATATTAACATATGTGTAACCATTTGTGTGTAACCATGTGAATATATTAAATTTTACACAATTTTAATTTAAAATTGTTACACATATGTAAATATATTAAAAGCCATTGAATTGTATACTTTAAATGGGCAAACTGTATAGTATGTGAATTATATCTCAATAAGGCTATTTGTTTAAAAAAAAGAAGAAACTCTAAATTTTAAAGACAATGCAAAAAATACACAAGGCATCTCATTAATTTTTACACTGATTACATATTAAGATGATAATATTTTATATATATTGGTTTACATAAAATATATAATTAAAATTAATGTCATGTTTCTTTTTATTTTTTAATATGGCTACTAAAAAAATTCAAAATTACATATATGGCTCATTTTATATTTCTATTGGATAACGCTGCTCTAGAGATTTTACACACATTTGTAAAATGTGTGTAAAAAAACACTCTGAACCCTAACTTCCTTATATGTTATAAGGCTGTAATAATAGTACTGGCTTCACACAGTTATGGTGAGGATTAAATGGTTTTAAAGAACTTAGCATTTGGATGTTAGCTTTTATTCTAAGTGTTAGTTCTTATTATCAGAGAAGCCTCTGGGTACCATTGAGTACAGCAGTGATATAAAAAAACCCCAGTAGACACCTTGGATTTATTTTACTATTATAAAATTATTTTTAGAAATGAATCTTAGAAACCATCACATCCAGTAATCACTAACTGTCACCTTGCCAAACTGTTGTTTAACAACCCCCTGGTTTTCAAAACTTGAATCTGAGTATCTTTATTGTGGGACTGCGCTCTCTACTTTGCTGTAAGCCTGACCACTCCCTGTTCCCTTAGCAGAGCCTCACACCTGAGTTACTTCCTTGGTATTGGAGGTATTTGCATTTATACCTGATCCTACACTAGTCCAAGCCCCTCACCTTCCTGATGAAGAAACTGGGGCCCGTGGAAGGGACACTGAGCTGCTAAATGCAGAATTCAGCCTGCAGAGGACCAGGCCAGTCCTCACACAGGCAATGCATTATCCAGAAGACCCTGACTAGCAGGGACTGCAACACAGGCTATTCAGCTTGTATGCTAACACGCTATCCTTGGGAGTCTTGGTGGGACTTCCAGTGTTCTTTAGTTTATTGCCACTGGAGAACTAAATCATTATTGGCAATCATGATACCTTTAATGGAGACCAGTGGATCATTCTGATGCAGAGGGAGAGAAGATGGTACTTGGAACTCAGAAGTTCCAAATAGCCTGGTTTAACATACGCAAAAAATCCAGTTCTGTGTAAATCTGCCAATTAGCCATCTCTGCAGCACTGATCTCCCTTTTATTTCCTTCCTCATACTTGTTTATCAAATAATACTTACCAAAGCTCAATCATCTGATTCCCAGGGTAAGCCCAGAGAGAAGTGTGACCTGGGATAATTAGTCCCATTTCATTGTTGAGGAAACTGGGCCTAAAGAAGACAGGAATGGGAGAGCTAAGCCAGGACCAGAAGAGAGTTTGGCAAAGTTCACTGAATGCATATTTTGTTTTTGCCATATGCAAATACCACCTGCATTATTTAGTTATCTTTCTTTTTCTTCTTCTTTTTTTCTGCTCTGTCACACCAGTGCAGTAGTATGATCATAGCTCACTGCAGCCTCAAACACCCTGTCTCAAGTGATCGTCCCACTCCTCCCACCTCGGCCTCCTCAGCAGCTGGGACTACAGGTACGTACCGCTATGCCTGGCTTTTATTTTTAAGAGACGGGGTCTCACTACGTTGCCCAGACTGGTCTCAAACTCCTGGCCTCAAGTAATCCTCCTGCCTTTAGTTTTTATTTTCCTTTAACAGGCACTTACTGTTTTTATGTAAGTCAACTGATGTTGAAAGGAAATTTTACTTCAATGCCTTCAGTAGAAAACTAGTATCACGTGCCATTAATAGAAGGTTAATAAATATAATACAAAACAATTCTAATTAGAAACCGTTGTCTGGAGAGCTTCTAAAAATCCTAATGCCCAAGCCAGACCTTAGAGCTATTAAACTGGAATTCCTCTGGGGAGGAAGCAATTAGGCATAAGTAATTTGTTAAAGCTCTCCCCAGGAAATAGCATCATGCAGCCAAGGATGAGATCCACTAGAATAGATGCTGTTGCCTGCTAATGCCTCTAAGGCTGAAGAGTGCTTGCCCTCCTTAAGAAGAGAGATCAACAAGTGATAGAGAGGTATTAAAGAGACAATAGGCCTGGCGCGGTGCCTCATGCCTGTAATCCCAGCACTTTGGGAGGCCGAGGCGGGAGGATCACAAGGTCAGGAGATTGAGACCATCCTGGCTAACACGGTGAAACCCCATCGCTACTAAAAATACAAAAAATTAGCTGGGCGTGGTGGCGGGCACCTGTAGTCCCAGCTACTTGGGAGGCTGAGGCAGGAGAATGGTGTGAACTCAGGAGCCGGAGCTTGCAGTGAGCCGAGATCGCACCACTGCACTCCAGCCTGGGCGACAGAGCAAGACTCTGACTCAAAAAAAAAAAAAAAGAGAGACAATAGCCTAAAACCGACACTTTCTCCTTAGCATCAGAAGAACTGAAAAGTAACTTTGAAATGGGAAAAGTTTTCATTTGTAATTTGTTACTGTTGAATCAGTTGCTCCTTTGCAGTCTAAAACCAGCTCACATGGCACTTGCCCTTTGGAAAACACTGGATCAGAAGACCCCAGGTGGTGTGGTTTCTATTCCTGTGCCCTTTCAGCTCCAGCAGCTAGCTTCCCAGCCAAAGACTCCCACAAGGTCACTGGAGAACCCCTACTCACCTCTGTGTGTTCTCCAGCAGGGACTCCAAAATGCCTGCATTTACATCACACTGTCAGACACATCCTTCTATTTCAAAATGAATCTTCTCAGTGGCTCACATTAAAAACCTTAAGGCAAAACCGCATCTCCGTCTCCTTTCATTTCCTCTCAAGAAGCCCCTTGTTTTCGTCTAGGAATATCTGGCCCTAGAGAAGGCTTAAGTCAGCCCTGCCCTTTTGGATCTTAAAAAGAGGTATAGCTAGGGAAGAGGGAGAAACAGGAGACTCAGTGCAGATCCGCACATGACTTTGAGAGGGTCTTCTGCTGTGAAGTTTCTCTTTCATCCCTCACCTCTGAACACACACAAGACTGTCCTGATGGACGGATGCATTTAGAATGAAAGCTGGACTTTTGGGTGAGGATTCCAGATCTCCATAACATCATTTTCTTATCTGGCTTGGGGCATCACTGAAAGAACTGGGTACCTGCCTCTGTGGACTAGGGTTTGAAGAGCTGCCCCAGAAGGACTACATGGCCTCAAGAGCAAGCAGTTTGGCTCACTAGGCAGGTTGTTGAGCAAACCTCTGATCTGCTTACTTCCTACATTTACAACCTAGAACGCTGACACAGTGCCTACCACCAGATGAGCAGGCTACTTTACTGTCTTGTCAGCAGAATCCTTCTGTCTTGTTTCCCTTAGAGCCTAAGGTTCTGCTTTGAGGTCTCCTCCCTATTCTCCATCTCAAAGTTACACAGTCCCACCTCCTAGCCTTAGCTCTTGTTGTGCCCATAGTCCAGAATGTTCTTCTGCCCCATCCCTGTCTGTCCAAAGCCTACCCACCCTCAAAGCTGATTGAAAATGTCAACTCCTCCATAAAGCCTAAGATGATTCCCCTGGTCAAATAATAACAGTAATGGAATTAACAAAAAATAACAGTAATAATAATAGCCTAGCATTTGCTGAGTACTGCTGTGGGCAGGCAATGGGCTAAGATCTCATACTCATAATCTCAACCAAATCTTATACTAGATGTATCTTATTATCCCTGCCCTGCCATTTTTGATATCAACTTACTTGTTCTCTCTGTGCCTCATTTTTCTCAGATATCAATGGGGATTATAATATGTCTTCCTTGTAAGATTGTTTTAGGTATAAAATAAGCTAGTGTATATAAAGCATCAGCATAGTACCTGACACTATGGTTTTGGCTTAGTGAGTATCATTACTTCTTGTAACAACTTAAAGGTCTGGGTTTGTACTGATAAGGACAGGAGGAAGGGAAATACTGGGTAGAAGAGGGCAGGGTCCATGGCAAGGACTCCACCCTCAAGCCTGGACCCGCAGCCCTAGATGAGAACTTCACATCCCTGTTTTCCCGCTCGAATGTTGCCTTTTCTAAAACCACCCTGGCATGCCACACTTCCCTCCCCACCCTGTACCCACAAAAACTCCAAGTTCCACTGGCAGAGGAGCAGAGCGGTGCAGCAGAGAAGGAGAGAAGGGAAGAAGTGTCTGAACATCAAGAGTAGAAGAGGCAGCTGGACATCGGAGACTATGGTTGGAGAGGAATTTGGCCAGGAATGGCTGAACTCCAGAGGAAGAGTATCTTCCCACTCCATCCCCTTTCTAGCTCCCCATCCCACTGAGAGCCACCTCCACCACTCAATAAAGTCTCCACATTCACCATCCTTCAAGTCCCTGTGACCTGATTCTTCCTGGACATAGGACAAGAACCTGGGTATCAAGAGGGCAGGGTGTGAAAGGCTGTCACCCCAACCCTCCACTGAGCGGGTAAACACTTAGCTGTCTGTGGACAGCAAATGCTAAAAGAGTATTGTTTGTAACACATGCCCCCTTGGGCTCCAGAGGTCATGGACAACCCCTAGACACTGCCACAGGCTGGTACACAGTTTGTTCCTAATGGCTTCCAAAGGCAATCACCCCAGCTCCTGCTCCTGCTCTCCTGTGTGCTCCCCCTCATGCAAGGGGTTTGAGTGCAGTGGCCAAGTAAACAAGTCACCAATGTTGCAAGTCCCATGAGGAGGTCAAGGGAACAATCCCATCTCAGTATTATTCTCATCTTATAGATGAGAAAACCAAGCAATAGAGGTTGAGTAAACAGTCCAAGTTCAGTGACAAGCAAGAATTTTACTTCCCTCTGGTCTTCACTGAACTTTGCTCATCACAAAGATGATGTAAGGATAATCTTCCAGTTGCCATGGGAACTCATTTCATCAGCATCTCAGCCATCCTAGATGATTTGCATACATGACTTTATGCAGAAAGAGAAAGTTAAACTGACTTGAAGTCAACTGGCTCTACTGGCTACTGTCCTTTGAGATACTGTGATATTTGCATTGCATCATGGTTCTAGGGTATCCCAAAGACAGGTCTGCTCATTAATCCTCATACTTTCTCTCATTCACCAAGAATGTGATCCAGCTAGGGAAACAGACGAGAGCGACCAAGGAACGTGCTGGTGGAGCAGGTGTTGAATTCCTTCTCTGCATTTCTGCTCTTCCACTCTTTAATTGCCTTCTGGCAGGATGTTCCTGACTGCAGAGGCAACACCTAAAGCTTAGCCAGCTTAACTGCAGGTCTGCACAATAACAAACCCTTCAGAATTTCAGCACTCATTTCTTCATCAAGGGCCCCAAAATTATGGTTGTGTATCACCTACTCATTTCCTCTTGGTTCAACCTCACATGCTTTCATACTACTGCTGACCATCTGTACATGTTACTCACCCCTTTCCTCCTTTCCTCTATTCAAATAAGCCAGGCTGGGTTCGCACTCCAGAGGTACCCCTATTGATGGTTGGGCAAATAGGATACAGTTTCCAGAAAGAGTGACAACTTTGCTTCCTGGAATCCCTGCACAAAATGCAGGGTCACATATGGCCCTGAGGAGGGATTTGGTGGCAAAGAGATATCTAACTTTAGTAGTTTGAAAGTACTATGGCTAGCTGTGGTTCCAAACTCTCTACCAGGTCACCCTGGGGTAGCATAGTAAATTCACAGGACTGTTGGGAGGTATTTTAAATTTTCCAAGGGAAAGACAGGATCCTCCATATCTGTTGAACACTGCACAAACTCAGGGTTGTTCATGGTTTCAACATTAGATTACGTCATATTCCTTTCAGTGATGGCATCTTTTGGGGAAGCCATGTTTTTGGCAGTTACTGTGACAAAAAGCAAGTGCCACAAGGAAATCAGTGTGGAACAGGAAATGAAGGTGGCAGTGTCCACTCTGATTCCAAAGTTTAAGGAGTTGCACAGTGCCCAGCAGGCCACACATCCCATGAGTAAGTAATTGTGATGATTTCAGAATACAAAAAAATATTTTTTTTGTTTCAATGTATCATTTTTTTTCAAATGGCCAATACAAAGTTTTTAGCACATAAAGACTTTTAAGCGATTTGACCCTAACTAGTTAATCAATGAATCTATTTGGTATTTCTTTTGGCCTACAGATGCCATGAAAAAATTACTGAAGCACTAAGCGTTCTGCGACCAAGGAAGATTTGGAAACTTCTGGTCTGGTCAAGTCAGCCATGTTTCACAGCTCCCAAGAACTTCATTGGTACCTGATCCTATGACAAAGCATACCTGGGTCTTGGTTTTGGTTATCGTGGTTGTTTCATCTCAGAGACTTTTACATATTTTCAGTGCTAAATGTGCCTACTACATGGGGCCTGTGCAGCCATGTGCCTCGGCCAGCACCTGCCTCAGACTCCCTGGGCATCTCTCCCTTTCCTCTGCGCTTAAGTCACACCAACCTCCTTTCCATTCCTCCAACCCGCCAAGCCCTCTCCCATTGTAGGGGCTTCTTACTGATTCTCATCCTGGTTCACCTGTAGGTCCCAACTTAAATGCCACCTCATCAGAGAGCCCTCCCCTGTGATTCTCTGTCTCACCACCCATTCATTTCCTTCATAGCATTTTGTCCTCTGCACATATCTATTTAGCTCTATGAGGACAGAGTCCAGGTCTGATCTGCTTACTACATTCACAGAATTTAGCTGGGTGCCTGATATGTAATTGTCACTCAATAAATAACCGCAAGGTTAACAAGTGTCAGTTTAAATCATACACACATTTTAACTGGGGCCCTGTGCAGCCCAAAGCATTTCAGAAGGCTTTTCTGGCAAACAGCCCATCAGATAGACACGTGGGACAATTGCATCACTAGCCACAGGCAGAGACAGTCAAGGGCGGTGTTTGCGATCAAGAATCCCAGCTCTGCCACCTCCTTGCTGGCAGACATTGGGCAAGTTACTCATTCTGCCTCTACCAGCCATGTCTTTGCTTGGAAAAGGGTTGTTAAAAGGACTAACTATAAAGCTCTTAAGTAAAATCTGTCAAGAAACAAGCACTCTAAATAAAAGTAAGCTGCTTTTATTAGGACAAGGACAGTGTTCAAGGACTATCCCATGAATGCCCACACACCATTCTGAGAGGAAGTTTCTGCCTCAGAAACTGACAGGTCCAATGCTTCTTGCTTGTTTTAGAATAAAAGGCTCAATTCAAAAAATGATATATGGACAATTAATTCTTAGCCCCATTGGTGTCCCCCACACAACTCATGATTAAAACCAAAAAGAATCTGTTATGGAACTTTGATTATCCAGCTGGACAACAGAAATGGAGAATGTTAGGCAGTGACTGTCAATTTGTCTAGACTCAAACTGCTCTATGGCACCAAGCACATGGTGGAATGTGTGTGCCTAATCCTTCCAGTCCTTTGCTTGTCCCCTTCTAACCAGCTCTCTTCATGTTCTAGGCTTAAAAGTAAGCCCAGTGCACCATGATGTTGTTCCGGTTGTACCTGGGGAGTTCCAGGGGCCAAGGGCTGCTCACAGTCACAGAGAGGAAATGACACATGGCTCCTCTTCTTGCAGTGGGAAGAAGCATGAGTACCAGCCTTCATCTGTCCACACCTTAGTTACTGTTGCTCTCTTTCCTGGGTCTCCTTCGCCCAGCCTCTCCCCTACCTGATCCTCATGTCTGGATGCCTCATTTTCACAACCCCCTGGAATCACATCACTCTCCTCCCCAAGCGCTATCTACACTTCCTATTTCATGCATACCCACATCTTAGAAAACCATTTCTCCCACTGGCTTCCTATAGATGGCCTAGCTAAGGGTAATGTCTTTTCTGCTAACCTGATTTGCTGTCACTTTATAAATTTTATATAGGATGGTCTTACAAGACAGATGGTACTGATGGACTCAAACACGTGATGTGTTTCAATCCCAGATTCTCCATCTACTAGCTACATTTTTCATGGAAAGTTAGCTTTACATCTCTAAGCCTCAGTCTCCTCACCAGTAAAGTGGGCAGAATAATTTCCACCTCATAGCTTTGTTGTGAGTACGAGATGAGAAAACTCACATGAAACACACACCACAGTAACTGGTCCACAGGAAGCACACCCAAAAAGTCTACTACTGTGGTTGCTGAGGTCAACCCCCCATTTGGTAGATCTCAGCTTAGACATCATCTATTCTGGAAAACCTTCCCTCACCGCCACCCCGAAGATGTGTGTGCATCTAAAGCACCCTTGCTGTGATTGTCATTGCAAGGCGTGTCACACTGCCATGTCATTGCCTCTTAGCTTTTTTTTCTTTTGCCCCCTAGAATACTGTGAGCACATTACTGGTGGGGGCAGTGTTCCTTCTACTGGGGCAGAGCACCTAGCACAAAGTACGTGCTCAGGACATATTCTATCATATTAAAAATAGCTATTTAGGCCGGGCACGGTGGCTCACGCCTGTAATCCCAGCACTTTGGGAGGCCGAGGCGGGCGGATCATAAGGTCAGGAGATCGAGACCATCCTGGCTAACATGGTGAAACCCCGTCTCTATTAAAAATACAAAAAAATTAGCCGGGCGTGATGGCGGGCACCTGTAGTCCCAGCTACTTGGGAGGCTGAGGCAGGAGAATGGTGTGAACCCGGGAGGCGGAGCTTGCAGTGAGCCAAGATCGAGCCACTGCACTCCAGCCTGGGCTACACAGAGAGACTCCGTCTCAAAAAAAAAAAATCTACTTAAACAAGCAATCTAATAAAGATGAAATTTTGCTGTGTTATACACTTATTATTGCTACATTGGAAGACTAGACTCCCTTGGCAACCAAACACATTCTTTTTTATATTATTTAATTTTAATAAGAGTTACCATATATTGATCCATCTTCTATGCCAAATGTAACTTAATCCTTCTATCAGTTCTCTGAGGTAGATATTATCAGTAGTCCCATCTTATAAGGAAAATGAGGCTCAGAGAATTGAGGTACTTTGCCCAAGATCATTCAGCTAGTAGAACAGAGCTGGGACCCAAACCCAAGACCATTCATCTCCAGTGTCTGTTTGCTTTGCTGCCTCCAATAAGACTGAGGATGCCACTTTCCTTTTTGTTAAATTTTCTGGCCTCCCAAATACCGTAGAGTGGCATTTCATTATTATTGGCACCTACATAACAAACATGGTAATGCCTTTGATGTAAATTCCTTTGGTGACTAATCAACCCCACCTTGCCATATTTTTGTCTTTGGCACTATTTAACTTTCATGCTTCGTCAAGTCTCCTTAACTGGAGTGTAACTGGCTGGTGACAGTGCCAAGGTCTTAAGATTCTTTCTGTCTCCCCAGGTCTAAAAGGAACATCTCTCACCTACTAAAACACATAAATGAAATTGGGTTTCTGTCTATTTGGCTGTTCCATGTTCAAGTAAAATGACTAGAAGATCATCACCAAGTCTGAAGGGTATTTGGGACAGCTTGATTTGGATCTGTGGTATACACAGCTTTCACACTGGGGGACCAGGGAGGCACCTCAAGAAGATAGACACACTTAGTAACCTTTGTACTATTTGACTTTTTTTTTTTTTTTTTTTTTTTTTTTGAGACAGAGTCTCTCTCTGTGACCCAGGCTGGAGTGCAATGGTCCAATCACAGCTCACTGTAACCTCAGCCATCTGGGCTCAAGTGATACTCCTGCCTCAGCCTCCTAAGCAGCTGGGACCACAGGCATGTGCCACCACACCTGGCTAATTTTTTAAATTTTTTTGTAGAGGTGGACTTTCGCCATGTTGCCCAGGCTGATCTCAAACTCCTGGCCTCAAACAATCCTCCCTCCTCAGCCTCCCAAAGCTCTGGGATTACAGGTGTGAGCCACCATGCCCAGCATAGTTTATTTTAAACTAGAGGCATGAGTTACTTTTTTAAAGTACCATCAAGAATAAAGATAGATAGATAGATAGATAGATAGATAGATAGATAGATAGATAGATAGACAGATAGACAGATAAATTTTCAAAGCCAAAAATTAGAGAGAAAATGACAGGGCAGAAGACCAGGGGTCATAGTTATTTTCCAGAGCAGATTTCCAGAACAAGATACAATAAAAGCCTGATGAATATTAATATAAATTTTCTGTGAATGGAGAAACAAATGCGCCTTAAATGTGAGTCCCAAATCAACTGTCACAAAGGAAGATGCTCCAAATTGCAGGCCCCGATTTTTGGTCAATCTATTTCTCTCCAGGAGAATTCTATGTGCTCTAGGGTGAGTAGCAGCAGTAATGTACTTTATTGGATGGTGCTTTAACAATTCATCCTATAAATGCAGGGGATGCTGGTTAATATTCAATAATTGTTGGTTGGAGGTGATGTTGATAGGGGACCCTCAGACAATAGATGCCAGGACTTCACCACAAACATCTGCCCACTCCATGTTGTTCCCACCTTGTCTTGTTCTATCTGTCTCTACTAACAGCAAGACCAGACCAACTGTTCTCATACCTTTCTAGCATAAGCATTTCTACATCTCAGCAATCCTACAACCTAGGACACACCCACTTCCTTCCAGTTGCCCACACACCCATTTCTTTCACTGGGATTACCAAAGAGTTGAATTTAGAAAGGAAAAAAAAAAAAAAGGTTTCCATATGCAAATGGCAAAATCAAGGTCAAGGTGGAACACTTGCTCTGCAGTCAGTCCAGTTGAGCAGGCCAAAAATGCCCACTGGGATAATGAAATTCAGTAGTGACTGCATCTACCACCCTCTGCCCTTATCATGGGCCAAGGGTGGAAGGACGATATTGAAAACATGTGATCACAGTCATCTTTGAAGGGGAAGAAATTAATGAGGACATTGTAGGCCCTTTGAAAGTGAAGCTGATTCTAACCACCCAGCGGGTTCTCCTTGAACCACTGCTCAGACAGAGCTGAATTATCCAGACAGGGGAGTTGCAACAGAGAAAAAGTTTAATTCATGCAGAGCTGGCTGTACAGGAGGCTGGAGTTTTATTATCACTCAAATCAGTCTCACTGAAGGCTCAGAGGTTAGTGGTTTTTCAAAGATAGCTTGGTGAGTAGGGAGCCAGGGAGTAAGGAATGCTGGTTGGTTGGGTTGGAGATGAAATCATAGGGAGTGGAAACTGTCTTCTTGTGTTGAGTCAGTTCCTGGGTGGGGCCCATCCGGTTGTCAGAAATGCAAAAACCTGAAAAGACATCTCCAAAGGCCAGTCTTAGATTCTAAAATAGTGATGTTATCTGCTGGAGTAATTGGGGAAGTTGCAAATCTTTATTCCTCCTAAGTAATGGCTGGCTAGGCATACTTCCTAACAGAATTCAGGCCCCTCTCATCCTCCTAACTTGGTGGCCTTTCATTAGTTTTACAAGGGCAATTTAGTATCTGGGAAGGGCCATTATAATTTAACTAAATTTCTCCCAAAGTTAGCTTGGCCCACACCCAGGAATGAGCAAAGATACCCAGAAGCAAGATGGGGACAGTTAGGGCAGATCCCTTTCACTGTCATAATTTTCTCACTGTTATAATTTTTGCAAAGGCAATTTCCACTCTAGGAATCTTTTGCAAAGCATTAAAACAAAACAAAACATGCATTAGAAAGGCCACTGAAAAACTGAATGAGCTAACTCAAGCAGTTTTCTGCCTCCAGGAAATACCACACCTAAAACAGATGCTTCCTCATCACCATCCATAAAAGTACAACATTTCAGCAGTGACCTGGTGAAATGCATCCATCCCAGGAGAAGGTTCTCAGCTATGAGCACATGTAATTATATTTGAAATATGGACTATGGTCTAACTAGGTCTGTCAGATTATAAAACACACATTCTTGATGCACTATATATTCTGCCTTTTGTGTGTGCTTCACTTATCTCTTCTTCGGTAACTTTTTTCTTTTTTTCTGATTAGAAAAGTAATACAAGGTCATTGTAGACATTCTGGAAAATTTAAGAGATCATTAAAAAGAAAACAAAAATAATTCGCCCTCATACCACTCATATATACACTGTTAAATTTTGTGCTCTAGAACCTTCTGTTACCACTAGGGAATGTATCTAAGTCACGTGGCACCAAAATCACGTGGCACCAAAGTATGTTAGTGGTGGTGAACTAACCTCAGTTCTTGCCTCCTCATGAAACATGAGGTTTTCCTTGACCCCTTCAGAGTCCTCCTGACAGGAATGCCTCACTTACTCAGTCCACAGCTCTCAACCCCTCATGGGCGGGGGGGCAGCACACAGGTGAGCAGGTGCAAGAGCCAGAGCAAATGCTTTTGGGCACCGGCAGGACCAAAACTCTGTGCAGGCCCCACAGCAGCATCTAGGGTGGAGTACCCATGACCCCTGCAGCCCCACAGGACATATGTTACAGTGCACTTTTTTAGCTTTGCTATCCATGGTTGGATTAAGTGTTTAACAACTCAGTGAACCCTCTGCCTTTTTGCAAGGGCAGAGGGTCAGTGTGACAGCCTTTAGCATCCTCACCCATGGCACCTGAGATCTCGTTTGGTGTCCAGGAAAAATCAGGTTGCATGAACGAATTGAAGGGCGGTGAATGTGGAGGATTTTATTGCCAGTGGAAGTGGCTCTCCACAGGAAGGGGAGGTGGAAAGGGGAGGGACCGGGAAGGTATTCTTCCCCTGAAGTCCTGCTGTCAAGTCATCCCTCTGAAGTCAAACTGCTTCTCTCCAGCATTCAGCTGCTTCTTCTCTCCTCCCCTTCTCTGCTCTCTGCCAGTGGAGCCTGGGGTTTTTATGGGTGCAGAATGTGGGGGCAGGGTGGGCCATGGGTGGTTTGGGAAACGGCAACATTGGAGTGGGAAAACAGGACTACATGTTCTCACTTTGGGCCACAGCACCAGGCTTGAGGGTGGGTCTTTGCCAAAAACCCCCACTCTTTTCTGCCTAGAATTTCTCTGTCTCCTGTCCCTATTACTCAGAAGAAAGAATTTGACCAAAGGGCTTAAGACAGAGTGAGAGACCCAGGCAAGTTTTAGAGCAGGAGGGAAAGTTTATTTAAAAAGTTTTAGAGCAGGAGGCCAGACACAGTGGCTCATGCCTGTAATCCCAGCACTTTGGGAGGCCGAGGCGGGTGAATCACTTGAGGTCAGGAGTTCGAGAACATCCTGGCCAACCTGGTGAGACCCCATCTCTACTAAAAATACAAAAATTAGCCGGGCGTGGTAGCTGTAATCTCAGCTACTCAGGAGGCTGAGGCACGAGAATGGCTTGAACCCAGGAGGTGGAGGTTGCAGTGAGCCGAGATTGCGCCACTGCACTCCAGCCTGGGAGACAGAGCACGATTCCATCTCAAAAAAAAAGTTAAAAAAAAAGAGAAAGTTTTAGAGCAGGAACAAAAGGAAGTACACTTGGAAGAGGGAGGGTGACTTGAGAGATTCAAGTGTATGGTTTAACCTTTGATTTGGGGTTGCATATGCTGGCATGCTTCTGGGGGGTTGCCTCCCTTCTCCCCTGATTCTTCTCTTGGGGTGGCCTGCCAGCACTTGGGAGGGGCCACATACACAGTATGTTTACTGAAATTGTACGCATGTTCACTTGAGGCATTCTTCCCTTACTAGTTGAGTGTTCTTAGAAGAAGCTCATACACCAGTTAAATTCGACCATTTTCCCTCCTAGTGCTCATGCTTAAGCCCATTCGCCCAGCTCCTAAGATCTTATCCGGAAGCTGCTAATCACCAGCTTCAGGTGTTCTATCTATTGGGAGACTGCCTTTCCCTGGTACCAGCTGTGACCAATTATTATTTTAGAGAAACAGTTTAATAACCATCTGACCCTCACCTGATGGTTGCCTGACATTCCTAGTGGTGGTGGGCGGGGAGTGGCGGGGGAACCCTCTTCTGCCCTGCTCATGTCTGACTAGCTATCTGCCGTGACACTTCCACTCTTCTTTTGGTAAGAGCATGTATGTATGAGGCAGGAGGTAGAAGCTACTTCCCATACTCCTAGGCTAGAAGTATCCCTTCAAAAGCAACTGACCATTTGGGGGAAGAAGCCTTAGTTTTCATTATCCACACAATTGCCCTATTTCTGCACTTCACTGGCCGCACAAATCACTTGGACTCATGTAACAGACACATGTGACTGTATCCATAATAGGTTCATTGCCCATTGCACACAGCAAGTCAATACGCCGAGAGGCCAGGTTGCAGCAGAGAAAGAGGTTTAATCGTAGGGTCACCAAATGAGGAGACAGGAAGAAACCTTAAATCTATCTCCTTGTGGCATTTGGGGCTAGGGTTTTTAAGAGTTTGGGAGTGGGCTGATGTGTTGGAGATGGTTGACTGGTTGAAGAGTGCATGGTGAAGTCATGGGACAGGGTGAAGCTGTATTTTCAACCTGATCCCCTTTCTTTGTGGGGGTTTTCAAACTGAAATATGGTAGAATTGGGGACCTGAAAAACAACTTAAGTGATTCTTAAACAAAAGCGTTCTGATTGTAATGTCAGAGATCCCATCTAAAGGAACAATAGGGATACAAATCAATTCCTACACAATCTTATGACCCTAATGTCAGAAATCCTATCTACAGGAATAATGCAGATGCAAATGGTCAGGATCTAGTGCTACGTGACTTTGAGCAACAAGGAAGTGGGCCAACGTGCAACCTAATCAATGCTTAATTATAACTATATTCCTGTCCAGAACCCAGCATGCAATTCTTGTCAACCCTGTGAGGGTGGTTTCATGACTCTCAATGGCCTACCACTTTCCATCTAGTAGGGCAAACCTGCCTTGTCTATCACTTTCCTTGTAATAAGCCCATTCTCCTTGTCAGGGAGTGGTATACAGGTGATAAGTGAGACTTCATGAAAAGGCTATGGAGCTTGTAGGGCAAATTATTTGCTCCTAAGAGACATCAACAGGACAAGATAGTCTTTTCTTATCCCAGGTGTTATCAGTCCTTAGTGGATTGATGCCTGGAACTGCAGAGCTCCTTAGAAAACTAAGCCCAGGGCAACCTAATTGATGCAGACGTGAAATCTGTTCAAGTGACCTCTAGCAAGTCACTGCAAGTGACTGAATACAAAATAGACTGTTGCAAGAAAAGAGCAACTTGCAGAACAATATGTATAGTATGATTCCATTTATATAGCCAGATAGATATAAATACATAGAGAAGCATTCAGAAGCTCTGCAGGAATGCTGGCACTGGTAACCTCTGGAAGCCACAGGAATCAGGGCCTCAACATTGTATTCTATGTATATTTGTATTGTTTGAAGTTTTTACAATAGCATGCATGCATGTATTGCTTATGTAATTTTCTAAGATTTTAATTTTTATAAGTACACATGGCTTCTCCTTTATTTGAAATGTGTACTAGATGATCAAAGCATTCTTCTAGGAGAAAATAAGTTTTTGTGGCCAAAAAAATTCTTTAAGTTATTTTTGGTTTTTAGGGGGTTGCCTCCATGTCACAGCTTAATCATCAGACACATTAACCTTGCAGCTCAGCACGCCCTCTGTTTGTCAGCAGACCTTCCTCGCCCATAGGGTAAGCAATAGAAAGCTTATAGGTATCAGTTTATTTTGCCTGGGATCAGGGTCTGGATTGTGAAGTGGGACATGTTGATAAACCTCTTCTCCAAAATTAGGTCAATGGGCATTTGGCTCATATTACCAGAATGCTGGCTGGCCATGTACAGCCTGTCTCCGAGAGAGGCTCTAATGTGGCCCCCACATTAGAACAACCTGCCAATGACCACATTAGAACCTCCATTGTTAAAATGCAGGTTCCTGAGCCCCATCCCAGATCTGAATCACAATCTCCAAGCATCAGCCCCAAGAACCTGAATTTTGTTGTTACATGCAGATAAAGTACGAGAACCACTTCCTCCATGGGTGAACTGAACTTACCAAAATAGTCAGTCCCGAGGGGCAGAGATGGCGTAGGTGCCAGTTCTTCTTTCTCATCCTAGATGCTCAGAGTCAAATTCTTGGCTCAGCAATAGACAAGTGATTTCACTGTGGGAAGACAATTCAGAGCCCTGTTCCAGGCTCCTCACATTGATTCTCTCTGTCTTCTTCCACTCCTCTTTGTCATCTTTGATGTCCCCTTGTGAGCTACGAAAAGACTTTCTGGGACACGACAGGATAAAAAAATAAATAAGTGCAAGCAGCCATTCATTAAACGTTTAGCCAGGATGCTGCTTTAACTGCATCCCATCATATCTCATTAATCTTCACACCAGTCCTGAGATCAGGTACTATTATTAACCCGATTTTACAGATGTGAGGAACTGAGGCTTAACGAAGGTAAGTAACTTGCAGGTGCGGGTATCCAGCTCTCTAACTCCAGAGCCCATGCTCTTAAAACCCTATTACTTGTCCCTGGTGGAGGTGAACACTGGGGGCCCTTTCATATAGGACTAGCCCTCGGGCTGCAATCTGAGCGGAAAAGGGAGGATGAGGGCATACTTCGAAGCTTCTTTTGCATAACTGGCGCTGGATTTTTACTGAGACTTTACGTTACAGTTTTTTTTTTTTAATTTTCAAGGTGCTTTTACGAACACATGAATAAAATATTTGTGTCATTTTGAACCTTACTTGTCTTATTTTATGCATGTATTTATTTATGGGGGGGCACAAGGACTCATCTGTGGTGGTGCAGCCACTGTAAATAAATTAGTGAAACTACTTCACGTCAATTTCTGTTCAGTACACTTTAGTGATGGATCGGAGGAAATTAATACATGTTTACAAAAAGCCCCTCCCCCAGTTGTTACATATGCCTCAGAGATACCAGTTGTGAAAAGTGCAGGTGCACTTACACACATACGCACACACACCCCACAAATGGTATCATACGAAAAAACATACCTGCAATCTGCTTTGTCCACTTAATTGTATATCTTGGATACAGAACTTGTTTCACTGGAAGGCTAAAAGGCAAAGTCTGGGGAGGCCTAGAGGACACAGGGGATGGGAGGAGGCGCTCTGAGCTGGATGTAAGGTCTCCACCCACGGCCAGAGCACAAGGTCGGATAACCAGTGGGCCTGCCGGCTTGGCTGCCTGGGCCCTCCCCTGCCGAGACAAACGGCTGGAGGGAGGAAGTGTGCGGCTGGGAAGCTCCGCTGCTCTGGCCCGGGTTTCCCATTTCCCCCTTCCCGCGCTGAGACGGCGAGGAAAGTTAGCCCGGAAATCTGCGCCCGCCTAAAACCCGGCCTGGTCCCAGCCACCGCCCCAGGAACTTCCCCCACCGCAGGGGCGGAGGTCGAGAGCAGGGATGGAGAAGTGGACCTGCGCGGGTGGACTCCGGGGCGCGGGTGGACTCCGGGGCGCGGGGGGACTCCGAGGAGCGGGTGGACTGTGGGGCGCGGGTACCGTCTCGCAGCGACCTCTGTCGGCGGCTCTGGGGATGGCCCGCATCTGTCTGCGTGTACCTGGTATACGTGCAGGTACATGTTCCTGTTCACGTGCAGACTGGGCGGGGGATGGGGGGGTCCACACCGGTGTACACCTTTGCATACCTCTTAGCAACTTGAAATTCCACCACGAGAGATATCTTTATTCCGCTATTCCTGTGCATCTGCACGGAGCCCCTAGGGCCATAGATTTGTGTGCAAATGAAATGAGGATGTAGTCTGGGTGCCCAAGGGGGGGTGCCTTGAGTGTGGTTGTCTGTATGCCTCCCTGAGGGTATTTCACTTTCTGCTCCCATCCGCCCCTATGAGCGAGTACCTATGAGCACAGGATGTGCACATATTTGAGTCTTATTAGTGGTACACGCAGTTTTATCATCTCCCCAGGTCTGTGTCTGTATGAAATGTGCATGGGTGTGTGTGTGCACGCGTGTGTTCCCACTCGGGGAATGTGGGGAGAGGTGCATGGAGCCAAGATGGGTGGTAAATAGTATGTTTCTGAAATTAAAGGACTAATGTGGAGGAAGGCGCCCCAGATGTACTAAACCCTTTGCCCTTCATCTCATCCTCTCTGACTTGGGAAGAACCAGGATTTTGTTTTTAAGCCCTTGGGCATACAGTTGTTCCATCCCGACATGAACTCAGCCTCCCGTCTGACCGCCCCTTGGCCTTCCTTCTTCCTCGATCTGTGGAACCCAGGGAATCTGCCTAGTGCTGTCTCCAAGCACCTTGGCCATGATGTAAACCCAGAGAAATTAGCATCTCCATCTCCTTCCTTATTCCCCACCCAAAAGTCATTTCCTCTTAGTTCATTACCTGGGATTTTGATGTCTATGTTCCCTCCTCGTTATTGATACACACACAGAGAGAGACAAACAAAAAAGGAACTTCTTGAAATTCCCCCAGAAGGTTTTGAGAGTTGTTTTCAATGTTGCAACAAGTCAGTTTCTAGTTTAAGTTTCCATCAGAAAGGAGTAGAGTATATAAGTTCCAGTACCAGCAACAGCAGCAGAAGAAACAACATCTGTTTCAGGGCCATTGGACTCTCCGTCCTGCCCAGAGCAAGGTAAGCACTTCCCAAGCCCCTACCTCCCTCCCCTCCCTGTGGGCCTGCAGCTGTCCAGGTGTAGAAACCGTTAGTGTGCTACCCCAGCAGCTGGCAGGAGGGAGTTGGTGGATTCCTGGAAGCATCCCTGGTGAGTCATCTGCTGGAACATTAGTGAAAACTTAGTACTCTAGGGACCGATGTACAGTGTCCATTTTAAAAGCCACCTAATAATAACTGTATAGCAAGATCTGTGTGTATGCATAGTTTGTGGAAATGTTTGTTTTATCTTATTTTGAAGTGGTGTGTATTGATGTATAAAAGTATATTCCTAAATGTTAATGCCCATCAGTTAAAGGATTGTATAGAGCTAAAGTGAGTGGTGCCTGCCTTACTATTGAAATTTTTAAAAAGCCTTTCGTGCATTCCTTAAAGTAATTGGATTCATAATTATAATAATGTTACAAATCAGACTTGCTCCCATATTTGTGATGGTCTTGGTCGTCAGTTGTGATATCAACCAAAATGACAGCTGGGATCCCCATTCTTGTGGATTAACTAACTTTGGCCCCAGTTAAAAAATGAAAAGCTATTATTGCTTCCTAAAGAGTTTTTAAATCTGTGAGAAGGGGGAAAAAAAGGTTTTTTTACTTGCCCAGGTAAAATTGTGTGCAACAACAATGTCATTTTAACAAAGGGATTACTAAACCCCAGGTGATGACCCACTTTTTCAAACAAGGAATTGCAAGATACTAGATGGAATGTGGGTAACCTCTTAGAGTTTAGTTTACTGGAATCTGAAATTGTATGATTTCCGTACATTCCTTCATGCTACTAATAAGTCATGGAATCCCTCTGTGCTGGACTCTGGGGGTAAAGTGCAAAACAAGATAGACATGATCCATGGCATAAGAGAGTTCACTCAGTGTGGCAGAGAAGACAAACAGTAAAGAAGAGACTGTATTGTTGCCATTGTAGTAAATGCTGTGGAAGGAGGGGAGCAAATAGTGGGTCCTGACTTCATCTAGGCACCATGACACTTCACGTGAATTATGTCACTAACTCCTTACCACAGTAGCATGCCCATTTTATAGATCAGGAGTGTGGGGCTTAAAGGGGCCAAGTGACTCACCCAGAGTCACACAGTTCTAGAAGTCTGCCTGGCCCTCAAACTAGGGATCTTTGCATGTGCCACCCATGCCATCTGTGACTATATCTTTTTATTCTTTAATAATAACTCCCTTTTCTAATTAAAGGTAACAAACAAAACTTAAAAAAGAGATGCCCACCCAAGCGTCATTGGCATGCTGATGTTGGCACCAGTGTTGGGAAGCCCTTAGCATACTCCAGGAAGTAGGAGTGTGTAACGTGGGGTCCCTTTGTCCTTCATGCAAGGGTTTCAAGAGTTTAGAAAACCTATGAAATTGCACACACAAAAATGTGTTTTAATCATCAAGACTCTCAGACTTACCATGCTGAGAAATGTGGGCTGAGGGATAGCGCTCCCTAGTATCAGCTGATGGGCCAGAGAGCCAAAGGAGGAGACCCACCACCATCACCTCTCCTGGACAGTGCTCTGTGGTTTCAAATGTAGGTGATACTAAAATGGGAGTTGCTTCTTAGAACCATGGCCGGGGTTCCCTTGACCCTGAAGTGCAGTTCACCTGAGATTGTCAAATGCATCTGAGGCATGCAGAGGAAGTGCTGGGCACACAGCTAGTGGGAATACCTCAGCGTAAGTGGCCAGGAGATGCCAGGAATCTCCACTATTTCCCTTCCAGTGTGCCAGCCTCTGGGTTTTACAGGCGCATGTAATTGCAGTACCTCTGTGCACATTTCCCTACTGCCTAGAATGACTTTCTTGACTATCCATGATATATAAAACACAGATACCGAATTGTTCCCTTACCTCTTCCTCTAGGTTCAAGTTAATATGTTATTGGTTGCCTTCTATAATATGTTATCTCATTGCCTTTCCCAACAAGCCTTTGAGATAAGTATTAGGTCCATTTTATAGACAAAGAGACTGAGGCTCAGCGAGTAACTTGGCCAACAAGTTGCTCCCACTGCTCAACAGCAAATGAGCGGTGGGACCAAAATTCAAGCCTGTGTCTGTTTAACTTCAAGCCTGTGAATGTACTAACCGGTGCCCTGTGCCAGCTAGTACTTTGCTACAGTCATAACCTAGACTGAAGTGATAGCCATGCCCCTAAAACTCCATGCTGTGGTGACAGCACTGAGCAGTGTCCAAGAAGGCTTGACTTCTAGGCCTGTCTCTGCCACTCACAAACTTTATAAGGGAATAAAGTACATAGCAAGGTCCGCCTAGAGTTAGTAGCAGTTCTGACAAAGCTGTAATTTGTCAATATTCCGTCACCCAACCCAGGAATGCTCATTTTTAAGGTATTTGACTGAAACAGTTGAGCATTGCCCTTCATATAGTTTAAAACAGTGGTTTCAGAACCACTTTCCTCCAGACCATGGGTGCTCTGCAAGGTGAATGGAGTTGTTTCAGAATGTTTCAATAATCATCCCTACCTCATTCGTAAGTGGCATGTAATTTTTGCAATCGGAAGATTTTCATAAACCCTGGATACTAACCTAGACTGGTTTCTATATCAGATGGTGGCTTATTTAACATAAAATTATGCATTTTACTATTTCATGGTGGATATATCAATATGTTGTGGTCTTTTCCCAATGAACACTTTGATTTTCAGGGGTTCTGGACCCTGAACATGGGTTAAACCAGTGGTTCTCAAGGTGTGGTCTTAGCGCCAGCAGCATCTGCTTCCCCTGGAAACTTTCTAGAAATGCATATTCTCAGGCCCTCATGCCTGCTGAATCAGACACTCTGGGGGTGGGACTCAGCCGTCTGTTGTAGCAGTGCTTCCAGGTTATCCTGACAGTCACTCAAATTTTAGAACCACTAGGTTCTCTATATGGGAGAGAGTAGTCTTTGAACTTGGAAAACAAGAGAAGCTAAACCCCTACAGCAAGGGCTGGTGACCAGGTCGTTGCCAGAACCTGAAAGTTCGCCTCTGTATTACCGTTCCTGTCCCTAACCCAAGTCCTTCAGTTCTGGGTGCTCCAGCACACACTGCTTTGTGCTGCAGTGATACAAATGTATGGCTCATCTCCCCAGCTGGCGGGGAGGCATTTAACACACTGACTTAATAAATATTTATTGAGTAAAAGTATTTGCTCCTAGGAAGCGGGATCCAGGTAAGCCCTTTTTTTCTCTCTCAACTGCTTCTAGCCCAGTGCTCTTTATGTAGTAAGCACTAAATAAACAACTGCTAGATGTTGATCCAGAAAGTCACATTCCTTCTCTAAGCTTTAAGTTTCTCATCTTAAAAATAAGAGGATTGTATCAGATGGCTTGCCTTAGGTCTCTTTCAGCTCCAGAGCCCCAAATACCCTATGGTTCTCTATTTAGAGATGTTCTTCCCCACAGACTGCCATAGAACTCCTGTAATTTACTTAGTATTTGCTTGACAGTATGGAGAAGAAAGGGGAGAATCAAGATTTTATTTAAAAAAAAAGTAGCTAGAATGTGTATATGGTTCACAAAGGTAACAAGAATTATTGACATTCTTTCTTCTCTTTTTTCTTCCTCTTCCTTCTCTTTTCCTCCTTCTCTTCCCCCTGCTTCTCTCCCTTCTTATAGATGTGTCACCAGCAGTTGGTCATCTCTTGGTTTTCCCTGGTTTTTCTGGCATCTCCCCTCGTGGCCATATGGGAACTGAAGAAAGATGGTAACCAGCCTCTCATTATTCTCTGTGGAGGCCCCACTTCTAAGCCAGGACTCTTGGGCAGCCACTGGTGGGAAATCAAACTGAAATGGGCAACCATGCACTGGGTCCTCTAGAGAAAGCCATCACTCTGGGAAAATGCAATGCCATATCTCTCTTTTCTACTTTGATGGTATCTATATTGTTTGGTTTTCACATTGGATGACATTGGTACACTATGGTGGGGAAAGACATATGATATATGATATGGTGGGGAAAGACATATGACATATGATATTTTCCAATATTACTAAAAACTGTTTCACACAATTAAAATTCCAAAGTAGAGGATTTGCAAAGTATAACAACTGTGTTCGTTTCTCATTCCACCACATGATACTGCCCCCTCAGTTGGCACTGTGATGACTTACCTCTGACCAAGCACTTTGGAGGAAGCATAGGATTCAGACTCACATTGACTTGGGTTCAAGTCCTAGGTCTGTCAATGACTGGTTATGTGACTTTAAGCTGGGTCACCTCTAATCCTGAATTTCCTCAACTGTAAACTGGATGTTACAAAGTGGATGCCTACCACGTGGGTTATTTAGTGGGTTAATGAATGCAGAATACAACTCGACAGATAGTAAAGTGAAAGTAAATGTCAGCTAGTATTACTATTTTGGTTGTTTAAAATATCTTTCATGATTCAAGAGATACTTTTTATTATCCCAATGATCAGTAAAAATTATTAGTAGACTAATAGAATAGTTAATGGTAAAATAAGGAGTTCTGCCCATCCTTCTAGTATCTCACACTCAGTAAATGTGCATTCTGACCGTTGGCTGTACCTGAAAGACCCTCAGATTTTTATCACTGAAGCCAACATCATAATGTTGGCGATTACTATCTTTAATTGTATAATAATAATAGTTAATGTTTATTGAGTGCACTGTCTCACTTAATTCTCACAAGAGCCATATGAAGTAGAGACTGTCTGTATCCCATTTTACAGATGTTGGAAACTGAGGCCAGAGAGATTAAGTAACTTGCCCAATGTCACATACCTGGTAAGGGTGGAACAGGGACTTGATCCCAATTCTGTCTTGCTTCAAAGCTGGTGCACTTAAATTTGTGAAAACGTTTTTACAAGGACATGAAGTAATTTTTTCCCAGGTCTTTGGAGAGCTGAATAAGAGGAAATGGACATAAATTAAGGATGAAAATATTTCAGCTGATGATCAGAAATAATCTTTTGATATTCTAGAAAGTACCATCTTGAAATGGGTACCTGAAAGAAATCTGGGACCACTCCTCTCTTCTCAAGAATTTTAGGAAGACAGAATCCAGCCACCCCTTCTCCATGAGAATTTGAGAGATTTAGACACTCTCTTAAGTAAAGGCAAAGGCCTGAGCCAGGGGTATATGGCAGATCCCTTCCAACCCTGGGATTGTTAGCGAGCTCAGGAACCTTGGTCCTGGCATATTTGACCCCTTAGTGACTTCTGATTTGGTAAACCACAGAAATTCCAGAAAATCAGTGTGAGAAACTCTCCGAGGTGTGACTTAGGAGGGCAGACGATGCAGTGAGGCTAAGTGCCAGGTTCTTGATGCTCCTCTTCAGCTTTCCTCCTGCAGCTGTTTTCCCTGCTGTTGAGCAAACATCTTCTAGGGCTTCCGAGCCTCAGTTGGGACAGGAAAGTAACCATGCTCTTCAGGTGTCAGGGGGACAAAAAAAAAACCAAGAAAAAGCCAAAAGTGCCACATGGTTTTACATCAGCACAGCTAATCATTTCCCCAGAGTTGGACCCCAAATGCTTTTGACCTCTTATTTTTGTTATCCATTCAGTCCTTATAATCCAATTGATGTAAAGTGAAAACTTTATATTCTACAATGCTTTACATCCAGAGGCCAATAACGAGAACCACCATTTATAAAGCATGTAAGGGCACTGTGTATGAGCTTATATAATCCACATATCCACCTTCTAAAGCAAGGGCTAATATTTTTCTCATTTTAAAGATGATGACACTGAGGCTTACAGTAGTTGAATGTCTTGCCAAAGGCCACAAGACTGGAGCAAGGGCTAGAGCTGCTTCTAAATCCAGGCCTCTGCCACTCCAAAATGCAGGCTCTCAACCACTGTGACTCATAAACTTGAGCAGGCATCAGCACCATCTGGAGAGCTTAAGAACCATATAACTAAATCCATCCCAAGGTTTCTGATTCAGCAGCTGAGAATTTGCATTTCTGATCTATTCCAAGGTGATGCTGCTGATGGTGTTTCATCGATCATGCTTTGGGAACTACTACATTAAACAATTCTATTCAATTAATAATTTATGCATGGATTAAAAAAATGAATGAAGCTTTGCTATGACACACTCTGAAATACTATACTAAGCCATTCCTCAAAGGCCAGTTTAGACACTAGCATTAGGCATCCCTTGCAAAGCCCAAGAGACAAAAGGTCTGAGCTGTAGCCCTTGTACTTCTGACTTGCTGTGACCATGCTTAGATCGTTGGCCTCAGTACGCTTCTTCATTAAATGGGAAGACTAAGCTCTACTGGACTGCTTCATAAGAGTGTAAGATAGCTAAAAATAATAATAATAATAATAATAATGCAGAGAGAATGAAAATCTCCACTGGTGATTTAAAACAGAGGGAACGAAATCCTTAAATATCCATGGAAAATTGTTAAGAGAGTTTCTCTGTACAGTTGGCTGACTCCTCAGTCTATAAGTAACGATAACTAACACCGAATTTACTGTGTGGCAGACACTGTGCTAAGTACTTTACGTGCTTTTTTTTTTTTTCATTTAATCCTCAGTCAAATGTAAGGCAGATACTGTTATTATTATCATTTTACAGATGAGGAAACTGAGGCTCATGATAATGAAATACCTTGTTCCAAATCCCCCAGCTGGTTAGTGGAGACAGGATGACAGTCTTGGTTCGTTGTTCTCGACACCCTGAGCTTTTAACCACTATGTTACTCTGCTGAATATTGTGCCCTGCCGTATTCTCTATGAAACTGAAATTGTGCTGGAAGTTTCTCTCCCCCAGACCTTTGGCAAAGAGTCTTGTGCTGTTTGCAGTTTTTGGTATATTAAGGTGTTTCCAATCTGCTAAATAATCAAAGGTTACTATTAAAGGCAGCCTTCCAGTCAATGAGTCGATGGCAGCTATAAAACTCTTTGTTTCTCTTTTCCATGACCTTGAGCCCAAGCAGGGTCTCATGCCTTGAGATCATCTCAGCAAGCATTTGCCAAATACTTGTTGTAAACAAGGTTGTGTTTAGGCAATGGGGATGCCCGAAGGGTTAATAAAACACAGTCCCAGAGTTCCTGGAGCTTACAGCCTGGTTCTCCACTTTATGTGCATTCCAGTTTATGTCGTAGAATTGGATTGGTATCCGGATGCCCCTGGAGAAATGGTGGTCCTCACCTGTGACACCCCTGAAGAAGATGGTATCACCTGGACCTTGGACCAGAGCAGTGAGGTCTTAGGCTCTGGCAAAACCCTGACCATCCAAGTCAAAGAGTTTGGAGATGCTGGCCAGTACACCTGTCACAAAGGAGGCGAGGTTCTAAGCCATTCGCTCCTGCTGCTTCACAAAAAGGAAGATGGAATTTGGTCCACTGATATTTTAAAGGACCAGAAAGGTAATTCTATACCCTTGGATAGTATCAATTTTCTCTTTCGCTCATAAGAGTTAAAAACAACAACAACAACAAATTGAAAAGCCAAGTCATGGTGAGTGTAATGAATTAACATCAAGTCTCTTATTGATGTTAATTGATGTTAACCTCCATTTTCCTTTGCTTTCCTGGACCCTTTGGGTTATCAACCATCAAAATCTCATATTAAGGGAGTTTCATGATCAGTCTGAATGCTTAGCCTCATGTTTTCTTTAAATAATGGTGATATTATTTAATGGCTAATGGAAATTAACCGATAGTGTATCACTCTGCACTGGGGTGATAGCCTTCAAAAAATGAATGCCTCTGCCAGGCATGTTAGGTGTGTAGTGTACTCTGCAGAATCAACACCCCACTGGGATACTCCCAATCCTTATGGAGCTACCCAAGAGGCAACGCATGGAAGAACTTCACCCTGTACCATCTGGTGATCTGTGATTCATCACAATCAAAACCTTTCTGCAAAAAACTCCTAAATATTGAATTTTTGTTTTTTTCAAATCCAGAACCCAAAAATAAGACCTTTCTAAGATGCGAGGCCAAGAATTATTCTGGACGTTTCACCTGCTGGTGGCTGACGACAATCAGTACTGATTTGACATTCAGTGTCAAAAGCAGCAGAGGGTGAGTGAAACTGCTCTGGTTTCTCAGCATTTTTCTAGAACTATTTCATTAAGAAATTAAGGGCAACCTCTCAGTGACCTATCAGTTAATGATAATGGGAAAAGCAAAGTCAAACCCGTGTTTTTTCAACCGCCCTTCCTTGTCTACATTGAAGAAAGAACATGGAGATTTTAGCCGATTGCTTGAATAAATGTATGTGTTGGGGCAGGATATTATTGGGAACTGAGAATAGTCTCTGCTGTGTTTGAACCCACTCATCCAAATTGCCTGGCCATGCTTCCTGAAGCCTCATAGCACCAAAGAAAGGGATAAACGGAGAATTCAAAGCTACAAATGACTTGCTGAAATTGCACCTTGAGTCAAAAATAAAAACAAGAGCTCCAGGGCGTAGATCTTAGGGGCCCTGAAGCAGACTCCAAAACTCGATGAGGCCTCCCGAAATTTTCCCAGGGCCACCTCAACTCCTTTTACTTCTGCTGACACCACTAATCTGAAGTTCGCTGTTGGTCCAATGCACCTGGACTTTCCGTAAGAAAGCAACTTCCATAAATACAAGACCTATGTGTTAACCCCCATGTGGCTTACTTTAATCATCACCGAAGCAAACCCCAGGTGATCATCCTGACTTTACCATTATTTCACTGAGTAAATTAAGCATTGGGGTCTCACTTTTTCATCTTTAAAAGGAAAATGCTTACTAAAGAAATGTTTCTCCAAGTGCATAAAGACATAATCAGCAGAGGAATGGTTAAATAAAACATGGTACACTATACTCTTGCTTAATGTGCAGTCATTGAAGTGGATAACCCAACCCATATGTTTTGTCATGGAGAGCTCCCCATAATATGTTCAGAGGGGAAAAGGATGGTTACATAATCATATGTATACAATTTGATCCTAGTTCATAAAAATAAAATCTATATGTATAAGTAAAATATATATAGTGGATATATATAATGTAGAGATGTATATAACATGGATTATATATATAATGTGTGTATACATATGTGTGTGTGTGTGTGTGTGTATATATATATATATATATAAAATGTGTATACAATTATCTTGAATATTCATTGAAAAAGTTCTGGCCAGGCACAGTGGCTCACACCTGAAATCCTAACTCTTTGGGAGGCTGAGACAGAATGATTGCTTGAGGCCAGGAGTTCAAGACCAGCCTAGGCAACACAGTGAGACCCCATCTCAGAAAATATTAAAAATAAAAAAATTAGGTGGGTGTGGTGGCACACACCTGTAGTCCCAGCTACTTGGGAGGCAGAGGGAGGGGATCACTTGAGCCTAGGAGTTTGAGGCTACAGTGGGGTCTGATTCCACCACTTCACTCCAGCCTGGGTGGCAGAGCAAAACCCTGTCTCTTAAAAAAAAAAAGAGAGAGAGAGAGAGAAAGAAAAAGAAAAAGGAAGGTCTGGAAGGATACAACAAGCTATTATTAGTACTTAAACCTGTGGAGAGCAGTTAAGGATGAAGGAGACATACACTTCTTTCCTTTATATGGATCTTTATCATCTTTACTTTTATAATTAGTGTGTACTGATTTGTGTATTGATTTTATAATTAAAATGGGAAAAAATGAATTTAAGTTTTTAACAAGGGGGTTTAATAATCAGAGATTCTAGATCTAAAACAAACAAAAACTTCCATATTCATTTAGTCCAGAGACATGTAAGTGCTCTTGAATTTAAGCTTTTTCTCCTGGGGAGGGCAGTTTCTTACCCTCTGGGTAGAAATCAGCCCAGTTGGAGAAACTGTGTCCTCAGACAACAGTTGAGGCCTTACCTGCCTTACTGGCTACAATCACTAGGAACTCTCTCCCCAATGTGTAACACAGGCTAATTTCTGTCTTTGACTTCAGCTCTTCTGACCCCCAAGGGGTGACGTGCGGAGCTGCTACACTCTCTGCAGAGAGAGTCAGAGGGGACAACAAGGAGTATGAGTACTCAGTGGAGTGCCAGGAGGACAGTGCCTGCCCAGCTGCTGAGGAGAGTCTGCCCATTGAGGTCATGGTGGATGCCGTTCACAAGCTCAAGTATGAAAACTACACCAGCAGCTTCTTCATCAGGGACATCAGTGAGTTTTGGATGATTATATGTGCTCCATAAGGAAAGATACTATTTGTCACGTGTTCACAATGCCCCATGCACTGTGGGGTAGGTGGTTGACAAGCATCATCTCTTTTATTCTGCATCCAAAAACAAAATACGATGTAGATACTGTTATCTGCATTTTAAGGAAGAGGAAATTGAGTCTTAGAAAAGTTAAGCAACTTGCCCCAGATCTCAGATCTTACAGCTAGCCGTTCAAATCCAGATCCACTCCACTACAGCTGCTCTTTACTGCACTTTGATTCAGCTGCCAGATAGTTTCCATGATGAATCCCAGAGCCTAATCAAGCATAATATTCATATTCAGAACCAGGGCTTCCTTACTAATGGCAATTATTCCCAACCAATCCTTCCTTAGCATTTGAAAAGGGACTTCTTTCTTAGAATATAAACCCTTCCAAAATGGACATCTTTTTTTTTAATTGGCAGATAGGGATTTCACCATAAGTCATTTCCTTTACTATTTATTCATTGACCAGGCAGCATGATAAAGTGTAATAGAACCAGAGAACTTGCTTCAAAACTTATGGAGGGTTTGTACTTGGTGGGTGGGGTCTAGTTCACATAGGGTGGCCAAGGAAGGCCTCTCTGAGGAGGTGACATTTAGCTGACACCAAAAGGAAAGATGTCAGTTGTGTTAAGAGCAGAGGGAAGCATATGTGCGAAGCACCTGCTAGGAGCCGTGATCTTTGTGTGGAGCAGTGCCAGGCCTACAGAGCCCAACCACACACCCTAGCATGTCTCTGCCTCCTCTTATCTAGAAGACCTAATTGAGGAAGGAGTCTTTGTGAAACTCACTGCTGTATCCTTCATGCACAGTCCAGTGGCTGGAACATAATGGGCGCTCAGTATTCATGGAATAAACAAGCAAATTGAGCATAGAGACAATTGACTGTAACTGCTCCAAGACATGTCCGCACCAAAAGCTATGAAAAGACAAAAGAAAGGGCAGTAAATAGAAAATCTATCATCTCATCCCCAGGGAGAGGCTCAGCTTAGTTCCATGTTCAGTGCAAAGTGAGGGATTAGCACAGACAGGGTGGTCCTTCAATGCATGGCCCATAACCATTAAAGCAGAGGTCTTCTCACTGTGCGGTCCCATCTGATTGTTCAGTGATGAGGATTCTGAGCATCTCTCAGATCCTGCAATACATGTGGATCTGAGATGTGGCCATTGATAATGACTGCCTTCCCGAGGCACCAGCGTGAGCACCTGCGGCAGAGGTGCCTCACATTTGCCAGCCAGGTGCTCACAGAAGTTAAGTAACTATCCAGTGGACTCACAGCTGATCAAAGGTGCAAGTGAGATCATAAGCCAAAACCACTGAACTCCAAAGCCTTATTAGGAAAATAAAGCATGTTTATCCTCTTCCACAGTCAAACCTGACCCACCCAAGAACTTGCAGCTGAAGCCATTAAAGAATTCTCGGCAGGTGGAGGTCAGCTGGGAGTACCCTGACACCTGGAGTACTCCACATTCCTACTTCTCCCTGACATTCTGCGTTCAGGTCCAGGGCAAGAGCAAGAGAGAAAAGGTAAGAAGTGATTCAGGTGCAGTATATTCCTTGGTCAGTTTTACGGAGGCCCACCATAAAGTGAGAAGATGAATGATGATAATAACAATGACATCCATGTATCACTTAACAACAGGGATACATTCTGAGAAATTCATCTTTAGGCAGCTATATCATTGTGCAAACATATATGGTGTACCCACACAAACCTAGATGGTATAGCCTACTACGCTTCTAGGCTTTATGGTATAGCCTATTGCTCCTAGGCTGCAAACCTGTACAGCATGTTCCTGTACTGAATACTGTAGGCAATTACAACACAATGGTTTGTATATCTAAACAGAAAAGATATAGCAAAAATACAATATTATAACAATATAGGACCACTGGTCATATATGTGATCCTTCTTTGACTGAAATGTTATTATGTGATGCATAATTACTTTTCTTAGCACTTTTCTATGTGTCTAGAGCTGTGCCAAGGGTTTTCCATGTTTATTTCACTTAATCTACAAAATTAACGCAACAAAGGTAGCTGATGTTATTCTTGTTTTTTTACCCCCTTTTTTGTGGAAAAGAGGCTTTCCTTTTTTCCAGAAACTGTGGCAAGGTAAAGTAAAGCTGTAGCTGATGCAGGAATTTTGTGTAGGTGTTAGCAGCACTGCCCTCACTACGTGCTCATTGGACAGTAGCCCAACCCCAAGAAAAGGATGGTTGGTAGCCAGTAGTATTATCATCATTTCACAAGTGATTGAAGACTCAGAGAGGTTAAGTGACTTTACCAAGGTCACCCAGCTAGGAAATGACATAACCAAGACATAAACTCAATCTGCCAGACAGAAAGGCCATGCACCTAACCACTCCACTACCTCTGATGTTGGTCATTGATCTTGGCACTCAGAATTAGTCCTGATAGAGGAGACCTGGGCTCCAGAAGCCTAAAATTGTTGTTTCAACTGAGTGCATGTAATGAATGATAGAACAGGCAAGAGATATCGCCCCCAAAATGGATAGCTCCTGGCTGTTCCAGATATTATAAAATTATTTTACTAAACAGAATGTCTACACTTATAGAGGCTAAGATATTGGCTTCCCAGCTTCCTCACCTTACAGCAGAATTCCTTTGCCTGTTGCAAGGTTCCAGAGGCCCTTTTGTACCGCCCCAGACTCCTTTCACCCCACTTTTAAAATCACTGGACAAAGCCCTAATTCAGCATAGCATTTAGCATGTGGTAGAAATTCAGTGAGCTAGTTACTCTCTGGGAAAATAATTAGGTAGGGAGGCTATCCTGGAATAGATATTTACCTAAATATTATTTTACATCTTGGCAAGTACTTTCCCTATTTAAGATCTGTATGACTAATAGGTGATATTGAGTGCTTCCTATGTGCTAAAGACTTGCTAAGAGTTTGACGTGATTTTTACCTTGAACTATAATTCTATGAAGTAGGCATTATTGTTATCCCTATTTATAAGTGAGGAAACAGACACAGAGAACCTAAGACATTTTCCTGAAGTTACACAGCTATTAAGTAGCAGTGCCAGAATTTGAAGGCAAGTTTTCTGATGAAATGATCAGGATATGGTATTTCTCAATATCTCAGGGATGGCTAGAGCAAATCTGTCTCTCTCTCACCATCAGCTCAGGACTGGGTGAGTGGCCATGGGGTCTTGAGGCAAGGCAATTGTGCTAGAAAGATGAAAGCTGGGCCAAACGATTTCTCCCTCAAGGGCTTACAAAGTACAAAAGCTGCACCTACATGTGGAGTGTCTGCCAGTAGGTGGTGCAAGTTCTATGCACACCCCTGTGAATTGCAAGCACAGTGCCCTAAGACCAAGATGGGCTTGTTTTGGGAGAGTATGCATTGCAGAAACAGGCTCAGCTTACCCTGTGACTATGTTGCCAAGGGGTCTTCACAGCTTTCCTTCTCTTTTGCAGAAAGATAGAGTCTTCACGGACAAGACCTCAGCCACGGTCATCTGCCGCAAAAATGCCAGCATTAGCGTGCGGGCCCAGGACCGCTACTATAGCTCATCTTGGAGCGAATGGGCATCTGTGCCCTGCAGTTAGGTGAGCAGGCCCTCAAAGGCCAGCCCAGGCCTGCACTCTCAGTGCACCTGGATGCAGGGATATGATTGGGGGCTGTGTTGGAGAGGAAAGGGGGATGGAGTGGCCAGCACCCAGTTGCCAGAATCAGAAACATACATTTATTCACTAACAGATATTTATTTGGTGCCTTTGTTATGTAGGACACTGTGCTGGCCACAGGGATATTGCAGGAAAGAAAACAGACCGGGGTTCTGGCCTCCTAAAGAGAAAGGCAAAGAAAAGAGAGAGGTAGCCAGGAGGCAGAGCATGGAGGACTTGCAAGCTTGCAGGACTCAGAATCTTGTTCTGGGGGCCCCGGGCCCTGAAACCCACTGAAGGGTTTTCAGCAAGGAAGTAACACAATCAGATATTATTTTAAGAAAACCCTCAAGAAAGCCTCTGGCAAGCATGGTGCCAGCCAAATTCCAGGCCACATAAGGAAGGCCTGGGCCTTCTGGCATGAAATCCCTGAAACCCAGTTGCCCAGGATCATATGTTGTGAGAAATAAGAAGAGACATTGCTGTTACAATGTCACCCCACATCAACTTTTGGCATTCTCTTCCAGGTTCTGATCCAGGATGAAAATTTGGAGGAAAAGTGGAAGATATTAAGCAAAATGTTTAAAGACACAACGGAATAGACCCAAAAAGATAATTTCTATCTGATTTGCTTTAAAACGTTTTTTTAGGATCACAATGATATCTTTGCTGTATTTGTATAGTTAGATGCTAAATGCTCATTGAAACAATCAGCTAATTTATGTATAGATTTTCCAGCTCTCAAGTTGCCATGGGCCTTCATGCTATTTAAATATTTAAGTAATTTATGTATTTATTAGTATATTACTGTTATTTAACGTTTGTCTGCCAGGATGTATGGAATGTTTCATACTCTTATGACCTGATCCATCAGGATCAGTCCCTATTATGCAAAATGTGAATTTAATTTTATTTGTACTGACAACTTTTCAAGCAAGGCTGCAAGTACATCAGTTTTATGACAATCAGGAAGAATGCAGTGTTCTGATACCAGTGCCATCATACACTTGTGATGGATGGGAACGCAAGAGATACTTACATGGAAACCTGACAATGCAAACCTGTTGAGAAGATCCAGGAGAACAAGATGCTAGTTCCCATGTCTGTGAAGACTTCCTGGAGATGGTGTTGATAAAGCAATTTAGGGCCACTTACACTTCTAAGCAAGTTTAATCTTTGGATGCCTGAATTTTAAAAGGGCTAGAAAAAAATGATTGACCAGCCTGGGAAACATAACAAGACCCCGTCTCTACAAAAAAAATTTAAAATTAGCCAGGCGTGGTGGCTCATGCTTGTGGTCCCAGCTGTTCAGGAGGATGAGGCAGGAGGATCTCTTGAGCCCAGGAGGTCAAGGCTATGGTGAGCCGTGATTGTGCCACTGCATACCAGCCTAGGTGACAGAATGAGACCCTGTCTCAAAAAAAAAAATGATTGAAATTAAAATTCAGCTTTAGCTTCCATGGCAGTCCTCACCCCCACCTCTCTAAAAGACACAGGAGGATGACACAGAAACACCGTAAGTGTCTGGAAGGCAAAAAGATCTTAAGATTCAAGAGAGAGGACAAGTAGTTATGGCTAAGGACATGAAATTGTCAGAATGGCAGGTGGCTTCTTAACAGCCCTGTGAGAAGCAGACAGATGCAAAGAAAATCTGGAATCCCTTTCTCATTAGCATGAATGAACCTGATACACAATTATGACCAGAAAATATGGCTCCATGAAGGTGCTACTTTTAAGTAATGTATGTGCGCTCTGTAAAGTGATTACATTTGTTTCCTGTTTGTTTATTTATTTATTTATTTTTGCATTCTGAGGCTGAACTAATAAAAACTCTTCTTTGTAATCATATTTTGGGCATTCTCAGCTGATTTGAGTACTCTGCTTGCAAGTCTACCAGGGGTGCATTTTTTCCCCTATCATTTAAGCATTGCCCTTTCTTGAAGTGATCCCATTCCAAATTTTGCAGAGTTGCTCTTTCCCCTTATAGTATTTCCAAAGTCAGTGTCTTCCTGAGCTCAGGGGATGTCCCTGTAATCTGACAAGGAAGGATCCTTTGCAAGGGCACTGAACTGCATTGTGCCTTTTTTAGGGGTGGAAGCTCTCACTTATTCCACCCTCTATCCTGGAATCGACTCTACTGGTATCCCAAGAATCATGAAATAAAACTCTAACCTGGTACAGCCATGGACATCTCAGCTCTTAGGTCCAGCTCTAGTATTTATTGAGAGTTTGCCGTATATATGGACATGTGCTAGCCCTCAGGGTTGGGAAGTTTCAAAAAGCCTTGCATTGTGTCTCCCAAACAGTGCCCACTCCTAACACTGCTTATAAGGCAGGATGAAAAGTTAACTTCACTATCATTACACGCTAAAATGTTCAGGATATATGGTAGCCTGGGGTGAGAATGAAAAAGAAGGATCTGTGTAACCCAGCACCATCCAGGAAGACTCATCAGAGAAGAGAGGGTGCCAACTTTGGGCTAAAGAATGGGCAGGGCCTGCAAATTCCCCTTGGTGCTTCCCATGGAAGGAGGAGATGGTGGGATCAGAGGGAATGCAGTCCAATTTCCTGCTATCCCAAAAATCCAAGTGTGCACATTCAGGCTTCCTTGCAATGGCAGGGTAATTATAATAGGGGTGTTTGTTTACATTCCTGATTTTCAGTGTCCCCTGGAGCCCTATGCCACTCTGCTCCTGGCCTGGAGGAATGGTGGGTGGCTTCTGTCATTCTTTGCCAACCTTTGGAGCATATGGTCCCGTGTTATAAGCCCACACTTGACAGCATATGGTTGTTAATAACAAGTGTTTGTCCCCCTACAGGGTCTTTCATCTGCAGTTACCAAAGTACTTAACGGACATTTAATGAACAACACTAACCAGATTTTTAAAAAATAAATAACTAATCACATTTCATAAGCACTGAGAACTGGGACCTTTCCCCAAATTTCTGGCCAGCCTGGGGCAGAGGTGAGATGTTCTGGCTCCCACCATGCCCAGTGCTTTTGCGACATGACCTCTTAGCATTCGATTAATTTCAGTGCATGCAATGCAGAGTTTTTCTTCTTTAAAGATAGTCTCCAGGACTGTCCTTTTTATTGTAAATCTAGCCACTACAAAATGTACTAAATGTCTAAGCCAAAGATCTTAGGACTGGGAATCAGAGGAGCAGACTCCAGTCCCAACTATGGTTACATAACAGACTTGTGACCTTGAGCAGGGTGTTGGAAACAGCCTGCTGGTTTTCCAATCAATACTCATTCCCAACTGTTTTCTCCCCGATGCCCTCTTCAGCTCTAAATGTTGGTAAGTTTAGCGACCACTTTTTCAGCCACCTTTGTTGCCCAGCAAAGCCAAAACACTGAGTTCTGGCCAATGAGATATAAGAAAATTCTGCTGGGAGGGTTGCTGAGAAGCTTTGGCTTTTCTGATGAAAGACAGAGCCATGTCTAGCATCACCCTTTCCTTCCATCCTCCTCTCTTGAGCAGAAAAAAATCTCGAGAAGCTTCAGAGGACACCTTGTGCCCAGTATGAAAGCCATCATGCAAAAACTCAAGCTAGAGACTTCAGGCTAGGCGCTGTGGCTCATGCCTGTAATCCCAGCACTTTGGGAGACTGAGGTGGGCAGATCACCTAAGGTCAGGAGTTCAAGACCAGCCTGGTCAACATGGTGAAACCCCGTCTCTACCAAAAAAGTACAAACATTAGCTGGGCATGGTGGTACACTCCTATAATCCCAGCTACTTGGGAGGCTGAGGCAGGAGAATCACTTGAACTTAGGAGGCAGAGTTTGCAGTAAGCAGAGATCACACAATTGCACTCCAGCCTGGGCAACAGAGTGAGACTTTGTCTCAAAAAAAAAAAAAAGAAAGAAAAAGAAAAAGAAAAGAAAAGAAAAAAGCCAGACTCCAGATCCTCATGGCATCATGGAGCAGCTGAACCAACCACTGTATCTACCTACCCCAGATTTCTTGACATGTGAGAGAGACAGATCCATATTTGTTTCTTTTTTTTATTGTGGTGAAATATTCATAACATAAAATGTAACATTTTAACCATTTTCAGGTGTACAGTTCAGTGGCATTAAATACATTCATATTGTTGTGCAACCATCACTCCACCCATCACCAGAACTATTTAATCAGACCCCCATCTATGAGAGGCTGCTGGCCAAGTCAGAAAAAGGACCCATGCCAGCACAGGAAGAAACCTGGGGTTTGGTGTCAGAAAACCTGGTTCTGCCCCTCACAGCTGGCATGGGCCTGGTGAAGACACGGAGTACTCGATTTCCAGAGACATCAGGTGGGGCTTTGGTGATACCCTGCTTCGCTGACCTCTGTGAGGTGTAAAACAAGTGAGGACATAAACCTGCAGGCCCCCTCCTGAAATCTTCAAGTGTCATACCCTTAGGAGTCCGTCTCCCCACTCCCATGTTCAAGAAGAAAGTGAGAAAACTAAGCACCAAAGGCAGCCATAGAAGCTGCCTCACGAGGTCCCTAACAACCCTGTGCAGGAGGAATTCTCATCCCATTATTACAGATAAGGAAACTATGGCCAAGGTCCCTGTTCCAAGGGCAGCCTGAGCATCAGCAGGACTCACCTGAAGGCGGGGAGAGATTGGGGATCCCACAGGAAAGCACCTCTACTGTCCTTTCATTCAGTATTTTTGGAGTCCCTGGTACCGTCTCTGTCCTTGGCACCATCCTCAACTTTTTGGATACAGGGGTGAGTGAGCCCCTGCCTTCCCATGGTTTCTCATCTCCAGAGGACCAAATGCTTGGAATTCTAAGCACTGGAGGCCACTTCCTAAGGATCAAGGGCACTATTGCATGAAATAAATAATTGGTTTAATGTGATGGTCACCGTGCCTGGCTCACAGGAAGCACTCAGTGAATGGCAGCTATGTCCACTGACTAGCTGTGATCTTGAACAAGTTATTTAACATCTTCGAGCCTCAGTTTTCTCATCCTTCAAATGGAATGATAGTACCTACCTCATAGTGTGGTTGTGAGGATCAAATGAAATAATGTTCAAAAATTGCTTTAAAATGTACCTGATCCAATAAGTAAAAGCTTACTGTAAAGTAAAATGTACCTGATCTAATAACTAAAAGCTTATTGTTATTAGTTTTATTGTGCTATTTAGAACCTGAAAGAAGCATAATTCTGGACCCTGTGCTTCTTGCAAGGTTTAGGGGATGAAGGGGTGGTTTTTACCTGGCCTTGGTGTCTCTGAGAACCGGGTTGGCATGGAGGAATCATTAATCAGCCAGTGGGGATGAGAAAGCTGGTCCAGTCTGTTAGCATATTTAAAAGCCTCTCCGGTGTAAAATCCCTTTCTTGTAAATAAAATCGCCAAAACGTCCCCACATGGGGGTATCAAGATGCCGTGAACCCCGTTCTTGCTTTCAGGGCTTGTACAGCCTGGTGAGAAACAGAAAAGGGAAATGGTGGTGAATATAATAAAATATAACCTGGCTACTAGCTGAGTTAAAGGTATGTGCACCATAAATATTTATTTTTACAAAGGTTTCCATCTCCCGGGAGGAGCCCTTTCATTCCCTTTCACCTTCTCTGGATGTAATGAATTTGGCATAATCCTACCAATTCACCTTACCTATAAATCAGACTTTAATCATCTCCGTTTCATTTCAGTGTAGTCCTTCTTCTAGGGCGGCGTTTGGGAGCAAAATATATCTGGACAAGACTTTCTCCAGAGGGTCATATTATACCAAGGAAATGAATTCCCTGTCTCAAGCTCATAAACCGCAAAAATAAAGCCAGCATTCTGGCTGAAGGCGGAGGAAACCAGACGCGCACACAGAAAACCCTCCTTCTGCGGGAAGCGCTGGGCGGAGCTGATTTGCATTTACCTTCACGCAGGCCTGGGTTCCGCAGGAGGCCTAGAGCGTTCCGGCAGCGCGCCCGCCCGCCCGCCGCGGTCGTGCGCAGCCACTCAACCCGGTGGATGCTAGCGTGTGACGGGCTGCAGGGCCCTGCCGCTGCTCACTAAGCTCCCCCGTCTCCTTTCATAAGGAGCACCATCCCTTCACTTCTATCCATCAGGCTGCTTGCAAAAGGAGCTAACCCGGGCATGTGGGATTCCAAGGAACTGAACATTCCGCCAGTGGCTCTGGGGTTTGGTGAAGAGGGAAAGTCGAGGGACAAATCTTGGGTAAGCCACAGTGTTCGGTGAGCTTCCTCCTTCCCACGACCAACATACAGATAGGTGTAATGAAGTTAAAATGCCAGCAAGAGAAACAACACCTGGAAGGAGTCCAGAGCACAGGGGTGCGCACTTGATCCTGAAGCAAGGCTCACACCTGGGCTCACCACTTACCAGCTTTTTGCTCTTAGGCAATTCCTTATCTCTTTGTGTGTGTGTCCTCACCTCTAAAACAAGTATGCTAATAGTGCCACCATCTACTGGGTGCTGTGGGGGTTAAATGAGTCAAGGCTCACAGGACCCAGTGCTCCATCGCCCAGGCTGGAGTGCAGTGGCACAATCAAAGCTCACGGCAGCTTCTAACCTGCAGCCTCAAACTCCTGGGCTCAAGCGATTCTCCCGCCTCACCCTCCCGCGATTGTTTTTCTCAGAGCAGGCCAACAAGGAGAGGCAATCCTAAAGCCCACTTCTTTTTCCCTCCCCATGAATATGAAGGTTGACTTTGGACATGTACAGAAGCCTTCCAGTCCTAACTCAGAAAGCTATGTCCTTCCAGCCACCAGCCCTTTGCTGGGCATACAGCCAGCACACAGCAGTGACATCTCCCTGGAATCACAGCACTCAGAGCAATGCCCTATTTCAGCAAATTATTGCATGGGTTTCTGCTCAACCTTGTAGAACATCCTCCAGCCATGGCTTGTCCATTTCCCTGAAACTCCTCTTTATTGAGTGTTTGGGGTGTTTAAGGGTTAACCAGCCCAATGGTCCCCCAACTTGTTTGAGCCAGGGTCCCTTTGTTCAAATGGAAATCTTAAATGCAATTCCAAGATACACAGGAATTGGGGAGTATGGTGGCCAAAGGGGCTTTAGTTGCATCTGCAACGTTCTAATTTCTTACAAGGAAAATATATATTTTTTGCATAATTAAAAGTTAGTTTTTTATGAAGTCCTATATATAAAGTAGGCAAAAGCAGAGCTGCTCTGGCTGGAGCCTCACACCCACTCATTCCCTGTCCCCTATTCACCACTGAGAGCCCTAAGGCCTCTTCTCAACACTCCTAAATTCTGCAGAACACAGTTTTATAGATGACAAAACAGAAGGACAGAGTTTGGTGCCGTGCCCAAACACCAGGATTAATGCCAGGGCTCAAACTTGAGCCTGGGTCTCCTGACTCCCATTTTGGCAGTTCCTGTTCAAATTCCCAGAAGATTGCCAACTAAAGATACTTTCTTTTCAACTTTTCATTCTGAATTAATTTCAGAATTAGAAAAATATGGCCAAAATAGTTCACAGAAGTCCCATATTACTATCACCGGGTTTCTCTAATGTTAACATAAACTTGGTATAGTTATCCAAAACAGTAAAATTAACATTGATCAATACTACTACCTAATAGATAGACCTTATTCAAATTTTGCTAATTTTTCCACCAATGTGCTTTTCCTCGTCCAGGATACAATCTAAGACACAACACTGAATTTAGTTTCATGCCCTATAATCACCTCAAGTCTGGGAAGGTTCCTTGGTCTTCCTTAACCACGCATTACCTTGACACATTTGAAGAGCTAGGAGCAGTTATTTTGTAAAATGTCCCTCAAGTGACATTTGTCTCATGTTTCTTCATGATTAAATTTGGGTTCTACATTTTTGTCAAGCATCCTACAGCAGTAATACTGTGCCCTTCTCAGTGAATCTCATCAGGAGGGGCATGAAATCAATGTCTCTCAGTACTGGTGAAATTAACTTTGATCACTTTGTTTAGGTTGTGTCTGTCCACCAGTGTTCTCCCCTGTAGTACTCTTTTTTTCTTTTGGAATTAATATATCTTGTGGAGAGACCCTTTAAGACTATGTTAGTACCCTTTTTCTCATCATACTTCTACCAACAGATTTTGTCATACGTAGATGATACTTGCTTGCAAGCAACAGTAATTTCGCCTAATGGTGATTTTCTATTTCTATCCTTCTTTCTATGTTTATTAGTTTGAATTCTACTGTAAACAAGAATTCTTTATTCTTCCTATATTCTTTTTAGTAAAACATTCCTAACTTTTGATGTTATCAGAGACCATCATGTTGACTCCACAGAACCCTTGGTATCTGACTCTCGGGTCTGCCCGGTTTTGAGGTATTCACTTCTGTGCCACCATAAAGAAAAATGCCTTCTTTATTTTGCATTTAAACCTTATGATTTTAGTTGCCATTAATAGAATTTTTGGGAGAGGAGTGTGCTAAATGCTTTGCAGGGTGAAGAGGATGTTTTAATTATTCAAGAGAACTGCTTTTATTCAATTCGGGTGTACCCACTTACACATAAAAATTAATGCTAAATAGATGTAATTTCCATCTATTCATTAAAACAAACCCCAAAGCAGTCCAGAAATCCTTAGTAGCCTAATGTTATTCTTGGCACTTGAAAACAAAACTACTTTTCTTAAAGAAGGAAAACCATAACCTGTGTTTTATAAAACACTTATTCTCACCAATGGTGGCCTTCTTGCTCCTTTTTTCCAAGTACCCTCCCTGTTTCCTTCTCCTAAGCAACCATTCACTCAACACTATTTTACTGAGAATCTACTGTGTGCCGGCCTCTTTTCTAAATTCTGGGGCCAAACCAGCAGACAAAACAGACCTGAACTCCCCCGTTTTGAGCTTCCAGTTTATTCAGGGGAGATAGACTACAAATTCTTTAAGTGGTAGCTGCTTTGCAGTAACATTAAGAATCACAGGGGCAGAGGAACCTCTAATTTAGATAGCATGAACAAGGAAAGCCCCTCAGAAGAGGTAGGTGTGGTGAGATTTGAACAGAGAACAGAAAGAAGTGAGGGAGAAGCTGTGTGCCTTGGGGCAGGAGGCGCATTTCAGGAAAGGAGAAGCAAGTGCAAGGTTCTGTTTTAGGGGCAATGATTGGGCTGCATTTGCTAGTGGGAGGGGTTGTTGTGTGTCCCCTTTTGCTATATATATACAGCCTTCTTTTGCTAAGTCTTGCATTTTTAGTACCTTCCCATCTACTTCTCTCTGCTTAATTTTTTCAACATGTAGTTTTGAATATATTTCCTTGAGGTCTGATATAGGGATGGATAGATAGATAGATATAAATATTAATATAATGTATATATAGAGTCTGACTCCTTTTTTTTGATGTGTAACTGTGGACAGCTTTTAAGCCTTGCCTCTCTCTCTTACCTCTCTGCACCACACCCACACCTGGGCAAGCTGCTCAGAAAGCCTGGGTGTGCCCTCCTTTGGTATAGCATCTGAACCAAATTTGGGGTAAAGATTCACAACAATATCCATCTGTGCTGGTCAGTACAATAGGCGCCAGCCACAGCTATTGAGCACCTCAGTTGGAAACATGGCGGGATGTGCTGTACATGCAAAATACACTCTGGGTCTCAAAGACAATATGAAAGAGGCCGGACAACATATAGACCCTGTCTCTACAAAAAACAAAACAATTAGCCCAGCATGGTGGTGCACATCTGTTGTCCTAGCTACTTGGGAGGCCGAGGCTGGAGGATTGCTTAAGCCTGAGAGGTCCGAGCTGCAGTGAGCTATCATCACACCAGTATACTCCGACCTGGGTGACCCTGTCTCTAAAATAAAATAAAATAATAAAAAACAAAGATAGTATGAAAGAATGTAAAATATCCTATTAATAATTTTTAAGTTGCTGGGCACGGTGGCTCACAGCTGTAATCCCAGCACTTTGGGAGGCCGAGGTGGGTGGATCACCTGAGGTCAGGAGTTCGAGACCAGCCTAGCCAACATGGTGAAACCCTGTCTCTAATAAAAAATACAAAAATTAGCCAGGCATGGTGGCAGGTGCCTGTAAACTCAGCTACTCGGGAGGCCGAGGCAGGAGAATTGCTGGAACCCGGGAGGCAGAGGTTGCCATGAGCCAAGATCATGCCATTGCACTCTAGCCCGGGCCAACAACAGCAAGACTCCGTCTCAAAAATAATAATAATAATAATAATTTTTAAGTTGATTGTATGATAAAATAATATATATCAAGTTTAAAGTATTATTAACATTAATTTCACCTTTTTAAACCTTTTTTAATGGGAGTACAGTATTTTTGTTTTGTAGAGCTGGGGGTTCTCACTATGTTGCTCAGGTTGGTCTTGACCTCCTAGGCTCAAGCAGTCCTCCCGTCTTGGCCTCCCAAAGTGCTGGGATTATGGGCAAGAGCACTGCACCTGGCTACATTAAATTTTTTAATTAAATATATGACTCATATTTGTCATTCACCTTCTACTTCTGTTAGATAGCATTAACATATACCAAAGTAGTGACAATGACTATGTCTTAGTTTGTTACTTTTTTTTAATTCCTTCTTTTGGATTCTCTGTATTCTCTGAGCATGTATTTAAAAATAAAAAGACATTTCTTGGAGTTGTTGTTGGTGGAGATAGGAAGGCCTTTTGGAGGATCTGAGAAGGAAAGGTCTCCCTACCCAAAAAGTCCAGAAAGGGAAAACATTTTCCAATCAGCCATGATTCTGAAACTGACATCTGCCCTCTCTCCACTGTTTAATTAATCTAAACTTGATCTGAGGCTGACTCCATACCTTGAGTCCCTATGTAATGAACTGCATGCAACCTAACTTGGTATGAACTGACTGAAAGCTAATTTAATATATTTTTGTAGCTAATAGCTGAGCCTCAGCAGTAAAACACAGCAGCAAACCTCCAATCAATTATAGGTTACCAACTGATCAGACCATGCTCAAATAAAGCAAACACCTAGCTGTAACCAACCAAGCTGTCTCTGTACCTCACTTCCATTTTCTGTTCATTTGCTGTCAGCCCATATCGGGGAGCAGAGTTCTCTCAACTTCTGCTGGTTCTGAGAGCTGCCCTATTGACAAGTCATTCTTCGCTCAATTAAATTTGGTTAAATTTAACTTATCTAAAGATTTACTTTCAACACTGCACATATACTGTTAGAGACAAGCAGCCTCTCTCTACAAGCGTTGGAATAAATGACTTTCTTATGGTGACTCTGGAGTTTGCAAATGCATTGGTGTGCCTTGGCTTGCAAGCCCTGGCTCGTTAGCACTGATATGCTGCTGTCATAGGAAGCCCAAGGTGTGGCCGACTACGACTTTCCTGTGTAGTCTAGGGTTGCCATTTGTGCTTAATCCAATCCATATCTACTCTCTACAAGCCCTCAGTGTCCCAGATCCTTGTCCACAAACCTGGAGGACCAAGCTGGGGATGGCTGTCCAAGCATGGATCAAGCTGCTTTGCAGACTGCTTTGCAGGGTAATGTTTTGGAACAAACTGTACAGACTTAGTCATGCAAAATGTTATTGTATTGAAGAGGTCAGAATTCAGAGCACACTTGGCTAATCCAGCAACTGAATTTTACTACTACTGACTCTGATGAACAGAAAACAACTCTGCCACCTGTACACAGGCAGTCAACTCTTTCTACCAGAAGAGGAATGGACAGTAAGAGAAGGCAGAACAGGGGGAAGAAATCAAATGGATTTAACTAGATCATCACATAAAAACTGCAAATGTCCTATCATTTTTCAGAAAGATTCAATGTCTGCTTTCAAAGGATTTTACTATATGTATCTTCTTTACACAAGTACATTTTAAAATTTAAGTCCGAGTGATTTCAATTCTGTAAATTTTGAAATTTCACTGAGTAAGAAAAATACTGACTACTGACCCTCAAGAGGCAAGTCTACACAAATAGGCAAATTTGTAAGTTTACTGTTGGGGCTCTGAAAATGATACCCCAAAGTTTGGGGCTTTCATGCAGAGTGCTTTGAACTAAGGGAGAACCAAAAAGCCTCCCTGAACTTCTGCCCTGCTGTCTCTCACCCCTGTTTCAAAAGCACAGGGAAGGGTGGTCTCTGAACTTGCCTCGTCTGCCTAAAGATAGATCTTCCAAAAAGGCACTCAATTGCCATGAGTTTCCTCCCCAGGAATCTCATTAATTAGGAAAAATTAACTGTATCACAGGAGGAGAACAGACTGAAGGTAATTGCCAAGCCCAGACATTATCACAAACTATCACCTGTTCTGAGGGGTGCTCCAAGACAACCTTTATTACTCTGGAGACTGTTTATCTGCATAACAAGACAACTTTTATTCACCATGCATTTCCTCTCCTTTCCCTCCCATAATTTGTGTCATGCCCCACCCCCAAATTAAGCTCCAAGCCCCAATTCCTTTCTGTAGCTCAGGATGCTATATAAACTTTAATCATCTAGCCCTTCTTTGAGTCTCATCTTTTGTGAGATTCCCATGCCTATGCACATAATTAAAATTGTTTTTTCCTGTTAATCTATCTACTGTCTATTTACTTCCCAGACTCAATGATCAAACCTTAAGAGGGTAGAGAGAAAGGTTTTCTCCCTTACATTACATTCCACCTAAGATCCACAAAAAGAGAAAATTTCACTTTTAGGTAATGAAAAAGTTACCCAAAATATAAAAACCCTCATATTTGACTTTACTCTTCTAACTCCGCAAACTGAAGCCACCACTAGCTACTACAATTTGACCACCAAGGTATACATTTTTCTAACAGCTGTAATGAGGTATAGTTCACATACTCTACAAGTGACTCTTTTAAGGTGTCTAATTCAACAGGTTTTATACACTTACAGAGTTGTGCTCCCATCACCACAATAAATTCTGGAATATTTTCAATACCCCAAAAAGAAACACAGCACCCCTTCACCATCAACACCTGATATGGTTTGCATATTTGTCCCTCCAAATCTCATGTTGAAATTTGATCCCCAATGTTGGAAGTGGGACCTGATGAGAGCTGTTTGGGTCATGGGAGTGGAACCCTCATGAATGGCTTGAGCCATCCTCTTGGTGATGAGTGAGTTCTTGCTCTATTAGTTTACGTGACAGCTAATTGTTTAAAGGAGCCTGGGGCCTCTCCCCTCTCTCTCACTTCCTCTCTTGCCATATGATATGCCAGCTCCCTCTTTGCATTCCACCATAACTGTAAGCTCCCTGAGGCCTCACCAGAAGCAGAGCGGATGCTGACACCGTGCTTCCTGAACAGCCGCAGAACTGTGAGCTAAATAAACCTCTCTTCTTTACAAACTACTCAGCCTTAGGTATTCTTTTATAGTAATGCAAAACAGACTAACACAAATCCCAATCCCAGTATCCCTCCTTCTCTGCATGTTCCTAGGCAACCACAATCTACTTTCTGTCTCTGTGGGTTTGTCTATTCTGGACATTTTATATAAATTGAATTATATAATATGTGGTCCTTTGTGACTTTCTTCTTTTACTTAGCATAATATTTTCAAGGTTCATACATGTTGCAGCATGTATCAGTACTTCATTCCTTTTGTTCCTGAGCAATATTTGATTGCATTGATATGCCACATTTTATTTACCCGTTTATCAATTGATGGACATTTGGGTTGTTTCCAGTTTTTTACTATTATGGCTAATGCTGCTATGAATATTCATGTACCTAAGTGTAATTTTAAATTTAAGTAATTCTTGCCTAAGGCTTAGGATACATCCCCCCCAGAAAATGAGAATAAAGCAAAGTTTTGCAAAGCAGCAAAGCAGAACTTTACTGTATCAGTGATTGCCACTCTTAAGTCACCTTTTCCCATGGAAGATAGTCCTTAACAGCCTGATTTAGGAACATCAAAAGAGGTCCGTCTAAAAATGTTGTGTTAAGCAGATTCAAACATGTTTTGTTTTGTTTTGTTTTGTTTTGTTTTGTTTTGTTTTGTTTTGTTTGAGACCGAGTTTCACTCTTGTTGCCCAGGCTGGAATGCAATGGCGTGATCTCGGCTCACTGCAACCTCCACCTCCAGGGTTCAAGTGATTCTCCTGCCTCATGTTGAATACAGTGAGTTCTAAATTTCTCTTCAAAGAATCAGTATGTCAGTATGTTCAGTTCTTTGTTCTCCATTTTAAAGTTTAACTTCCTCATTCTCCTCGCCCATAGTTTCAGTAAACAACTTTTTCCACCAGTTCTAATCAGCAGTTCACATCTGTTCCCCTGGTCACCTGCTCTGTCCTGAGTCACCCCTGGTCATCTGTTCCATCTGAGTCATCCCTGGTCACCTGCTCTGACCTGAATCATCCTGAGTTCTCTTTTCTGTAACTGCCCTTCCCACCAAACTACTCACCCCGCCACTCCGACTTGTTCTCCTTCTCTCTTTAAAATAGCCAATCAGAATTATCTTAGACTGTGTGGTCCAACCCTAGCCAATAAGGGAACGACATAGCAGTAGGGGCTACCTGTGTCAGGAATAAAAAGCCCTTCCCCTCCCTTGTTCAGGTGTGCTCTCACCATTGCTCCATCCACGAGTCACACTTTTCTATAGAAGTAAAATTGCCTTGCTGAGAAAATTAAATTTATGTTTGAGTGCTATTTCTTTTGTGGCGCCAAAAGTTTATTTATAACACTCAGCTTCCCAAGTAGCTGGAATTACAGGCATGCACCACTGTGCCCAGCTAATTTTGTATTTTTAGTAGAGATAAGGTTTCATCGTGTTGGTCACGCTGGTCTCGAACTCCTGACCTCAAGTGATCCGCCTGCCTTGACCTCCCAAAGTGCTGGAATTACAGACATGAGCCACTACACCCAGCCTCAAACACACATATTTATTGCATGTCTAATGTAGCAGAGAAAAAATAATTTTTTTTCTACTTTTCATGATTTTTAGCTGATACAACTAAAATTCCTATAACAAAAGACAGATTAACCACAGAAAAACAAACATGTATGTCTCATTTATACCACGGGAGATACACAGGGAAAATGAGTAATTCTCTAAGAGGTGGTTTGAATTCCATCTACCGAAACAAAAAAAAGGGAGCGGGGTGGGGAAGGTCCAGCTTTGCCAAGATGGCCAGGCAAAACACCATAAAACAGCATTAGGTTTGTTATGCAGATTTAAGTCAGTGTCTTCTCCATTGGTAGGCATGTATAATGATGTACAGTCATCCTTCTCTTCCTGGTGCAGAGAGGAAAACACCCTTAAATTGGAGATTTCCTTTGTAAATGCAAATTTTCCTTACAAAAGTGTAATTTCTACTCTTGTTTTCAGAGCTTCTCCTAGGTCTGCTGTTTCTTAAAATAATTAGATCAACATAATCCTTATGCTAAAGGAGCATATTTTGGGGTGATATATTCTAGTCCAGTACACTCATATATTGGGGTGATGTGTCTTGAACCTCATCACTAATAAATAAAAAGTGCTATTTGTAGTTGGTAAATAATTGTAAAATATTTTTTAAAAATTTTCTATATATTTTTTGTACCTCTTGGTCTTCCTCTGCATCCCTACCCCCATTCAGTCATTCATTGCCTCAAGGAATAGATAACTCAAAGAATAGCAGAGAACAAAGGCTTTTGGATTTGTTATTGAACTGAACTTGGGTCTGCTCACTTGGCACAGCAAAGCCAAATGCTGACATCAAGATTTGCTGTGAGATAAACAGCTGTAGGTAAACAGCAGCAACAAAAACAAAATAAATTATTCATTAATTATAAAAAAAGATGTTCAATGAGAGAAAGAAAAGGATTTATTGTAGGATACCAAGCAAGGAGAATTGGTCAGATAATGCTTAAGGCCCAAACTCCCCATGGCTTATCAGCAAGAGATTTTAAGGGCAGGGGTACATTTCTGGAAAGCAGAAGTTATAGGCAAAATTGTAAATCAATACATGGAGGTTATACATTGGTTTGGCTCAAAAAGGCAGGAGGATATGTTGAAGCCAGGGCTTATAGGTCATAAATAGATTCAGTGATTCTTTGATTTGCAATTGGTTAAGAAAATAAAGCTGTGTCTTAAAAACTTGGGGTCCACAGAAAGGAATGTTCAGGTTTGGACTGTGTGCATGACTTTCTTCAGGCCCCTCAGGAAGAAAATTAGAACAAGGAATGGCAGTCAGAGTTCAATCTGTGTGACAGCCTATGTAACATTTTCCATCTGGTGGGAGTCTGCGTTTCTGAAAAATAACTCAGGGACATATGTCAAGATGTTATCTTTAGTTTTTATAGGGAACCAAATATCTGTGTCTCTAACTTACTTGGGTGGCTATTGTTTTAAGTTATTATTACCTTTTTGCTTATCAGGTTGCTCATTTATTTCTCAAGGCTAGCCAAGTGCCTGGAATTTCCCTTGAGAGGACTCAAAATTTTCCTTTATTTCCATGCTTGGGGGAGGGGGCAGTGGGGCAAAAGGGCCCTGAAAGGGGCCTCCTGCTCTCAGATTTTGAATCTTGGAAACCAGGCAATAAATTTGAGAACATATGTGATGAGTTAGATCAAAGTGATGCATTATATCAAAGTTTTCTATCCTTCCCCACCAATTAAATTAAGTTCTTCCAGAATTGAGGAAGAGAGAATGTATGAGGGAAAAGTGAGCCCAGAAAGGAACCCCTGGAGAACAACATGAAGGTTTATGGGATTACAGAGCAAAGTAATGTGTGTCTCTCTTCCCTGGCAGAGCCTAAAAGAGGTGCCACAACCTCAGAGAAGAAATGACTGCAGGATGTGCCTAGACAGAGGGAACCTAAACAGCCTTGCAAGAGTTTCCCCTTAACTCAGCACAGAGTGATGACAAAAAGATGACTTTATTCTGCTAAGAGTGGCTCTGAAGTACCACAGGGTTTTAGCTCCACTTAATGTCCTAGGGTTGAGGGAAGCACAGGAATTCTATGCATTCAGCAGAAGTATAGATGTAACAAGGAACATTCATCGACCTGACTTAGAACAAGGGATGGTGTAGCAGTGACCTATGTGGATCAGTGGCCAAGGTCCAGGGCAGATTTTGGAGATCTTAGCAGATGCCAGCATGACTAGTGATATGGTTTGGCTCTGTGTCCCCACCCATATCTCATCTTGTAGCTCCCATAATTCCCATGTATCATGGGAGGGACCTGGTGGAAGATGATTGAATCATGGAGTGGGTCATTCCCATGTTGTTCTCTTGATAGTGAATGAGTCTCTTGAGATCTGATGGTTTTAAAAACATGAGTTTCTCTGCACAAGCTCTCTTTGCCTGCTTCCATCCACATAAGATGTGGCTTGTTCCTCCTTGCCTTCTGCCATGAATGTGAGGCCTCCCCAGCCATGTGGAACTGTAAGACCAATAAACCTTTCTTTTGTAAATTGTCCAGTCTCAGGTATGTCATTATCAGCAGTGTGAACATGGACTAATATAGTAAATCGGCACCAGGAGTGGGGTTCTTATAAAAAGATAACCAAAAGTGTGGCAGTGACTTCGGAACTGGGTAGTAGGCAGAGGTTGGAACAGTTTGGAGGGCTTAGAAGAAGACAGAAAAATGTGGGAAAGTTTGGAACTCCCTAGAGACTTGTTGAATGGCTTTGCCCAAAATGCTGATAGTGATATGGACAATAGAGTCCAGGCTGAGGTGGACTCAGATGGAAATGAGGAACTTGTTGGGAACTGGAGTAAAGGTGACTCTTCTTATATTATAGCAAAGAGACTGGTGGCATTTTGACCCTGTCCTAGAGATCTGTAGAACTTTTAACTTGAGAGAGATGATTTAGGGTATCTGGTGGAAGAAATTTCTAAGCAGCAAAGCATTCAAGAGGTGACTTGGGTGCTGTTAAAGGCATTCAGTTTTATAAGGGAAGCAGAGCATAAAAGTTCAGAAAATTTGCAGCCTGACAATGATAGAAAAGAAAATCCCATTTTCTGAGAAGAAATTCAAGCTGGCTGCAGAAATTTGCATAAGTAACAAGGAGCCAAATGTTAATCCCCAAGATAATGAAGAAAATTTCTCCAAGGCATGTCAGAGGTCTTCACAACATCCCCTCCCATCACAGGCCAGGAGGCCTAGGAGGAAAAGATAGTTTCATGGGCCAGGCCCAGGGTCCCCATGCTGTGTGCAGCCTAGGGACTTGGTGCCCTGTGTCCCAACCACTCCAGCCATGGCTGAAAGGGGCCAATGTACAGCTCAGGCTGTGGCTTCAGAGGGTCCACGCCTCAAGCCTTGGCAGCTTCCATATGATGTTGAGCCTGCAAGTGCACAGAAGTCAAGAACTGAGGTTTGGGAACCTGTGCCTGGATTTCAGAAAATGTGTGAAAATTCCTGGATGCCCAGGCAGAAGTTTGCTGCAGGGGTGGAGTCCTCATGGAGAACCTCTGCTAGGGCAGTGCGGAAGGGGATTATGGGGTGGGACCCACCGCACAGAGTTCCTACTGGGGCACAACCTAGTGAAGCTGTGAGAAAAAGGCCACCATCCTCCAGACCGCAGAATGGTAGATCCACTGACAGCTTGCACTGTGCACCTGGAAAAGCTGCAGACACTCAATGCCAGATTGTGAAGGCAGCCGGGAGAGAGGCTGTACCTTGCAAAGTCACAGGGGCAGAGCTGCCCAAGACCTCGGGCACCTACTTCAGCATGACCTGAATGTGAGACATGGAGTTGAAGGAGATCATTCTGGAGCTTTAAGATTTGACTGCTCTGCTGGATTTTAGAATTGCATGGGGCCTGTAGCCCCTTTGTTTTGGCCAATTTCTCTTATTTGGAATGGCTGTATTTATGCAATGCCTGTACCCCCATTTTATCTAAGAAGTAACTAACTTGCTTCTGATTTCACAAGTTCATAAGTGGAAGACACTTGACTTGCCTTGGATGAGACTTTGTACTGTGAACTTTTGAGTTAATGCTGAAATGAGTTGAGACTTTGGGGGACTAATGGGAAGGCATGATGGTTTTGAAATATGAAGATATGAGATTTGGAATGGGTCGGGGGCAGAATGATATTATTAGGTTCTCTGTCCCTACCCAGATTTCATCTTGTAGCTCCCATAATTCCTACGTGTTGTGGGAAGGACCCAGTAGGAGATGATTGAATCATGGGGCAGGTCTTCCCCATACTGTTCTCTTGATAGTGAATGGGTCTCACAAGATCTGATAGTTTTAAAAATGAGAGTTTCTCTGCAAAAGCCTTCTTTGCCTGCTGCCATCCATGTAAGATGTGACTTGCTCCTCCTTGCCTTCCACCCTGATTGTGAGGCCTCCTCAGCCATGTGGAACTGTAAGTCCATAAACCTTTCTTTTTTTTTTTTTTTGAGATGGAGTTTCTCTCTTGTTGCCCAGGCTGGAGTGCGATGGCGCGATCTTGGCTCACTGCAACCTCCACCTCCCGGGTTCAAGCAATTCTCCTGCCTCAGCCTCCCAAGTAGCTGGGATTACAGGCAAGCACCACCACGCCCAGCTAATTTTTTCTATTTTTAGTAGAGACGGGGTTTCTTCACGTTGATCAGGCTGGTCTCAAACTCCCGACCTCAGGTGATCCACCCGCTTCAGCTTCCCAAAGTGCTGGGATTACAGGCGTGAGCCACCGCACCTGGCTCATAAACCTCTTTCTTTTGTAAATTGCCCAGTCTCGGGTATGTCTTTACCAGCAGCTTGAAAACAGACTAATACACTAGGTGACTACTAAAGACCAGATACCTCTTCATCTCAATTCCATATACCGAATGTCTTGGCATGATGTAAGACCCCAGTGCTTAGACCCAACACTGGGAAAAAGACAGGAAACCTCATATTGACGAAGGTTAAGTTTCTGCTACTCAGAAAAATAAGGGATCTTAAAATAATTTTTCTAATAGAAAAATACAATCTTATTTCTGAATTAACAGTCTGAGATTTGTACATGTGAATTTTTTAAGAGTAATTTCAAGATCCCAGGAACTTGGCTCCAATGTTGTCCAAGTTCTGATTCCCCAGATCCTAAGATTTCACTTCTTTTCTAGAGATGGCCTAACTCTTCTCATTTGACCTCAAAATCTTGCTTATCTTCCTGTGCTTGGGTGTGACCTCACCTCTCCCTCCTCCCTACTATGTTATGTCCTCCTATAATATACACCCCATACTCAAAATTATTCTTTTAATACATGTAATTTTAATGGCTGTGAGCTCCATGAGGGAAGGAACCATATATATCTTATTCACCTGGCACATAACACAATGTCGGATATGTAATAAGCTGTCTATAAATGGCTGTACAACTTTTTCCTACAAAAACACAAAAGAGCATAAGAATATGTCTAGAAGGATGTCCTCTGCAGCATTGCTGGTAATAGTAAAAATTAGATTCAAACTAAGAGTCCATCAATGGGGAGAAAGTAAATAAATTAGGGTAATTAGCATACCTCTGTGATATGGAATAATATGTGTGCGCAGAACAATCAGGGAAAGAAAAAATCTTTATTACAAAGTCAAGTTAGATATTTTCCTGAATTATATCCTGCCTTAGATAATCAATTCCATCACCCTCCTCTCCATGTCATGTAGATAACTGAGTTGACCATTATCCTTTGAGAGAGTCAAGTTCAAAACTTGAAATTCCTCATATTGTGGTGAGTCCTTAGAAAGACATATATGATTTAAGGAGATTATAGGCATTTATCAGGATATCCACTGGTTATCACCATGATTATCATCTTTACCATCATCAGTGACATTTATTGAATGCTCACTATGTGCCAGGTACCACGTAAACACTCGATATATGTTATCTTGTTTTGAATTCACATAACAACCCTCTAAAGTAGGTATTTTTATACCAACTTTTTAAAGAATGGATTCAGGGATTGTGGCAAACAGACTGTACCATAACCCTCAATGTTTCTACCTTCTGCTGTTCACACATTTGTGTAATCCCCTCTCCTGAGTGTAGGTGGGACCTGTCACTTGACTCTAAGAGAATATGGCAAACGTGATGAGATGTCACTTCCATAATTATTTCACGCAATGCAAGACAACTCCATTTCAGCATACTGGAGTCAGAAACTCTCTTGAGGTAGGAAAGCAGCCATATTAGAGGTTCATGTGGCAAGGATCCTTGCTCATGTGGCAAGGATCATGGGAACCTCAGGGCAGCTAAAACTGACAACAAGGCACAGGCTTCAGACATACGTTCAGTCACATGACCTCAAGGAACTGAAGTCTGCCAACAATCCACAGGAGTCTGGAAGCAGATTCTTGCCCAGTCAAGCTTTCAGATGGACACAACCCTGGCCGACACCTTGATTGCAGGCTTGTGAGACCCTGAACAGAGGATCCAGCTAAGCTGATCCTGACTGTTGAAGCTACAAGATAATAAATGTGTGATTATAAGACACCAGCTATGTGGTAACTGGTTATGCAGCAATAGAAAACTAATACAGGAAGGTGAAGTTTCTAGCCCTAGATCCCACACGACTCTGGGACTAGATATCCATCCCAGGTCTGTTCGCCTCAAAGCCCATGTTCAACAGGGCATCCATGCCCTGCCCTCTTGCTCCCAGATGGTACTTTCAAGATGGTTCTAGGTATGAGCCTGCATCCTAAAACATGACTCAGCTGAATTCCTGTCATCAACTCAAATCAAAGGATCTTCCCTCACCTGTATCACCTAGCAGATTCCACTATCTTTTCATATATATTGAGCTACCTGATAGAGGAACAATAATACGGGTTCACCGTGGGCACTATCGGAGAAGTTTTAGTAACCTGTGGTCCTGGTAGGACCTCCTTGAAGATATGGGGCTTCCATACATGTTCACAGCACCCCACTGTGGGGTTGGATGTGTGACTGCTTAGTTAGTTACTCAGTGAACTGGATGGCAGCCAGCAAATTGTAGCACTTGGCTTTAAATGATTTGCTGCTCGACAGCACCAGCATAACACCTACCAGTGTCCTATTAACCAGGATGGACGATAATCTCAAGCTCCCAGAATTCTCAGAGAATAACAATTTATGATAAATAACTATGGCATTTAGATATGGTGCTGTGCCCTTCCATTTTTTTTTTTGAGAAGGAGTCCCGCCTTGCCACCCAGGCCGGAGTGCAGTGGCGCAATCTCGGCTCACTGCAAGCTCCACCTCCCAGGTTCACGCCATTCTCCTGCCTCAGCCTCCCAAGTAGCTGGGACTATAGGCACATGCCATCACACCCGGCTAATTTTTTTTTGTATTTTAAGTAGAGACGGGGTTTCACCATGTTAGCCAGGACGGTCTCGATCTCCTGACCTCATGAACTGCCCACCTCGGCCTCCCAAAGTGCCAGGATTACAGGCTGAGCCACCGCACCTGGCCTGTGCCCTTCTATTATTCTCTTGTGAAAGCATTTGTAAACTACATGAATCAATTGACTATTACACTAAAGGCAGAATGCATTTAAGAGATGAATGAAAATATCCCTCATACATCGTGGAGACATAAAGCTATAGTAGTTCACCCATCCAACATTACATCAGTAACCAGAATTTTAAAATTTTCTCTTGTAATAAGCTGTCATAAAAATATTTTCCTTATATCAATATATCCTCCTAAATGGTAGACTGAAAAATCAATAAGCCAGGATGCAAAAAGAAAAGGGAAATAAATATGTGTTATATATTTGTCATTACTCTCATCACAGAGGGAAGCATTTAAAGAAGCAAATGTTATTAAAATAGTGACATTAAATAAGTACCTGTTTTATGGCTTGTCTGTTTATACATTCATTTGTTAATTCAACTCAGGTTGATCATATATCTATCAAGTTCAAAGGCTTACTATGTACCTGGGAAGAATACAAAAAAAATAGACATACAGTCTTTGCTTCCTGAGGCTTTCAACTATATGCATCTAACAATAACCATTTGGACTAATTTAAGCACAGAGAGCCACTGAGACATACCTATCCATTTTTGCACATATATTTTATCAGTACACATAGGCATAGAAAAAAGCCCAGAGGGATGTATATCACAATGTAAACCATTGTTACCTGTGGGTGGTGAGATTACATGTAATGAAAAAAAAATTGTATTTCTTAAACAAATAGAAATTGCCCATAAAAATAAAAATAATCATGTATAGCTATTAAAGATTGTTAAGGCTCGGAACACTATACTCCAAAGCATGACACTTTGGCATGCTGAGTACTTTGAACTGTAAAAGATGGGAAGGACCTCGGAAGCAAGAAGTTCCCTTTGGCCTTCTCCACACTCCTTTCTCCTTCTCCCGTTTTCCTCCCAAGCAGGTCATGGGAATGAGGATCCCTCTTCTCCAAAGCGGGTCATAGAAACTAGAACCCCTCTCTCCCGAAGCAAGCCGTAAAACCTCGAGAGGTCATTCTCTGACCTACCTCCTCTGAAAATAGGCCATAAGACCCTCATTCCAGAAGGGTCTTGCCCCACACCCAGCAGGGAAAAAATCCCGTATGAAGAGGCCAAGAAGAATCCGAACAAACAGGCCTTGCTGGGGTCCGCTGTTTATTACCGTTAGAGCATAACCTTTTTGTCCAATCACATTTCTACATGGCTGTCCATTCTTCATTGAACCTAAGCATAAAAATGCAATTTTCCCTGGGTCTTTGGGCCTTCATTTCTGAAGGCTCCAGTGTCACATGAAACTTGATTGAGTTTGTTATGCTTTTCTCTTGCTAACCTGTATTTCCTATAGAAATGTTGGCTGTGGACCTCAAAATGAGTGAGGAAAAGGTATTACACCTTTTTGCTCCAAGATCTTTTAAACCATTAGGTCTGACATTAATTAAACAGGTCTACCAAATCCACCAAAACAATGATGCAAATTTTTCTTTGAGCAAAGAACCAACTAAGGGAAAATAAAGAATATTTAGTCCACTTTCTTCTTATTATTATAAGTTATGGGGTACATGTGCAGAACTTCCAGGTTTATTACATAGGTATACACGTGCCATGGTGGTTTGCTGCACCCATCAACCTGACATCTACATTAGGTATTTCTCCTAATGCTATCCCTCCCCTAGCCTTTCACCCTCTGACAGGCCCCAGTGTGTGATGTTCCCCTCCCTGTGTCTATGTGTCCACATATACCCTCCCAAGACTAAACAAGGAAGAAGTCAAATCCCTAGACAGGCCAATAACAAGTTCTGAAATTGAGGCAGTAATTAATAGCCTACCAAGCAAAAAAGTTCAGGACCAGATGGATTCACACCCAAATTCTACCAGAGGTACAAAGAGGAGGTGGTACCGTTCCTTCTGAAACTATTCCAAACTATAGAAAAAGAGGGAATCCTCCCTAACTTATTTTATGAGGCCAGCATCACCCTGATACCAAAACCTGGCAGAAACACACCAAAAAAAGAAAATTTCAGGCCAGTATCCCTGATGAACGTCGATGTGAAAATCCTCAATAAAATACTGGCAAACCGAATCCAGCAGCACATCAAAAAGCTTATCCACCATGATCAAGTCGGCTTCATCCCTGGGATGCAAGGCAGGTTCAACATATGCAAATCAATAAACGTAATCCATCACATAAACAGAACCAAGGACAAAAACACGTGATTATCTCAATAGATGCAGAAAAGGCCTTCGACAAAATTCAACAACCCTTCATGCTGAAAACTCTCAACAAACTAGGTATTGATGGAATGTATCTCAAAATAATAAGAGCTATTTATGACAAACCCACAGCCCATATCATACTGAATGGGAAAAAACTGGAGGCATTCCATTTGAAATCTGGCACAAGACAAGGATGCCCTCTCTCACCACTCCTATTCAACATAGTATTGGAAGTTCTGGCCCGGGAAATCAGGCAAGAGAAAGAAATAGAGGGTATTCAAATAGGAAGAGAGGAAGTCAAATTGTTTCTGTTTTCAGATAATATGACTGTCTATTTAGAAAACCCCATCTTCTCAGTCCAAAATCTCCTTAAGCTGATAAGCAACTTCAGCAAAGTCTCAGGATACAAAATCAATGTGCAAAAATCACAAGCATTCCTATACACCAATAATAGTCAAACAGAGAGCCAAATCATGAGTGAACTCCCATTCACAATTGCTACAAAGAGAATAAAATACCTAGGAATACAACTTACAAGGGATGTGAAGGACCTCTTCAAGGAGAACTACAAACCACTGCTCAAGGAAATAAGAGAGGACACAAACAAATGGAAAAACATTCCATGCTCATGGATAGGAAGAATCAGTCTCATGAAAATGGCCATACTGCCCAAAGTAATTTATAGATTCAATGCTACCCCCATCAAGCTACGATTGACTTTCTTCACAGAATTAGAAAAAACTACTTTAAATTTCATATGAAATCAAAAAAGAGCCTGCATAGCCAAGACAATCCTAAGCAAAAAGAACAAAACTGGATGCATCACGCTACCTGACTTCAAACTATACTACAAGGCTACAGTAACCAAAACAGCATGGTACTGGTACCAAAACAGATATACAGACTACCATCAGAGAATACTAGAAACACCTCTATGTAAATAAACTAGAAAATCTAGAAGAAATAGATAAATTTCTGGACACGTACACCCTTCCAAGTCTAAACCAGGAAGTAGTCCACATTCTTTTAAAAAAAACATGTCTTCTTAAAATTAAGCATTATCTGCAATAGTGCTTAAGAGCTCCTTCATTATTTTCCCCTCAGGGGATGTTTAGGCTTATATTTTTGCTTTTGTTTTTTGCTCTGACTAAAATTTCAAAAGCTTTATAGCAGTATGTGTCCTGAAAGATCAGATTGCAACAAAGCACCTTTGAATCAGTTTGCAAGATGAGCCACAGGAATGCTGGAGGGAGGGGTTCGGGGCATCAGGAGCTGGAGGAAACTTCTGGCAGCAGAATTTAACCACGAACAGAGTACACGCTGCAGCCCCCATTAGGTACTGGGGGAGAAATAACGAGTGAAATTGTACAAATGCAAAATGCTCTGTAAATGACTATTTCTTGGTTGTCCATGTGTGAAATAGCTAGAAGGGGATGTTCTTACTGGAACACTCTGGAGAGGAGAAATGGAAGGGGGCCTTTGATCTATCTTCCTATGTGTGCAGACCTCTGCTGTGCCCCTGCTGGCATAGGCCATGCATGCCCAAGCTGGACACTTAATCCTGGGTCTAGCCTCTGGGCAGAAGGGTTGGGTGGAATCACAGGGGGCTTTTTCACTGTGGGCATAGGTGGGTGAGAAATATTTGTCATATGCTGACTTTGATATATTGAGTTCTCTATTCTTCAAATCACATCACTTACCCAGTGGTAAAGCTGGAAGGGCTAAGTTTGTGGTGCACACAGTCTTGCAGCTGCATGCTCCCATAGGGCAGGGGTCATATCTGTCTTCTTTACCATGGAAGATGTGGCACCTCACACGTGGCCTGGTATAGCACAGGGGCTCAATAGGTAGCTGGAAGATGATGCTACAAGGGAGTGAAGAAATGCATACCTTCTCCTGGTCACATTGAACATCTCTCATCTCCTAATGAGTCTTGTCCTTTCTACTTTTGCCCTTCGATAACCCATTCTCACACAAGAACCGGAATGATCCTTTTAAAAATAAATCAGGTTCTAAAATTAGCTTACAGTGATGGTTGTACAGCTCTCTAAATACACTAAAAACCATTGAACTGCACACTTCAAATGGGTAAATTTGTGATATGTAAATTCTATCTCAATAAGGCTGTTAAAAAAAATTAGATTGTCATTCTATGCTTAACACCCTTCACTGGTTCCTGACATTTCACGTAGAATTCGCCAGACTGCTTATGGTGATGTACAACATCCTACCTTTCCCACGGGCTCTGCCTGCCTCTCCAACCTCACCTCACACCAGGCCACAGCTTACCTCCCACTCTTACCTGAATCTGCCTACCTTGATCCTGCCTTCCACAATATTCTTCTCCATACTTTTGTACTTTTTTTCATTTCTTCCTTTTATTTGCCCCTTAAGATTTCCACATCCTCTCTCTGCACATTCCAAATGGTGGCTTTCATTCAGATCTCAGCTCAAATTCCATCTTCCCACCTTAGGTCATGTAATGTGAATCACCATCATTTTCTCTCATATTATTATATTTTTATAGGACCTCTATTTGAAATTATCTTGTTTCTTCATTGTTTCCCTCACTCAAATATAAGCTCTGTGAGGGTAGAAAAATCTTGTGTTTAACCCTTGAAGAACAGTGCCTCAGATATAGTAGGAACTAATAAATATACATTAAATGTTGACTGCCTGCTTCCTGCATGGTTTATTCTGCCAAACTTGTCAGAAAAAACAAACAAACAAACAAAACCCATGAATGTTTACACCTTAGCATATCTTTACAAGAAAAAAAGTTTTAAAACTCATTGCTTTTGAATGACTTTTCATTTTTACATGGCATGGCAAAATAAGCAAGCTTCTATCTGGGAACAATTGATTTCCAAAGTTAGAAGATTAAAATCATGTAAATATTTCACTATAAAAAAGGTATTATAATGCTGTTAAGGTTCAGTCATAGTCACTTTAAGGTTGGGGGTGGAGGGAGAGGGACAGCTGGACTTCCAGTCCAAACCAATACTAAATGGAATTTGCAGACGTAAAAGCAGCTGGATACTTACCAAAAGATCTAGGTCTTCAGAGGTTTCCTTATTCTCCTTTCCTTGATTATTTAGAAATCTTAGGAAAACCAAGATAGTATTTGTAAAATTATCAAGAAAAGTCTTCCTTTTAAGATTTCACTTTTGGTAACTATATTTCAGGAATGATAGGGCTCGATGATAGCAACATGCTCTGTGCTACTTTTAACATCTGACATTCATATAAGCCTTTGCTGCTTCCAAGTCCTTCCATGGGAACTGTCTCATTTGACTTTGCCACAGCCTATGGGAAAGGCAGACAGGTGCAGAATTTTTTTAAGTAGAAGGAAGCAAAAGTTAAATGAGTTGAAGTGACTTGCCCAAGGTCCTGTTGCCAATAAAGAGGGATTTTAGTCACATGTTTTTCTGACAAACCACTGGCTCTTTCAAAAGCCTTATTTAGGAAGCTACAGCAGTTCTCCTCACAGATTATCCAACAAGAAGTAATAGCAATCAGTGCTCCAGAGAATTAAGAACTGGGAATAAAAGTAAGAGGGATTTGTATTCAATTAAATAATTGATTTACCTCTAGATTCCTGAAAAGTCATCAGTTTGGCCTTTAGTGTAACAAATTATACACATACACTAATGTGTGTTCATCATAGCCATATTGGTTTATGGAAACATCATTAAAGCTTAGCAGTCTTTGTTTTTGATATTTTTAAGGTTTTGTTTCTACTGTTTACAAATGTTCTTAAAAGCTGTAAGTTCAGCTTTTAAAGCTTTTTGGAAGCAAACCAGCATTTTAATGAGTAACAGTTCATATCAGGAAATATCCTTATGTTTGCATTTAAGTGCTTGCTTACTTCCAAAGTGTTTTTACGAAATTATTAATGTGGGAGGTGTGCAAGATTTTAAACACTTTACATGGAAGCTCATTGACATTACTAGATAACTGACACCATTTTTAGCCCTACAGGATGCTTCGTATTGATTTCAGTTCTTATAAGGCACTAATTTCTCAGAAGTCTTTGCTAAATCTATGAAACTGATTACAAAAAGATTCTCTTAAGATTTAAACACTAAGCACTCTGAAGAGATGCCTGCAATCCCAGGATCACTGCAGCATTATTTACAATAGCCAAGATATAGAAAAAAACAAAGTACTTATCAAGGGATGAATGGATTTTTAAAATATGGTGTATATATATATGAATACTATTCAGCCTTAAAAAACTCAGGAAATTCTGTCATTTGTGACATGAATGAAGCTAAAGGACATTATGCTAAATGAAATAAGCCAGGTACAGAGAGACACAATACTATCTCACTTATACGTAGAAATCTAAAAAGTCAAACTCACAGAAGCAGAGAGTAAAAGCGGTTACCAGAGGTTGGGGAGGGCGGTGGTGGTGGATGGGGAAAGATGAGATGTTGGTCAAAGAGTACAAAGTTTCAGTTTAATAAGAGGAATACATTCTGGTGATCTATTGCACAGCATAGTGACTACAGTTAATAATAACGTATACTTCAAAACAGCTAAAAAAGAGGATTTAAAATGTTTTCACTACCAGGAAATGATAAATATTTGAGGTGAATATGCTAATTAGCCTGATTCAATCATTCCACATTGGATATATGTATCAAAACACTATATTGTACCCCATAAACAACTGTCAATTAAAAATTTAAAATATTCAGATGTCTCACCAAGACTCACGTAGCAAAACTAAATCTTTACATAAATATCTAAGCATTTAATCTTCACAGACATTTCTTGGGCTAGTTCATAAGAAGATTGAATTTTGATGTAAAATACTTCATTGGAGACCATAACAGTTCGTCCCTTGAGAGAGCTCTGTTGAGTACTTGGGATGAGAAAACTCAACCGTTTATTATTCATGTTTTATTACCATTCTGACCACCCAATTGTTATTAATACCTAAAAACCAAGCAATAACCTAAAATGCAACTAATCTGCGTTTTTTTGCATATCCTTTTTTCCCAGTCCCTATCCTGTAGTTCCTCTTCCTCTCAAGGAACTATTTTACTTTCCATGAATAAAAAATAAGTTTCAGTTGCTTACTGTAACAACCTGTTTTTCCATTCCTTACCTTTTACACTGAAGAGCTGCTATAGGTATCATTAGTCCAATAACTGATTTCGGTAACAAAGACCTGAGGGGAAATTAGAAACTTCCCTCTGAATCAAAGATTTACTGATGTTCTGTAGTTTTTAGGCTAAATATACTTCGTATAATACTGTTTTAATGCTTAACACATGTATCTGATAAAAATAATTTGTGGTTTCACCAAAATATGCATCCAAATTAAGTGATCTATTGATTCAATTGTGTGTGCCACACACATAGATATATAGAGATGGAGCTGTTCAATAAGCCATGAGATGCAGAAGACAAATGAAAACTCCCACACTCTATAATGGTATTAATCACATATAGCACGTTATCTCAACAAGCTCAATGACAATGTTCTCCGGAGTGGCTTAATTAAGCACAGCAGCTAAGAAGCTTTGGTTTGGGCACCACCTAATGGCAGAATATGTTTTTGTAAAATTCTACTTTGCTCCCTGTGATTTGCTAACTTTTGTATTTTAGTTTATACTGATTTCGAAAATGTCTGCCCGTTCTTGACCTATGTTAATAGTTTAAGTGTTCCATTTTCTTGAGAAGATTAAGCCCTTTCCGTGCGTACTTTGGAATAAGTTGTCTTTTACAGTGGGAAAAATGTACCAATGAAAAATGAATACTCTAAAATTTCTGTTCTATCCTTAAATATTTAAATTTTACTTCATAATTAAGAAATATATTTTAATTGAATCACTTTAGAGTCCTCAAACTCTTCTGCACTGTATATCCTCAAAACCTGTCACAAAGAAAATAGTATATATTTCTGAAAAAAGGTACTTATTAGAATTAAGTAATTTTATGTATCTGATTAGCTGCTAAAACTACTCCTGAATGTATAAATAGTGATATACACACCTTTAACATCACCATACACATTTAAGTTTTTGCAAGAGATCCTTGCCTGAATATAATGTTCATTTTGTCATTCAACAAAGAGGTAAAATATATGTGGTAATATAGAACAGATAACGAATGTTTTAAGAAAAGATATTTATTATTTACACCACTGAAATTAGTCCTGTAAGAACAATATACACCATGTTTCTTTAAAAGGATCAATTCCTTTCAAATACAAGAACTGTATAAAGCAATATTGTCAACACAAAACAGTGGTCACATTACGTATCTGCAGGCTTAAGCATTGCAAATAATATATTTTTTTAATCTTATGGCTAGATATTTTCACTGAAACAGTGTTAGCACTTAGACAAGATATAGCTGGAACAGAACAAAAACTTTTTGTTCATGCTTTTTAGGAATGAATCAGTGATATGTCCCTTTTAAAAATTTATTGCCTTTAACTGCTTTTATGACAATGGTTTTAGGAAGATTCTACTTAGCCACCAAAAAGAGACTCATTCTTGTTCCTTAGTTTTTATTCTTCAGTCTTCTGTTTCTCATACTAAGACACAGCTGTGTCAAGACTGACATTTTCCAGCTTTACTTGGACATGTACACACATACAGGCCTAACTGAGACCGCTCAGAATTTAGAAATGTAACTAGTGGCATACAGAAGAGAAATTGTGTCTATGACAAAGAAATAAAAAATTCTTGGTAATTTTAAGCATAGCAAACTAGGTTCTTTAATTAAAAAGTTTTTTTTTGTTTTTTTTTTTGGTTTGTTTTTAAAGGGAAAAGTACTAGTTTCAACATGGGTTTGGTTTTAGATTTAGTCAGACAATAACACAATGAGACAAAAACACAAAACATAACTTGTTTCCAAAGTCACAAAATGACATTGTTGAGTATACATTTTTCTCCACTTTGTGTGTGTGTGTGTGTGTGTGTGTGTGTGTGTGTGTGTGTGTGTGTGGTGGGAGGGTGGGGTGGTCAGTAACCAACGCTGGAGAAAATATTTTTCAAGCGTAACAGAATATTCATATAGGGGACAAGCATTTTTTAGCATATTGCTATCATCTTCAAAAAATATAAAATTAAATTTACAAAAAACTGGAAGACCAAGTATAAGCAGTATGGTATTTGCTTCAGTGTCCAGCACTATCATAATGATTTCTAGCATAAAAGCAAGAAGTTCTTGGATCTTAAGTATCTTCAATAACTGCCAGTATAACTTGTAACTACTGTCCTTGCTTCTTTGAGAGATATCTGCAAGAAATAAAATAAAGATGTCAAAGCTGTATCATGCTAAATTCATGAAGATAACCTAACTTTGCTCCCAAAGGAGTTTGTTCTAATGACAAAACATTTCAAGATGAGTATTCTTAATAGTCACTTACATCTACTGATTATGTGCACGCACAGTTCTAAGTACATGTATTAATTCATTTAGTCTTCACAACAGCTCTGAGGAGTTACTATTAGAATTATTCCTATTTTACAGGCACAAAGAGGTTAAGCAATTTGCCCAAATTCACACAGCTAGAAAGTGGAAGAGCCTAGATTCAAAACAAGGCTCCAGAGGTCATACTCATTGACTACCACTCCATACTGCCTTACTTCCAATGTGAAAGTCACTATATTAACTAGTATTGTAACTTCCAAATACAGATCAAACTCCATAAAGATCTTATTTTTGTTACATCAAGACAGTGGGCAAAAGATGCTAAAGGTCTTTGATCAAGAGTGTAAAAGATATAAGACATTACTAAGCAAACAAGTGTTTTTCATATTGTTTAATAGAAATCTACCACTAAATTAAAAACTTGATCTCTATTTCTAACATTTACAAACTACTATAATTGGTGGTGTGGGGATGGGGAAAGAGTTCCTAAAATCAGCAAACTTGGACATGTTTTGCTGGTACAATTTGCTCACTTTGTGGCACTGCACTAAGTATTTACTATCTCCATGACTCAGTTACATCATTTGCAATTTAAAGATGGGGGTAAAAATGTCTGCTTTATCTTCCTATTAGGATTATAGACTCTTAGAAGACTTGTGTCAAACTGATCTGAAAAGTCAAAAGTGGAATCTGAAAAGCCAAAGTGTTATTATTACACAAATAGTTTCTTTTGGTGCTGTATTACTGGAACCAGATCCTCAAAGATCTAATTCCCCCCCAAATACTGTAATACATAGTAATACCTTCCACTTCTCTGGGGACTTTTCTCTGTCTCAAAACCTTGATGTTTATAGGCAACGTCTATATAGATTTGTGCAAACATTTGGGTTTAGATAAAAGACTGAAAGACTATATACCAAGATGGTAACAGTGGTTATCTTTAAAAAGGAAAATTATGAGTAATTGTTTTTTTAGTAGGATAAACTTTTCTAATTTCTCTGCTACACTCAAGTTACTGGTAATTTTTAATACTATTTATGAAATTTTTACATGTGTTTTATCTTATCCTGACATTAAGTTACAGTATGAGAAGAGGGATTATATTCCATGTGATTCATAAAGGAGTAGCTTACCTAACATCACAAAATAATTTACAGGCAGCATCACCAACATATGCTAGTCTCTCAAGTTCTCTCTTCTAGAAGTATTAAAGAGTTTACAAGAGGTATGTTTATGAACAAGTTAGAGGTTAAGATGAAAGGGGAAAATACTTTTGGGGGTAGGTCACTGGATTAGAAAATGTTTTTAGAAGTCACCTATTTTAAATAAAAATTAAGACAGCTATATATATACTGGGGTCACTGATGAAAAATGATAATTTTTTCTTCATTGATGTAAAGAGAAAATAAATAAGCAATTAAAACTTACCTTTCCCAATATTTGTGATTTAGATCCAAAAAGTCATCTAATTTTGCTATCTCCTTGAGGTACTGAGTTAATTTTAAAAGTTCTTTGTCTTTATCACGATTTAGGTGCGCTTTCATAAAAGGCCTTATCTATTAGGAAACAAACATTACTCAACACATCACAATGTGATAAGGAAAACTAACAAATCTATACTATCATTTCAATTAGAGTTAATGAGGTTAAAATATCACCAAGAACATAAATACTAAAAATTACTTTTATATTAGCCTAAATAGAAAGTCATGTATAATGTTTACAAATTACAAACTCTTCTACCTATTTTACCTAACATTATCTTTTCAATCTGAACCTGACAACACCAGCTTTCTTATTGCACTTGAATCCATACACAGCTACTCTACTTTGCAAAACTACTTAGCCTTTCCCGCCTCCTATCATTCTAGTTGCTTCTAATTAATTTCATTCACATTATTTTATTCATAAAAATTTAACCCCAATACCAGCTTGATCTAACAGTACAGTGAGATAAATTTTAACGATGATTTTTATTTTATTTTTCTATTAAATTTTTATATAGCTGAGATATCATTATACATTTATATAACCTGTTTCCTCCTACATTTTATCATAAGCATTTTTCTTTATCATTAAATTCTCTGTTAAAATCATTTTTAATTATGCAAGAGTTTTCCATAAAAAGAACTGCCATATTTTCCAAATGTTTAAGGCTGATCTATTTTATGATGAAAAAGAGTTTAAAAAGCATTATTTCAAACCACACATGTCAGAATAATAGACCGAGGTAGGGGACTGCAATTAGTAAGGAATACCATATCTTGACTTGAGTGGCGGTGCTATGAATGCATATGTTTATATGCAATCTTCATCTAGATTTGTGCATAAATCTATGCTTAAAAAGACTAGAGGACTATAAATCAAGATGGTAATAGTGTTTATCTTTGGAAAGGAAAATCATGAGTAATTTTAGTGGAATAAAATTTTTTACAAGAATTATCTTTACAGTTTGTTGAACTATAAATTTATGCACTTTTCCTTATTTTATAGCTTCAGTAAAGAATTCTGCTGTTTTGTAAAAGACACCTGCTCAAATATCTTTATACAACTCAAGATAGTCTTTCAATAATTTTAAATTAATTTTAGATAATATGATATGACTAAGATTTACTTCAAAATATTAAGGAGAGGGAAGTAGCGTATAGAGCAAACAATAACCATCCATGAATTAATAAGCTAATTTAAACTGAATGATATCTACATGGGGGTTTAAGCAATTTTATATAGTTCTGTTTACATTTGAATTTTTCTGTTATCGTTAAAAAAAAATCATACATATTCCTAAAGCACACATATTCCTAAAGCACACATGTAAGGACTGATTTCATCATACTTAGCAAAGTATTAGTATATTCTTTTGATTTGGAGAAAATGCAAATTGGTCATTAGTTTTTTTTTTTTTTGGTCATTAGTTATTAATTTTACACAGTTAACACTGAAAAATGAATGATATTTAATCATTGTCACTTACTGAGAAGCAAGAACAATGAGTGAGCCCAAAGGAGTCTACTACCATACCTATTAAGTGTAGGGAAGGGTTTAAGTATTTTTTACATACTTTTCTTCTGTCATTGGAAAAACACCACCCATCTGAAATGGACAGAAGAAAATTTTCCCAGGTGTTCTACTCTCATCAGAACAGCTTGGTGCCAGTGACCTCCACACTGTTAGCTGGCTCCCATACTGCTTGAAGGGCACCAGTCAAGAGCTGTCAAAGGGAGTCTCCTCAGAAATCAGCATTTGTGGGAGATCCCACTTCCAAAAAGGTAGTGCAGCAGTGCTGTTTCCGAGCAGCAGTGAATGTGGGGGCTGAAGACGACGCTTTACAGGGCCTTGCTTAGGCCCTGGGGATGGGAGTAAACAGAGTCATGATATGAGGATGTAGTGAAATGAGTTTCTGCATAATCCTGGGTGATATGGTAATGTTTTAAAGTATTCCTTCATTCACTTCCTAAGGACTGAAAGGTAACAAATTAACTTTTAAGCAATTAATATATAATGTACCAAAGTGTCCAAATTTAAACAGCAGGAAATTACAGGGTTGGTGGGTAGTAAATAAGATTTTCAACCCAAGGCTCTGCTAAGTTATTTTTACTTTCCAAACATTTGCTCTTAAGCACTATTAAACAACAAAACTAAAATATTCTAATGATTCTGGTTCTAAAATTTTAAATAAACAAATTAAGGGTGAAAATCTATGCACCTAATTGACTTCACTTGCTCCAGTATAACCACTGTTTACTGTACATTTTTAAAAACTGATCTAAGTGATCACTAAAAGGACAGGAAACCATCATCTTGTCTCAGGTCAAGGAAGCATTTTTAGAAACTTAAGACTGTCTAGATAAGCTGAATTCTCCTATATCATAATTTCCTTGTACAGACAATAAAAATGGAGTTTTCAGCCGATAAACTGCTTTATCCATGACCAAGATTCACATTCTTTTAGTGTAATTCTAAATTCATATTCACAGTACCTTCCATGTACTTCAAACCTTATGACTGACAAGCTTATGTTTAATAGAAGTTAACTATTTTAAAAATGAGCAGTCTTATTTTTAAGATCTACATGAAATCTTTGAGATTTCTACCAAGTGCATTATGAAAGCATGATAACAAAACACAGCATTTGAGGATATTTCTCCATTTTAGAACTCTTTCTGGGCTGGGCGCAGTGGCTCATGCCTGTAATCCTGCACTTTGAGAGGCCGAGATAGGTGGATCGCTTGAGTGCAGGACCTCGAGACCAGCCTAGGCAACATGGCGAAACCTTGTCTCTACCAAAAATACAAAAATTAGCCAGGTGTGGTAACGTGCGCCTGTAGTCCCAGTTACTTGGGAGGCTGACATGTGAGGATCACTGGAGCAAGGGAAGTCGAGGCTGCAATGAGCTCTGATCATGCCACTGCACTCCAGCCTGGGTGACAGAGCAAGACCCTGTCAGAAAACCCCACCTGTTTCTATGCCGACGTGGGCAGATCTTTAATCTTAATCTTAACCTTTAATCTTTAACCTTAAAAGAGGTTTTCATGAAGTGTTATCTTGGGTAGATTAATTTTATAAAAAAGAGGTTTTCAATAAAAGACACACAAGGACAGCCTGTGGAGTGTCTAAATCTACCTCTGGAATTAGAATTTAGGGGATGGGGACATACGTATTTTTAGGAATTCCTTCAGTGGGTCTACTGAGTACAGTCTTTTAAAAACCCTACTGTAAAGTAACATAAAGAACTAGACATTTACAATAACATCTCTCCCTGCATCAAGAGATGAATGGAGCTCAAATGTTGGTTAGGAAAACAAAGTTTCTTTTAAACAAACATGAAACTAATGATTGTATTTTTTTTTTTAAAGTTAAACGTCTCCTCCAAAATTATTCCTTGACCATCATGGGATCACCTCCTTGCAAGAACAGGTAATAACCATTCGTTTCACAAACAATTAGGTTTACATCAACCACATTTCTTCTCAAGACTCAAGAATACATTTTTGTACCTTTACCTGGTGCAGTACATATTAAGAAAAGCACTTCTCTCCAAGCCTTAAACAGAAACCATTAAGGACAACATAACCACTTTTCTTCCAAGTCAACAGTTTTTATACTTATGGCAATTCACTACCTAGATTAGTATTCTTTCCCTAAAATATCCTCATTGTAAACAAAAACTCAAATCAACAGTCTGTAAGAAAGGTTTAAAAAATGTACTTTTAAGTTTTTCTCTCTTGTCTTTTAAAACTACCAAGGACCCAGCTAGTAGAAAAGTTTAGGACTGAGAATGAAAACATCTCAGTGTCAGGACTGCCACTTCGAATGGAGACTCCATGTGCAATAGTGCCATAGTATAGAGCTATCTTTTCCATTTTCATATTGCGCCAACATGTAATCAACTATGGGTACCAGAAACTTTTAAATTTCAAATTTCACTCTTACCAATTTTATACTGTTACCAGGATGAAATGTCACATAAGACTGCATGCAGTTGCATGCTAAGATTGTCACTGACCTAGGAACCAAGTCACTAGAGTCTAACCCAAATTCTGTCATTAGCCAGTTACATATACAATCTTGGGCAAGTCAGGAACTTCTTCAACCTCAGACTGTTTCCAAAGTTAAGAAGGTAGGCAAGAGATGACTGTGGTTCCTTCTAGCTCTGGCAATGTCTAATTCTAAGATCTGTACTTGCCGTCTAGGAATTTTCAAAAACGTCTTTAGTTTCAGTTTAAAAAGAAAAAACAAAGTACCCTTACTGCCATTTCTCAAGCTAACCAGAATGTTTAAAATGCCAAGATTTGTATACCTAAAAAAATAACTAATGATTTCACTTTGGATGCTAAAAGTCAATGTTGGGAAGCCCATGTTGCTCCCACAGAGCTAATTAAAAATAAAACACTTGGGCCGGGCGCAGTGGCTCATGCCTGTAATCCCAGCACTTGTGGGAGGTCGAGGTGGGCAGATCACGAGGACAGGAGCCTGAGATCAGCCTGGTCAACATGGTGAAACCCTGTCTCTACTAAAAATACAAAAATTAGCTGGGTGTGGTGGTGCGTGCCTGTAATCCTAGCTACTCAGGAGGCTGAGGCAGGAGAATCACTTGAACCCAGGAGGTGGAGATTGCAGCGAGCCGAGATCGCACCACCACACTCTAGCCTGGGCGACAGAGTGAGATCCCGTCTCAAAAATAAATAAATAAATAAACAAACAAATACTTGGATGAACTAGCTAACTATGGAGACATCAATGCAAAAAAGACAAAGTTCAATTTCTATATGAATTATTCTTAAACTTTTCTCGCCTATGACATAAGAATACAGTACTTCCAAAAATATATGAAATTCAACAGTGCTTACTACAAAAGTTCTACCACACAGCCCAGATTACATGAGCACATAACAAGTAAAAGTATGTCTTACCTTTAGTCCATTCTGTGGGTTCATTAGAAAATTTCTCCCTATGTCATCAAACATAATGGTGTTTTTCTTGCTGTAAAACTCCGAAAACTTTCCCCATATAACACCAAGAGGCTTTACCTTAGAATAAAAGTTTACATTTAACTCAAATTTTATCAATATTTCATCCTGTCTTAAAAGCAGGAATACTGCAAACTGCCCTGCAGAACAATGCCAAAGTGTTCCTTTCCCCCTGTAAGACAGGTGTGAGCTAATCATTAAATGCAACCCACTTTAAAGCACAATGCATTTTGCAATATTAAAACTTCTGAAAGGTTTGTTCATGTCCAACTGAACTAAACCCATTATAAAACTTTCCATAATTTTAACGTGAAGATTTTGGGTAAAATAAATAAATTATTTAATTTTTTAAAAATCCAAAGTAATTGTTTAGATGTCTGCTATGCAGTCACATGACTTCCTTGGTTAACACATTCCTTCTCAGAGCTTGGGAGTCACATGGAGTCTGCTTTCAAAACTAGAACACCCTAGTCAAAAAAAAACTGTATTTGGCTTTTTCAATTAATAATTTGAATATTTTATAGAGGAAAAACTCGTTTTGTCTTTAACTCAGTGGCACAGGTGCATAATTTCTAGGGAATTTGATTGCTTAACTTCGGAAGCACCATATTTTACAAATTCTTACTCTTATTTCTGAATTCTTAAACTGAAGCTTCAAATAAATAATTTCTTATATAGTCTTACCTGTTGGTATTTGTGTAAAGTCTCTGTAAGACCACACAGGAAATAACACTGATTGTGGCTAGGTACCAGGTGAAAGATGACTTTTCATTATGTACTTTACTATTTTTTTAGTCATGCAAATGTATTACACATTCAGAAAATTTTTTAAATTTCTAGAAAATTACTTTTGCTGAAGACAGAAGTCTTACGGTATTATGAGAACAGAATGTAATAATAAATATATGAGATTAAGTGGTAAGAAATAAATAGTGATAAAAGTTGTAACTTAAAAATTTTTTTCCTCCTATAATTTAATTTGGAGAAAGCTTTTTCCTTCCTATTGTCTTGCCTATTACAAAAAATGTTAATGAAATATTTTAATTTACTAAAATTTTACTTTCCTGATTTTTTTTTGCTACTGATCTTGTTTACTACCGAAATAGAAACCGCCCCCTACTCCCCCCACGAAATGAAGACAAATATATAAGAATTAATACAATAAGCCATATTTTGTGGATTTTTAGCTAACAAAAGCCTCAAGAAATATGACAACAGAGGTCATTTTTTATGACATCCAGAATAAAAATCCTACATCCTCTTAAAAAGTGCTGTCATTTGTTAATTAGGTCAAGCACCTATGTTCCCCAAAACACAAACTACTTTGCTCTCAATTAGAAAAGTAATATTGCTAACTACAGAAAAAAAACATGAAAATACTGAAAAGCATAAAGGAAAATTTTAAATCAATAATCTAGTCAGTACCAAGGGCAACAACTCAATATTCTGATACATTGACTCCAGGCATTTTTATAAACAAGAGCAGCCTCAGAGAGTTGACAGGTTCTTTGTTAAATTAAGGGTAATCCTGAACCAAACAAAGGTTAAGAACTATTTTCTAACGGCTTACAACAGTGTTCTCTAAAATACTTCTTTCACTTAAATGTGTCATGAAAATTTCTAAATCATTACATATCCTACTACATCAAATGACGAGCTACAGTCCCTTATATGGGTAGCAGTAATTTATATATCCAATGCCCTATTGCTGGATATTGAGGATTATTTTTATTCCTTTAATTTTTCACTGTTATAAAACATGTTTAACATTTCCCTAAGTAATTTTTAATGTTAAGATTTTGTAAATGTATTATTTTACTTTAGTATATAGTAAGTTATCTTTTTCTCGATACATGCAGTATTTCCTTTATAGAACAAGTCCCCATGCCCTTAAATCATTCTATTTATGGTTTTGATAATTTTAATACTGTCTCCCCTAAGGTTTCCTCGTATCCTAAGTTCTCCTCAATTCCTATTAGTTTGGGTGCTTTTATTTTACTTTATTTTGTTGAGACAGAATCTTGCTCTGTCACCCAGGCTGGAGTGCAGTGGCTCAATCTTAGCTCACTGCAACCACCGCCCCCTGGGTTTGAGCAATTCTCCTGCCTCAGCCTCCTGAGTAGCTGGGATTACAGGCATGCATTATCCAGCCCAGCTAACAGTTTGGGTGCTTTCAAATGATATGGACTGTGTCTCACTCATCTCTTTATTCCCAACAGTGCCTATCACAGGGCCTTCCAGACAGTAGATACTTAATAGTATGAGTAGTTACTTGATGAGTAAAATAACTGGTTAGCCAAACCCTTTTCTCTGATTGTTCTTGTTGCTATTCTTCAGCATCATCCCAAAGTACATGCATCATGATGCATCTGCTTTTATTACCAGTTTCAAACAGGGCAGGGTGAGTGTTTTCGCTTGTTTCTAGTATCTTCCTTGATAATATTCAGTATTTTTCTCACCTACTCTGCCCAGTAACATTGTGCTGTCATCAACACAGGTCAATTACCCACAATCACAAGTTCCTTTCTTGACAGTCCTACTTCAAGATCCCTAATTTTATCATTAAAATTCAAATCTTTTAACCTTGGCTGGGCACAGTGGCTCACGCCCATAATCCCAGCACTTTGGGAGGCCGAGGCAGGCGGATCACGAGGTCAGGAGATCGAGACCATCCTGGCTAACAACAGTGAAACTCCGTCTCTACTGAAAATACGAAAAAATTAGCCGGGCGTGGTGGCGGGTGCCTGTAGTCCCAGCTACTCAGGAGGCTGAGGCAGGAGAATGGCGTGAACCTGGGAGGCGGAGCTTGCGTGAGCGAGATTGCACCACTGCACTCCAGCCTGGGCGGCACAATGAGACTCCATCTCAAAAAAAAAAAAAAAAAAAAAAAAAAATCTTTTAACCTTAAATACATTTTCCTATGTCAAAACTCAACCACTTTATTATTCACTCAGATGAATCTCTACACTATTTACTCCATAGGTATAAACATAAAAAGTACACTGGAAAATAACCATGGTGTCATTAAATAGAAATAAAATGACTTCTTACGTCTATTAATCCTCTCCTTGGAGTATGTACTGTTATCATAGCAGCACTATCCAACATGAAAGTAATCTTATAATTTGCATTTGTGCTCACTCCCAGCTCCTATAAACACAAATATTTGTGAGGTTAAAACATAGTAGTGTGGAAAATTTCAGATTTTCTGAATATTCTAGCTGCAATTTCTCATAATGCCAACTTTCTACACCACTGGCCACTACATCTTGCTAAACAACTAGGAAGTATTTTAGTTTCACTTAGCCAAGTCAATAAATGGTAAACCAAGGAAAATAGAAATAGATTACTTCCTAATTTACCATTTTAGGAGAATACTGACTCTTTAAGTATTGCACACTAGAGCAAAAGAAGGAAAATAAAGTATTATTGTAAAATGAGGAAGAATGTGGGGGAGGGGACAAGCTTAGTTATACTTTTTCTTAAAAAAGACTTAGGGATTCAGTACAATCCACTTATTAAACACACTTTAAAAACACCTCTACTCCCAATAATGGCATTTATCTATCTACTAAGTGCCCTCCAGTAAGAATAAAATTAATTCAGTTCTAGAACTTTTAACAAGACAAATGCAGTTTGAAAATATTTTTAAATGGATTGCTTTCTAACACTTACTTTCATTTTAGCTTCAATCCACTTCATATTTGTTGCAGCTAAAACACGAGGAATGATAATACAATACATATGAAAAGCTTGAATTTCTTTAAAAAAAATCTGTATAAGTAAGTTTTCTAAGCAAAACTAAAAGTTTAAATGCATCAGAATTAACAGTCCCTAGCATACTTATGGTAATTTTCTTTTAAATATTGATAAAAGTAAACTTACTGCAGTGTGTCTTCAAGACAGAATAAATTTTAAACAACTTTTATCTGTAAGATACAGGTAATCCATGCTCAAAAGAACTCTGAACCTAGGAAATTTATAAATCAAGACCTAAACTCTCTTTTTAAATCAGCCCTGACACTCTATCAATTCCAAACTTAAACTTGGGTGCCTGGATCACTTTTTTCCATGTTCCTACTTCTAGGCAATGCACAGGTATACATAGTGTCAATATAAGCATATTGTTATGTGTCAAAAGTTTATGTTGAAAACCAGCTAGTCAGGTTCAGTGAAAATCTGCATTTTGTCAGTCTCAGCAAATTAAAGCTCACTGAGTCTAGCAGCTTCTAACAAGAAATGAGACAAATTCATGAAGTATACCTGCATCATGTATCTGCTCATTGTCAGACATTAACCAGCTTTGAGATCATTAATACTAAAATTAAATCCTCATCTTTATGTGCTCTCCTGGTTTACTGGACTAAACTATACAGGTATAACCAAGTAAAATGTTTAAAAAGAGAAAAAGCAATTTAATTATTTGAAGTGTGTGTGTGTGTGTGTGTGTGTGTGTGTGTGTGATTTTTAAAAGCAAAAGAGGAACCTGAGTTCTCAAAATAAAAAATCTTCAGCATGCACACATACAAAAAAACAGAAGAATCACCTTACACGTACAAAACTGGTCAGTTGAGCTAAAATTTTAAAGACTATTGTATCTCCAATGAAAATAATCATAAGATAGAAAAAAATTTTAATCCGGTACTTACTTTGTATCTGTAATTATCAGACGAAAAACAAAAAGACCCACAGCTAATAAAAAGTTTCTAATTATTAAGTAACTATATGTCAGACATAGTACTAGTTGCTATATTGATACTTCTATTCTTACAACTAACCTGTAATATGTATTTAGATATCTTCATTTCTCAAGTGAGGGAACTAAGGCTCAGAAAGATTAAGTGACCTGTCCAGTGTCACACAGTAAGAACAGAGCCAGAATTAAAATCCTAGTCTATTTAGCTCCAAAGTGAAGTACTCTTTTCAATGAACTACCACAAAATATCACAGTTTATAAAAATAATTTAAATATACTATTGTAAAAGGTTCTCAAATTTTATAAGTCTAGTTTAATAACATTTAAAGGATAAACTTTTTTCTCAAATATCATCTTAGATGTCAAAGTTGCTAAACAAACCAGCAAGCTTTCTTCACCTTATCTTACTAAACCAGAAAATTATATATTTTGACAATAATTTTAATCTTAACAGCTGTGAACTCACATGGAACTCACATATCACAAACAACGGAAGTACTCTGATTATAAGGAAAAATACAAAATGAATTTACAGACTGCAACAACTAACATAATTTCTCTCAAAGACCTAGTACAATGAAATGTAGCACCTTTACTTGATGGGACTTCATTTAATTCAGTCAGGATAACTCTTCTCTGCTTATGACATTGCCAAGAGGCAACTTTAAATATTTGTGGGGAGGAGGGATGTAAATCAATGCATTGCTTCATTTTCCAAGAAAATCTTGCTACCAAAAAACGTTAATTGAACTGAATAGTGTGCTTACGATTACAGTATATTTACTTCTTGGAACAAACTCAGTATCTTATCACAGACCTGTACATTCTTGAAATGGTCCGCAGACCACAATTTCAATGTCACTGGCTTTAGTCCACATATTAATTTTTCCTTAAGTAATTCAAGTTGCCTTTATTTCCAGAGAACTATATCACTGTGATTTTGTTTTAAACACCTTTTTCCAAGTATTTTAAAACTGGAGTCAGGAAAAAAGGAGAAAAGAAAAATATTCTGAAGCATCAAGAATTTCACAGCAAAGATCAGAAGGAAAGGCTGGGCACATTGGCTTATGCCTGTAATCCAGCACTTTGGGAGGCCAAGGCAGGAGGATCACTTGAGCCCAGGAGTTCAAAACCAGTCTGGGCAACACAGCGAGACCCTAAAGATATGTGCCTAGTTAAAAAAAAAAAAAATCAGAAGGAAAAACTTCAAATCAAGGTGGGGTCATTGGGAAAATTAGTCATTTTTATTCTTACACTATAATGTACTCATGTCCTATAGTTAAATTAACTATCTCACTGGTATTTGGCCAATATATGTTTAAGTTTATATTGTGATACATGCTTCATTTTAGAAATTTGCTAAAAAATGAAAACTATTTCATATTTAAACACAGGTCATTTTAAGTCACATTTTATACAGCACAATAATATATGGAACAACCTATTTCCACGGAAATCTAAACAAAAAAATACAGCTTACACCAAATAACAATGTCATAATCTTCATAGGCAGATGTTAGAAATTCATGAAGATATGGCCGCATTAATTCTACCCCAGTCTCTGCACAAGACCTGTGGTCTAAAAGAAAATTGATCATAAATAATTATTAGTTTACCATCATGAACAAGTACCTAATACCAATTATTATTAAATGTAATATATTACGAAATGCAAACATAAACATTTCATTGCAAACTGCTTCAGACTGAATTACGTTGGCTGACAAAAAGATGTCTTTCAAAACACAATTTAAAATCCTTAAGATCCAATTTTAGTCGATCAATTTTGTTCAATTTGCAAAAAGCAATACTGAAAATTCAGGCTTAAGTAGTAAACTGAAAATTTTTTTCTCACCTAGTCTCTAAAGTTTAGATGTTATTTTTTAATAATGAAAAACAAACTATGTCCACTTATACTCACCTTTAGTCATCTACCTTGCAGATATAATCACATTTCATCAAAATGACAGGCCAATTAACCAATTAATTAAATTTTTAAAAACTGTACATTAACTTATGTTTTAGGTTTAGGGTTAGAAATAAATTCCAGTATCAGAAGTTAACTATTTCTTGCCAACATTAGACATAAAAGGAACATCTTTCTTTTTCAATGAACACAAAACATTTTTTTCTTTCTTTTTTTTTGAGACAGGGTCTTACTCTGTCACCCAGGTTGGAGTGCAGTGGCACTCCATAGCTCACTGCAGTCTTAATCCGGGCTCAAGTGATCCTCCCACCTCAGCCTCCTAAAGTAGCTGGGACTAGGTGCATACCACCACATCCAGCGAGTATTTTTAGTTTTTATTAGAGATGAGGTCTTGCTCTGTTGCCCAGGTTGATTTCCAACTCCTGAGCTCAAGCAATCCTCCCACCTCAGCCTTCCAAAGTGCCAGGATACATATGTGAGCCACTGCACCTGGCCTACATGAGAAATTTTAAATTCAAGAATCTGCTTGAATATAACTAAACAGAAAACTAGTGATAAAATATCAAACATAATTTTTAAAATATTCCTTATAAAAAATTATTTATAATCAACAGGGAATAACATGGTTAAATGATGATGCATCCATAAACTAGAATACTTTCTGGCCAAAAAAATAAAAAAATATATATACACACACACACATATATATATATCATTCATAATAAACAATATTTTACTGAGAAGATGTTCAATGTGTTATTAAATAAAAGATTTAGAGGAGATCCATACAAACAGTCTAAAAGATATATATCAAATTACTAAGAGTGGTCATCTTTGGGTATCAGGATTACAGATGACTTTTTTTTTTGCTTATCTGTATTTTTTACAATGAGCAATTTACTTTTGTAATAAGAAAAGTTTTCAAGTATTTCACGAGAACCATGAGTTGCTAAGAAAAAAAAAAAACAAAGAAAAGAAAAAAAGAGTTGTTGTGGGTAACAGAAAATGAAAAGCATTCTTAACTGACTTACCAAATAATGTATAATCAACATCTAGCACCAAAAGCTTTTTCCCTTCCCTGGGAGGATTCAAAATTTCCACTTTGTACTCTTTCACTCTGCGAGAAATTTTCAGTAGGTTTTCTTCCCTAATGGAAAACATATAATTAGATAAAATATTCACTTGTTCTCACATGACAACTGATTACTTCTAAAGCGAAAAGCACTTACCTATTTTCTACTTCAACTACTTCATCTTCAATATCAAAGTCATTAACAACATCATCATTGTCAGGGGGTGGACCTAAGACATCTTCCTATTAAGATGGAAAAAGTTTTGTTCTACCATATTATCCTTAATATAACAAATACATGCATAGCATAAAAATAAAATGAGAGATACAATTTGAGTTCCAGAGTCTTTTAAGCCCATACTGGAAAATTTCCACAATTAATAATTCGTTATGTATGTTTCCTGGGCAGATTTACCATATTAAATTTGATCATTTGTGCTACTACTATACTTATACAGTTAATAACACATTCACGGTGCGGGTTTTATTTTTCATTGATTGCTAGACTGACAATTTTACCACAATTAAAACTATAATACAACAGTGTAGTATAAATCATAATATCTTCAAATGGACAAATGGTAACAAAAAGTAAACATTTACCAAGCTCTCCTCACGAGTTCCCATCATCATGATTTTAGTATTTGGTTTCAGTTTGAGAGCTCCAAGCTTAACATCATTTTCTGCAGGTTTGCCTACAATACAAGCAAATGACTGTTTTCTCACTAAAGTTCAGGTGCTGGTTTCACTATTCCATTATATAAAACCCTAACATTAAAAGGTTTGGTACAGATGTCACAGCAATTTTTGTTGTTTTGTTTTTTCCTACATTAACAAATTGTTTCTGCTGAATTAGTCATATCTAAGACACGAAGAAGTCAAAATTAATACAAGGGTTATTTTCTCCCCAATTCTATGTTAGATGAACACCTTTATTCAACTACCTAAACAAAATTAATTCATGTTTTATTCTGTTGTTCAAGATGAATATTACTGTTTTCCAGGAAGCCTTAAAAATTGAGTGCCTAAGAAAACTGCAGATTTACTGTTACTCAAAACTCACTCTTCAATATGATAATCACAAAACACCATAAAAAAAATCCCTTTTAAACTGGATATGAATGCTGCCTGTAATTTTTAAATGTTGTCTTTACTTTTGAAACAGAAAAGATAATTTGGGAAGAGTACGAGGCCCTCGTTACAACGAAACACTGTGCTAAAAGGTAGATGTCAGAAAATAAATGAGTTTCATCCGGGACTTCTGTGCCAAAGGTTTAACAAGCAAATACTGACTGTCTAAAACATCAAAAGTAATCTTAATAATCATGGTATTTTCGAGAACACTTTAATATTCTTACTTTTACCACTAAAACAATTTTAAGAATATTTCTACCAGAGAAATCTCGAAAGGGAGAGACTTACTAAACTACAAATAGCAAGTATAAATTATTAAACAATTATATTCAAAATAATTATTAAAATTCATAATACTAAAAATTCAATGCAAAAAATCTGAAGAGGGGAGAGAATTACCTTTAACTTTGAGTCCAAGTAACTTTTGGCGTTCTGGAAGAACTCCTGTAAGGGTCTTGAGAAACTGTTTGAGATCGAGCACAGTATCATCTTCTGAAAGTGTGGTCACTGAATACTCCTGTCCACCCCATTTTACAATGATAGGGAGAGCCATTCTTGAAACATATGAGGAAGCAGCTTTCCTTCAGAAAAAAAAATACCTGGAAAGGAAGACAAAAATGAACAAGTTAAAATAGATACTGTTTATTGAAGCCAAACTTTTAAGTTTTATGTGTACAGTTTAAGCCTTATTTTACAACTTATGATAGAGAGGATTTTTGTCCATACAGGAGTGCTACCAGAACACCAAAAGATACTAGGACTCAAAGTTAAATTCCCCCACACTCCTAATTTTTGGCTTAGAGTTACTACTTTCTAATACTCTGAGTCTCACTGTTCAACTGGAAATGTGCAATTATGAGCTACCATTCCTCCTGTTCTATTTGGTCAGGTTGATGCTACAAGCAAGTCCTTCCCTGACAGACCATCCATGTTCATTTAACATTTGAAAGGTAGTGTGGTGTAGTTAAGAACACAGATTCTAGAGCCAGATGACCTGGGTTCAGATCCCAGATCTCTCCCACTTAGCCATCTGACTTTGAGAAGTTACTTGACTCTCAGTGTCTAGGTTTCCTCATCTGTAAAATAGGGATGATGATACTACCTACTTCTTAGGGCTTTTATGAGGATTAACTTAATTAACATTTACAAGGTACATAGTGCCTGGCACCTAGTAAACACTACATAAATTAAGTATTGGTTAAACAAAAATCTTTTTAAACTAAAAGCTTACTATGTTCCAGGCAGGCACTGTGCTAAATAAATAGTAAATAGCCATTCTTTGTTTCATATTTTATGAATTGAAGTTTTTACACAATCTCATTAGAGAAAGTAATTTGGTAAGTTTTCCCTCTTTTACAATTAAGGAAACAGGAGTTTTGAGAGGCTATACAATCTGTACATAGACACATAGCTAGTTACAGAACAGGTCTTCTGACTAAATCTTATGTTTCTTCTCCTCCACAATTGTATCTCTTCAGTTGAACATACAAGAGTTAAGGCATCAAAGATCAGTGTATTAGTCTGTTTTCACACTGCCAATAAAGACATACCCAAGACTGGGAAGAGAAAGAGGTTTAATTGGACTTTACAGTTGCAGAATGGCTGGGGAGGCCTCAGAATCATGGTGGAAGGCAAAAAGCACTTCTTACATGGCAGTGGCAAGACAGAATGAGGAAGAAGCAAAAGCGGAAACCCCTGATAAACCCATCAGATCTCATGAGACTTATTCATTGTCATGAGAATAGCATGGGAAAGACCACCCCCCAAGATTCAATTACCTTCCCCTGGGTCCCTCTCATAACACATAGGAATTATGGGAGATATCATTCAAGTTGAGATTTTGGTGGGCACACAGTCAAACTGTACCATTCTGCCCCTGGCCCCTCCAAATCTCATGTCCTCACATTTCAAAACCAATCATGCCTTCCCAACAGTCCCCCAAAGTCTTAATTCATTTCAGCATTAACTCAAAAGTCCACAGTCCAAAGTCTCATCTAAGACAAGTTAAGTCCTTTCTGCCTATGAGCCTGTAAAATCAAAAGAAAGCTATTTACTTCCTAGGTATAATGGGGGTACAGGTATTGAGTAAATATAGCCATTCCAAATGGGAGAAATTGGCCAAAACAAAGGGGTTACAGGGCCCATGCAAGTCCGAAATCCAGCGGGGCAGTCAAATGTTAAAGCTCCGAAATGATCTCCTTTGACTCCAGATCTCACATCCAGGTCACACTGATGCAAGAGGTGGGTTCCTATGGTCTTGGATAGCTCCACCCCTGTGGCTTTGCAAGGTAAACCCTCCCTCCCAGCTGCTTTCACGGGCTGGCATTGAGTGTCTGTGGATTTTCCAGGCACACAGTACAAGCTGTTGTCAGATCTGCCATTCTGGGGCCTGGAGGGTGGTGGCCCTCTTCTCTCAGCTCCACTAGGCAGTGCCCCAGTAGGGACTCTGTATGGGGGCTCTGACCCCACAATTCCCTTCCACACTGTCCTAGCAGAAGTTCCCCATGAGGGCCCCACCCCTGCAGCAAACTTTTGCCAGGGCGTCCAAGAGTTTCCATATATCTTCTGAAATCTAGGCACAGGTTCCCAAACCTCAATTCTTGACTTCTGTGTACCCACAGGCTCAACACCATATGGAAGCTACCAAGGCTTGAGGCTTCCACCCTCTGAAGCCACAGCCCAAGCTGTAAGTTGGCCCCTTTCAGCCATGGCTGGAGTGGCTGGGATACAGGGCACCAAGTCCCTAGGCTGCACACAGCGCGGGGACCCTGGGCCGGGCCCACGAAACCTTTTTTCCTTCCTGGGCCTCCGGGCCTGTGCTGGGAGGGGCTGCCATGAAGGTCTTTGACATAGCCTGGAGACATTTTCCCCACGGTCTAGGGGATTAACATTAGGCTCCTTGATACTTACGCAGATTTCTGCAGCCAGCTTGAATTTCTCCACAGAAAATGCGTTTTTCTTTTCTACTGCATAGTCAGGCTGCTAATTTTCCAAACTTCTATGCTCTGCTTCCCTTATAAAACTGAGTGCCTTTAACAGTACCCAAATCACCTCTTGAGTGCTTTGCTGCTTAGAAATTTCTTCTGCCAGATACCCTAAATCATCTTTCTGAAGTTCAAAGTTCCACAAATCTCTAGGGCAGGGGCAAAATGTTGCCAGTACCTTTGCTAATACATAACAAGAGTCACTTTTACTCCAGTTCCCAACAAGTTCCTCATTTCCATCTGAGACCACCTCAGCCTGGACCTTATGGTTCATATAGCTATCAGAATTTTGGGCAAAGCCATTCAACAAGTCTCTAGGAAGTTCCAAACTTTCCCACATTTTCCTGTCTTCTTCTGAGCCCTCCAAACTGTTCCAACCTCTGCCTGTTACCCAGTTCCAAAGTTGCTTCCACGTTTTCGGGTATCTTTTCAGCAATGCCCCACTCTACTAGTACCAATTTACCGTATTAGTCTGTTTTCATGCTGCTAAGACATACCCAAGGCTGGCCACAGTGGCTCATGCCTGTAATCCCAGAACTTTGGGAGGCTGAGGCAGGTGAATCACCTTAGGTCAGGAGTTCAAGACCAGCCTGGCCAATGTGGTGAAACCCCATCTCTACTAAAAATACAAAAAAAAATTAGCCAGAGGTGGTGGTGGGCGCCTGTAATCCCAGCTACTTACAGTTCCACAATGGCTAGGGAGGCCTCAGAATCATGGCAGAAGGTAAAAAGCACTTCTTACATGGCAGTGGCAAGAGAGAATGAGGAAGACAGAAAAGCGGAAACCCCTGATAAATCCATCAGATCTCATGAGACTTATTCACTTATTCACAAGAATAGCACGGGAAAAATCGGCCCCCATGATTCAATTACCTCCCACTGGGTCCCTCCCACAATAAGTGGGAATTCTGGGAGATACAATTCAAGTTGAGATTTTGGTAGGGACACAGCCAAACCATATCAATCAGAAAATACAAAACCCATGGGTACAGATCTAAGCACACAAAGATTATATAGTGGCTGCCACTCATGTAAATAACCAAACATATGTCTCTTCCTGCATAAAGCTTTCTATTTTTCATTAAACTCATTCCTCCCACAGTCCAGAGAACTGGATTTTCTAATCTCAAGGTATTGGTATTTCCAATGCTTTCACTTATTTGATGAAACATTTGATTGCACTCTTCATGCAACTATTAGGACCAACTGCAAGAAAGAGGTTAAATTTTTAATCTCCACTTCCAAAAATAATTTAAAAACAGTGTCTCCTACTAAAAGGCCAATTAGAAGAGAGAGCCATAAATTCATATTTATATTTACTCATATATGAATACAAATATGAACTATAAATGTATATTTACTCCTATGTTTACAATGTGTTCTACTGAAAATGTAAAGCAAGTGTCTTAATTTAGGGTAACGTATTCCATTTTAGACAGAACTATAACAAATGTTATATTCTTCAATTAAAAGTGGACCTTTTGAGTTAAACTGAAATACAGTTTAAATATTTTCTGTAAGACATAAGAATAAAAGGGAATCCTACGAGAGCTAGAAAGGCAACCAGCACTAATATCGCATATATTGTGATGCGTAGTAGTGCAGAGTTTGGAGTGAAATCATCTGAGTTCCAGGTGACCCTGGACAAGTGATTGCTCTTCTAGACTAGTGGTTTTCAAAGCATGGTCCCTGGGCTAACGAACAGCATTGACCTCACTTGGTAATTTGGTAGAAATGTAATTGGGGTGGAGAGAAGGGACCTAGGAATCTGTGTTTTAACAAGGTCAGTCCTCCTCACCTCTGATGAATGCTCAAATTTGAGAGTCAGTACTACAGGCTCTTCAATGTTTTCAGCCTTAAAAAAAATGTGCCAGAGGGCATGGGCTCTATATGGTTAATAAAGCAGCATAAAAACGTTACGAAGCACCTATCCCACAAGTGGAAATTCCAAGTTGGCAAATGCCTTAAAGGGCCAAGCGAAACAAACACCATAAAAATTGTAAATGCATATGTCTTTAAGATTTGTTTAAAAGTTACTGAACCTTATTTCATCATTAAGACCGTTCACACCAATGAAGCAGTGTGATATAAATGCATGAGCTATTTTGCTTTCACATTTAACCTTCTTTCTTAGTATTTTGTATCATTTCAGATCCCATCAGATTTATAAGCTGAAAAATGATTTGGGGTGTGGGGAGGAGTGAAGTTGGCAAACCCAAACAAGCAAGCAAAGAATACACTTCCATATGGTCAACCTAGGGTCAAGAATAGCTGTTTAGGTTGGAGTTCTACCTAACATACTGTGTTGACTTTGCCTAGTCAATCCACCTCTTGGCCTCAGTCTTCTCAACAAGATGAGGCTACTAATATTCACTGGACAGGAGTAGTGTTAAGGTATGAAGTAACACCTGTGACAGCACTTTGTAAACTGTAAAACACAATACAAATGGTGTTCATGATGGAATAAAAACATGCTAAACAATTATCTCATTGAAGCTTCACAATCCTGAACCAACAGCTGTTGTCCTCATTATACAAATGAGAATCCTGAAAAGAAATTAAACTTGCCCGGGACCACAAACCTAAAAAGTGGCAAATGAAGAAATTTTAAAGTATAGCAGTAAAAGTAACACTTTGGGAATTAACGGGAGGTTAACTTTCAACAATCCCAGCAAAAGATAACCGTGAAGCACTAAGAACTCCGGCGAGAACCGCACACCAGCAACAACTGCGAGGTGGTGCAGGGTCGGGGGCTGTGCTAACTGACTTAGGGGAGCATTAGGAGGCAGGTGGAGGCTCCAGAACCAAAAAGGCCGGGATGCCTTCAACAAGGAGGTTGAGGGGAGGGATGGACAAGCCTGAGAAGACGGAGGAATGAAGTTTGGGGACGCAAAACCCACTGGGAAACAGAAAGCCCTCCAAATAGGCTAGACTGCTGGATGGGAGGACAGCGGCCCCCGCGACTAAGCGGGCCGGGGCTAGGGGCCTGGGCGTCAGACTAGGACAGACACTATCCCCAGCCCGCCGCAGTGCAAGCCACGCCGCGCGGGCCGCAAAGCCACTGTCCCCGAGCCCCAACAGCGTCTCCAAGGGCAGCGCGCCAGGGTGCCCCGCAACCCCTCACCTGGAGCGCGGTGGAACCTGCGGCAGCGGACGCAGAAACCGGCCGCTGAGAGACCGAAAGCGACCGGAAGTGAAGGGCGGGACCGGAACCGGCTGAAAAACCGGAAGTGGGTGGTTTGAAACGGAAATATGTTGGGGACGGAACAACTGCTTCCTTTGAATCTCTTCGGGTGCTAATCAAATGGCCGCTGTAAGGGATCTCCACAAAGCCACGAAGAAGCCAGGCCTTTCCGAGACTGTAACCGCTGTGCAGATAGCGCCGATCCCTGGGTGGCCGCTCTCTCGTTCTGCGCGTGCGCTCGTTCTGGGCTGGGAGCGGATGGGTGCTGAGGCGTGTGACGTCTCTAGTAGTGTCGTAACTGGGTGTGCTGCCTTTTCCAGGTGTACTGAGGTCTTCGTGAGATTCAGGGCTAGGACTCGTGTGGCTGTGTCATGTTCCGAATGAAGCTTAAAAGGTGATCTTTGAGAACTGAAGACTTGAGACCCCTCCATGGGCCCAGGGGCTGCCAACACTAATAATTTCAGAGACTTAGAATCTGAGGAGAATCTCCAATCTAAGGGGAAACGGAAGAGGGTCAGGAAAGAGAAGGGGCAAGCTTAAGTGACTCAGAATCCAAGAAGCAAGTCTCATAGGAGAGCTGCGATCGAGGTTACCATACAGTATCCAATCGTCTCAACCTTCCCATCCATACTTCCATGCTGTCTTTCCTCTGAATGCAAGGAAAACCGGTTACACAAACGCTGACAAAAGAATGTCAGACTTGAATGGAAATTCGGAGCAGTACCCATCTGGTCCATACAGCGAACTCCCAGTGAGCACCACGGCAATGTAACTAATTCATGTTTCCCTCTTGGCAGTGCGGGAAAGGCAGCAAAGAGCCAAGTTTTGTATCTTAACAGTTCTTTAGTTAAGAGGCACACGCTATTTTGCATTCTTCCCTACTTTTGATAATTTTTGGCTGCACTAGTAATGCATGAGTATCTGCTCATTTAAAAAACTCAAACTTTTTCAGTGAAAAGTATGCCCTTTTCTTCAGAAAGTCTTAATTAAAAAAAAAAAAAAAATCATTGCCCAGACCAACATTTTCAAGCATTTTCTCAAATCGTTTTCTTGGAATAGCTGCATAGTTTTGGGTCTTACATTGAAGTTTGGTGCTCATATGTGGGAGCTAAAAAAAAGTTGACTCCATGGAGATAGAGAGTAAAATTGTGGTTACCAGAGGCTGGGAAGGATAAGGAGGGAGAAGGAGATGAAGAGAAGTTAAAAGGAGCGAAAATATGGTTAGACAGAAGGAATAAGTTGTAGCGTTCCACAGCACAGTAGGGTGACTATAGTAATCAATAATTTATTTTGTATTTCAAAATAGAGGAGAAAGGTTGGGATAGTCTCAACACAAATGATAAATGTTGGCCGGGCACAGTGTGGCTCACACCTGTAATCCCAGCACTTTGGGAGGCCAAGACAGGCAGATGACTAGAGGTCAGGAGTTCAAGACCAGCCTGGCCAACATGGTGAAACCCAGTCTTTACTAAAAATAAAAAAAATTAGCTAGGTGTGGTGGCATGTGCCTTTAACCCTAGCTACTCGGGAGGCTGAGGCATGAGAATCACTTGAGCCTGGGAGGTGGAGGTTGTAGTGAGCCAAGATCATGCCACTGCACTCCATCCTGGGTGATAGAGCAAGACTATCTCAAAAAAAAAAAAAAAAAAAAAGAAAAGAAGAACTTTTGCCTCCTGTTGCTCCCTGGAGCCTCTCTTCTAATGTGTGGAGGATAATATACTTGTCCTTCATTCATGCATCTCTGTAGCAGCTAAAGATGCCTGGGAATTCCTCCATAGATTGTCAGGTCTGAGAGTCTAAATAATATATGGAAACAATTTCACAACATCAGATGACAAACTGTTAATATTACTGTGACCACATTTACTTTGGAAGATAAAAGGACATTCCTGCACCTAGGCCAGAAATCCCCCACTACTCTGCTTTTATCTCCATCTCCCCCAGACTTTTTTCTCCCCTTTTCTCTCTCTGGCCATTTTCTTTCTCTAGCAAGTGTGTTCTCTTGCCCAGCTCAGATCTACTCCCCTCAAAAAGCTTTCCCTCTCTTCCCAGTTGGAAGACAATCCTCTTCAAAAATTTAGTTCCCTCTAGAAGTTTGTCTCTCTCTTCTAATACCTACTCCTTTGCCTTTATCTTGCCTGCAGTAAGAGAGCTGAAAATATTTAGAATCTGCCCCACATGACAGAATACAGGTTCTTAATGAAGCATGCCCAGTTACTGCCCTTCTCTATTCAGCATGCTTTCCCCAAACTACTACTTAAAAACTCCATTCTCTTCAAACCTCAGAACTTCCAATATACTCCTTTGCTCTAGGCAGATGACATTGTCCCATATTTTGGCAATTCTTCAAACCTCTGAATCTACAAACTAAGGTATATTTTCAGTCATCCTCACTCTTGCTTATTTCAGTTGAGGCAGTTCGCTTCTATTTGAAGCCAACCCTTTAACTTGTTCTCCGGCTTCTTCCTTCTAAGGAAGCTTTCTATAAATCCAGGATTCCCTTCTCTTGCTCTTGTATTTTTAACCTCTTTCTACTGGCTCATTCCCATCAATAATAAACATGCCATGGTATCTTGCCATCATAGCCATCACCCTTTCCTTTCACAGATGGATATTCAGAACATTGTTTACAGTTGTCTGAACTTGACATAATCTATAATTGTATACTTCTTGGAAATATTCTTTCTTTAGTGACATTCTCTCCCACTATATTGTAAGCATATTAGTTTTCACACTGCTATAAAGATGCTACCTGAGACTGGGTAATTTCTAAATAAAAGAGGTTTAATTGACTCACAGTTCCACAGGGCTAGGGAGGCCTCAGGAAACTTACAATCATGGAAGAAGGTGAAGAGGAAGCAAGGCATGTCTTACATGGCAGCAGGAGAGAGAGAGAGCGTGCACGCAGGGGAACCTGCCCCTTTTAAACCATCAGATCTCGTGAGAGCTCCTCATTATCATGAGAACAGCATGGAGGAAACCACCCCCATGATCCAATCACCTCCCAGCAAGCCCCTCCCTCAACACGTGGGGATTATAATTTGAGATGAGATTTGGGTGGGGACACAAAGACAAACCATATCAGTAAATTTTGTTAAGGAACAGACAATTTATTCACCTTTCCATTCTCAGAACCTAGCATGATATTGGCTAACATAGATGCTCAATAAATATATGCTGAATGAATGAATAATGAATGTTAAGTAATAAGAGCTTATGATGTAACAGTTGTCCTTTGGTATTGGTAGGGGATTGGTTCTAGGGCCCCCAATAAATAACAAAATCTAAGGCTGCTCCAGTCCCTGATATAAAATAGCATAGTATTTGCATATAACCTATACACATCCTGTCATACACTTTAAATCATCTCTCAATTACTTATAATATCTAATACAATGGAAATCCTATGTAAATAGTTGGTATACTGTATTGCTTTTACTTCCATTATTTTTTATTGTTGTCTTATTATCTTTGGGTTTTTCCCCTAATACTTCAAACCCGAGGTTGGTTGAATCCGTAGTTTTGGAACCTGTGGATCCAGAGGGCCAGCTGTACATATTACGCTTGTAACAATACATATCAATGAATGATTACAATTTGTATATAACTCTGGAGGTACAGGAAAGGTCTGAAATGCACACTAAAATCGTGATAGATCATAGCTCTATAGGATGTATTCAGTAAATATTTGTTAGGTGAATTAATGAAATTATCTGTGGCATCACAGAACAGGCAATTTCCATCTTGTTTATATTTTTATGTACATCTGAATTTTTTACAGTTTTACATTACTTTTATTTCTTTTTTATATGAGAAGTTCATAAAGGCATTCTTTTAAAAAATATTGAAATAACACAGATACGTTCATAACTCTGCTAACTTTTTGTAGTGCCTATCATTGCTTTTCTAGACTTTATACACACACATACACACATATGTATAGTTTATGTTATTTTTTTTTTATCTTGCTCCGTTACTCAGGCTGGAGTGCAACTGCACCATCATGGCTCACTGCAGCCTTGACGTGCTGGGCTCAGGTGATCCACATCAGCATTTCGAGTAGCTTAAACTACAGGTACGCGCCAACATATCCAGCTAATTTTGTGTGTGTGTGTGTTTTCTAGGGCAGAGTTTTGCCATGTTGCCCACGCTGGTCTCGAACTCTTGAACTCAAACAATTCACCCATCTTGGCCTCTCAAAGTGCTGGGAATTACAGGTGTAAGCCACCATGCCTTTTATGAGACTTTTATGAGACTTTTTAAACTCTATTTTTAGATAATTGTAGATTCTCCTGGGAATCTACAATTATCTAAACCTACAATTATTTAAAATCTACAATTATTTAAAAATACCATTATTTAAAAATAATTATAAATATTTTATAATTATAATGATACTTATATTTATAATTATAAATACATTACTTTATAATTATAATTTTTAATTATTATAAACTTCTGCAAAAAGTCATTTGTACCCTTCACTCAGTTTTCCCCAGTGAATTACATCTTATATAACTATAGTACATCAAAACCAGGAAATTGACATTGATGCAATGAGTGTACATATAGCTCTATGCCATTTTATCACATGCGGATTCATGTAATTACCACTATGATCAACACAAAGAACTATTCCATCACCACAAACATAGCACTTGTGTTACCTCTTTGTACTCACATCCATCCACATTCCTCGGACCACTCCTAATCACTGGCCACTAATCTGTTTTCCACCTCTATAATTGTGTCATTTCCAGAATGTTATGTAAATGGAATCATACAGTATAAGTGTTTTGAAATCAGCCTCTTCATTCATCATAAGGCCCTTGGGATCCAGTCAAGCTATTTTGTGTATCAATAGTTCATTTCTTTTTATGGCTGAGTAGGATTCCCTGTGTGGATGTACAACAATTTGTCTAGCCATTCACTTACTGGGCATTTTAGTTGTTTCTGAGTTTTGCCTTTTAGAAATAAAGTAGACTGTTTGTTTATAAGGTAATTCGTAATCTGTTGAGACTTAAGTCTTCCAACCCATATTTTGTTTTCTGTTTGTTGCTTCTATTTTTAGTTTTTCTATTTTTTTCTTGTTTTTCTATTGATTTCTTGAATATTATTTTAGAATTCTATTTTGATTTGTCTGCAAGGTTTTTGAGTGTATCTCTTTGTATAATTTTTTTTAGTTTATCTCTGTAAATTTTGTAGTGGTTGCTCTAGGTATTACATTATATTTACATAACTTAAAACAGTCAATTAGCGATAACATGTTAGTAGTTCAAGTGAAGCGTAAGGGGATTTATTAGAGGGATTGGCTCACACAATTGTGGAGGCTGAGAAATCTCTTGACAGGTCGTCTGCAAACTGGAGGCTCTGGGATGCTGGTAGTGTGGCGGGGTCTAAGCTCCAAGGCTGCAGAACCAGGGAAGTCAGTGATGTAACTCCGAGTCCAAGGACAAAGGTCTGAGAACCCAGTTGGTTGGGGAGGGAGGGTGACTTTTGTGTAAGTCCTAGAGTTCAAAGGCTGGGGAGCCTGGAGTTGTTTTCCTAGGACAAGAAAGGAAAAAGTGCATCCCAGTTCTGGCAGATAGAGTGACACATTCACCTTTTCTCTGTTTTTGTTCTTTCTGAACCCCTAGCAGATTGGATGGTGCCTGCCCACATTGCGGGTGGATCTCCCCCAGCTAGTCCACTCAGACCCACACACTAATCTTTGCTGGAAGCATCTTCACAGACACACCCAAAAATAATGCTTTACCAGGTTTCTAGGTATTCCTTAATCAAGTCAGATTGACATCTAAAATTAACCATCACAGTAGGTCTGCTAGCAACAAAAGCTCTTAGTCTTCCTTCATTTGAGAATGTCTTGATTTCCGCTTTATTCCTGACGCATATTTTCACTGCATACAGAATTCTGGGCTGGCTGTTCTTTTCTTTTGGCACTTGAAAAATGTGCTTCTTTCTTCTAGCCTCCAATGTCTTAGATGAGAAATCCTGTGACTTTCTAATTGTTTTCTACTCTACTCATAAGCCATTGTTTCCCTTTTGCTGCTTTCAATATTTTTATCTTTTGTCTTTAGTTTTCAAAAGTTTGACTAATGATGTGTCATGATGGGGATTTATTTGTGTTTATCTTGTTTGGGGTTCACTCAGCTTCTTTAACCTGTAAGCTTATGTCTTTAGCCAAATTTGGGCAATTTTCAAACATGAATTCTTTAAACACTTTTTGAGGTCTACCCTCTTTCTCCTCTCCTTCCAGGGCTCTGACAGTGCAAATGTTAGATATTTTGGTATAGTCTACAGGTCCCTGAACCTCAGTTCATTTTTTTTCAGTCCATTTTTTTCTCCATTGTTCAGATTAGATAACTTCTCTTGTTCTATCTTCAGGCTCATTCTTTCTTCTGTCCCCTCCATTCTTCCATCCATTGATTTTTTTTGGGATATTGTATTTTTCAGTTCTAAAATCTCCATCTATTTTTCTTTATACCTTCTATTCCTTTGCTAACACTTTTTATTCATTTTGAGCATGTTCTTAGTTGTTCATTGAAGCATTTTTATGATGACTGCTTTAAAACCCTTCATGTAGGCTAGGATAACGTCATTCCAACATCTGTATTATCTTGGTGCTGAATCTTATTTAAATTTTCTGTTTCAGCAGGCTTCCTCTGACACTGAATTGTTAGGAGAAGGGAGATGCCACCTCCAACCTCTCTGACTAGGGAGAGAGTCAAAGCTCTCCATCAGGCCTCCCTTGACAACCTAGGTTGGTGGGGAAGGTATCTCATTACTGCTGAGCAGGGTTGGGAGTTCAGGCTCCCCACTAGGCCTCCACTGATACCACCCTGGTTGGGAGGGAGAGGGATGCCTCATTACTGCCCCATGTAACTGAACCTAGGTTCAGCTGCTCACTGCTTGAAAGCCAGACATGAAAAATGATGGTTGGTGGAAGGAAAAGCAGATTTATTCAGATAGCCAGCTAACTGAGAAGATGGTGGACCATCATTCTAAAGTACCATCTTAAGTCAAGACAAATTTTAGGCTCTTTTTGTGTAAGGGTAAGGGGACAAGGAGGGAGTTGAGATCAAGAGATGACCAATAACCACAGACATCTCGGCACCAGTGAGGGTCCACAGTGGTTGGGAACTTCTTTGTCATGTGAAAATGTTCCTATAAATCTTTAACAAAATATAGTTAGCTGTTTACATACTTCTCCTTTAATCCTAGAGTTCATTTTTAAAACTACATGATTGCTGTTTTTGCATATTATCTCAGTGTTCTAAAATTATCCTAGCCTACATGCAGGAATGAGTAAAGGCCCCTTAAAAAATGGATTAGTTATGTTAGTTCTTTTGCTGTTTCACTGTCATATCCTCACGTGGCCTCCAATGACACTTTGGAGGGTGTGTGGGGGACTCATTACCACTGGAAGATGGTGAAAGTTGGGCTTCCCACTCAGCCTTCTCTGAAACCAGCCTGGTGGGGGTTTAGAGGACCCTATAGTCCATCAAGGGTGAAAGTCTAGGCTTCCCAGTCAGCTACTACTGATCGGTGGGGGTGGGAACACTCCTTTTTCTGTGATATTTGGTTGGAGTATGGCAGTGTGTCAGAGGTCTCCAAGAACACTCCCAGGTTCAGCGTTTCATTAGGAGGACTCACAGGACTCAGCGTATAGTTCCTGTCACAAATAAAATGAGCAAAAGGAATAGCCTCGTGGAATGAAGTCTGGAGGAAACCAGGCCCAAGATTCTAAGGATTCTCTCCAAGGGAAATTATACAGAGCACACTTAATTTTGTTAACAGGGAACTGTGACAACAGGCATGAATTGTGTCTACAAAGGAAGATTATTAGAGAATCAGTGCCCTAGGTTTTGGGGACAGTTGATTATTGTATTAGTCCCTTTCACTGCTGCTATAAAGAACTGCCCAAGACTGGGTAGTTTATAAAGGAAAGAGGTGTAATTGACTCACAGTTCCACATGTCTGGGTTGGCCTCAGGAAACTTACAATCATGGCAGAAGGTAAAGGGGAAGCAAAGACTTTCTTCACATGGCAGCAGGAGAGTATGTGCAAGCAGGGGAAATTCAGACACTTAGAAAATCATCAGATCTCATGAGAACTCACTCACAATCATGAGAGCAGCATGGGGGAAACCACTCCGATGATCCAATCACCTCCTACCAGGACCCTCCCTTGACATGTGGGAATTATGGGAATTACAATTCAAGATAAGATTTGGATGGGGACACAGACAAACTATGTCATCATGTAGATACCCACTGTCTTGCACCTATCAAAACTGCAGACTCTCAGAAGGAAAGCAGCTGTGCAGCAGAAGCTACATTGTTTGCCAACAGTCTAGTCTCAGTGAGCCATTCTTATCATTTGGGGAAAGTTTCATATCTGTATAGGAACTGTAGGATGTTCCCAGATGCCAGCCAAAGACCAATCTTGCAAGCAAGAATTTCTAAGGATGGCAGGCTTAGGCCTCCCATGGTAACTTTTCTGCATATGTGGTTATTAACTAAATGTTTTCTGCCTTACCAGGCTGTTCCTTTCCTGGTCCTTTGTCTAGAGACAGCAGGCTTGGGGTAGGGATGGGGGAGTGTTACATGAACCCCCTGGCATTTCTAGGTTGCCTGTATTGCCAGTACGTAGTCTGGGATATATGAAACAAAAAGAAATCCCAAGGAATTTGCTAGCATGTTTTTTAAGGTAAATAGCCAATCTGCCTTATTTCTACCTTCCAGAGTCCCCTTATATTTATTTTACATATACTGTCCAGGATTTTTAGCTATACTTAGCAGAAGAATAGGGAGACGTGCAACTGGAACTGTCTTGGAACTGGAAATCTCTGTATTACTTTTACAATGAGAAAAAAAGGCATTTTTTTGTTTTCGTTTTGAAAACAAAACATATCTATATATGACACAGCAAACAAAACAAAACAAAATAAATGAATAAATATGATATAGCAAGCTTAACCTAAATATAGGGCTGAAAAGTTACCAACAGGAGTGAAAAACATTATCATGACTTGATTCCACTTATTCTAACAGTAAAATGCATTTTCTCTCATTTATAAAAATAACATGTACTCGGCTGGGCGCTGTGGCTGACGCCTGTAATCCCAGCAGTTTGGGAGTCTGAGTTGGGTGGATCACCTGAGGTCAGGAATTTGAAACCAGCCTGGCCAACATGGTGAACCCCATCTCTACAAAAAATACAAAAAATTAGCTGGGCGTGGTGGCAGGCACCTGTAATCCCAGCTACTCAGGAGGCTGAGGCAGGAGAATAGCTTGAACCCAGGAGGGAGAGGTTGCAGTGAGCCAAGATTGTGCCATTGCACTACAGCCTGGGCAACAAGAGCGAAACTCCGTCTCAAAAATACAAAATAATAATAATAATAATATGTACTCATTATAAAAAACTGATTCTACTTTTCTTTGACACAGGTGGTTAATATATTAGTTTTCTTTATTTAGTAAACAAAATGAAAACTTCAAAGTTAGTAAAGATTGCAGGGTGGCAGAATATCTACATTCATTTAATTTCATTATCATTTATAGAGAAGAATATAGAGTAGAAATTTTCCCACAGTCAAAGGGTGGAACAGACCTTCCATAGATGTCCCATGCACAGTTTTAATAGGAACAATAAAATGTGTGCTTCTCTTTTATATCCAAAGTCTTGTGCATTAGAGATAGTATCTTCTTACTTATGGAATAATAATTACAATGTCCCAACCCACAAATTCTAGGCTAATGAAACTATTTCTGAGATGAAAATTTTAGCATAATATATTGCTGCCTAATCACATTCACTATGAAATCTTAAAAAAGAACATCAAATTGTTATGTTGTAGTATTTAACATTATGAAGTAATTTCATTTATTTGTTTTTTTACATCCACAGTGACTCATAAGTGAATAAATTAATATCTCCCATGCTTCAAAAAATATCAATGAAATGTTTAGACAGTTACAATCTAAACATTTACAACACAACAAGGCAAGCTTTGATTACCAATAAGCTATCTGTAATGACTAGGCTACCTTGTTTTATTCATTATGCTTCCAATCTTCAGGAGACATTTCTTTAACAATGTGTTTATTTCCAAAGAGCATTAGACAGGGTTCTAGAAGCAGCCTTGCCTAAAATTGCCCTCCTGACCTTGAGGCAATCAATTTCCCCTGACCTCAATTCCATTTGTAAAAATGAGTTTATTGAATAGCCAAAAGACAAAAAGATAAATACGTTCTGTGTTTCAGAGCCTCTATGGTTTAATAGTTCTCAGACAACAGCCTATGGGCCTGGGCTAGATTTTGACAGTTTCCATCAATCTTCCGTTTGCAAAATGAGAAACATAAGCATCACGTAATCCGTAAAACCAAATGGAAAATTCATGTTCTTCCTCTTTATTGACAGCTATTATTACTTCCCTGATATCTGCATATATCTCTCCTGGAATTTTCAGAGCTTCATCATTCATACTTAAATAAATTTTATAGAAAATTTACATTTAGTATGTAGAATTTTATTGAAAACATCAAAGTAGTAATTTTTTTCTTGCTACTGTATAAATATTACCTCAAGTGACTTGTTTTGAAATATTATTTATGGTTTTAAATAACAGAAACTTAAACATGCTAGCTTGAGCCTAAAGGGAGTTGAGGAGAGGAAGCAGGAGAGCAGTATTAGAAAGAGCACAGTACCAGACACAGTTATGCCTGTCGTTGAACCAGGAGTCAAGGTGAGTCCAAGATCCTCAACAATAAATTCTAGATCCATAGACCTTCTCTCAAGAACACTGCCATTCATATGACTCTGACTCCTAGTTTCTGTATTGCTCAGCTCCAAATTCCAAAATCCTGAGATAGAATCTTATTGGCCTCACTTAGGCCACATGTCCTTCTCTGAACCAATCAGTTCTGCCTAAGGGATCAGGTTCTGCCTGAGCTTGTCCCTGTGTACTGGGGAGGGTTCTCAGGGATGAGACCCTCTCTGTAGGCCTATTAGCCACTCCTGAAGTTATTCTACACTGACAGTTAACAGTGTTAATTACTTTCCTAAGAAGTCTCAATATTACTTTTCCTTATCTCAATATTCTAGTTAATTTATTATTCATTCACCCACTCTATTTTTTAATGATAGTCACATTTTATCCATAAGAAAATCACTCATTTTCTTCCTCTCCATTCATATCTTAGCTCTTTGGATTTACATTAATTTTAAATTCTACCACTTGGAAATGTATTTTCTGCTGTCACTGCTACTAGCAAATGTAAAAAGTATTAAATAGTTCCAAATTAGTTTATGACTCTCCAATCTTGAAATGCTCCATATTTTAAATCAACAGTGATTTCTACATTAATTTTTTTCTTAAAATTACTCTTTCTGAGGTTGGGTGTGGTGGCTTACTCCTGGAATCCCAGCACTTTGGGAGGCTAAGACAGAAGGATCACTTCAGGCCAGGAGTTTGAGACCAGCCTGGCCAACAAAGTGAGACCCTGTCTCTACTAAAAATAGAAAAACTTAGTCAGGAGTGATGGCACATGCCTGTAGTCCCAGCTACTCAGGAGACTGAGATGTGAGAATCACTTGAGCCCAGGAGTTCAAGGCTGCAGTGAGCCATGAGCATGCCACTTCACTCCAGCCTGGGTGACAGAATGGGACCCTGACTCTAAGAAAAAATTAATGTCTGAATCTGATTGTATTTTAATAATTCCAATTTTGATGTAATTCACAATTATTATTATTATTTTTTTTATTTTTATTTTGAGATGGAGTCTTACTCTGTTGCCAGGCGGGAGTGCAGTGGCACAATCTTGGGTCACTGCAACCTTTGCCTCCTAGGTTCAAGAGATTCTCCTGCCTCAGCTTCCCGAGTAGCTGGGACTACAGGTGCGCACCACCATGCCCAGCTAATTTTTTTGTATTTTTAGTACAGACGGAGTTTCATCATGTTGGCCAGGCTGGTCTCGATCTCCTGACCTCGTGATCCACCCGCCTTGGCCTTCCCAAAGTTCTGGGATTACAAGCATGAGCCACCACGCCCAGCCGTATTATTATGATTTTAAACATGGTGAAACTAAACTATAACTTTTTTATCCTCATGACTTTCCCATAATAATATTCCCAATAAGCTATTATTAATGCATGTAAATATAATAGATGTGATATTTTATTTAATTCTCACAACCTTATGGGTATAAAATTAAAACTTTTTGCCTCAAAACAAAAAATGGGCAAACTATAGATTCTGTGTTTTACTTATGGTTTGAGAAAATCACTGGCAACAATCTGTTTAAAGTCAGATTTTGTTGCTCGGTGCTCTGCCTCTGATGTTGGCTTAACTCAGTTTCTGCATCCTCAGCAAAGCTGGGGGATGAAAGCCTAAGACTCCAGTTAACAACCACAGATGTATCATTGTCCTTGCTTTGTAGATGTATTTATTTTTATTTTCAGTCAATGGTCAGCATACCTGCAATCTGCCACTATTTCCTCCAGATTTCCTCTGTAACAACTGATATAGGAATGATGCTTTTATGACCCTGGAAAATGTAACTTTAAACACTAACTAGCTATCTGCTTGCTTTGTATTGTTTTTGTTTGTGTGTGTTTTAATAAACTGCTCTAGTGATCCTTCCATTTTTCAACTATATCCCACTTCCAGTTCTGTTCTGTCTCGGAATAGGCTCACTCTTTGATCATTTTGCTGGTACCCTTGCTATTATTACTGAACATTGGCACATGCCAACATCAGTATGTCTAAGAAATGCTCTTAATCCTTTAAAGCAGGGGTCCCCAACCACTGGGCCACAGAAGGGAAGTGGGCTGCACAGCAGGAGGTGAGCATGGCGCAGGAGCATTACCAACAGAGCTCTGTCCCATCTCAGATCAGTGGTGGCATTAGATTCTCATAGGAGCGGGAACAGGAACCCTATTGTGAACTGCGCATGCGAGGGATCTACGTTGGGCACTCCTTAATGAGAATCTGAGATGGAACAATTTCATCCCGAAACCATCTACCCACCCCCACTCCTGTTCCGAGGAAAAATTGTCTTCCAAGAAATGTGATCCCTGGTGCCAAAAAGGTTGGGGACCGCTGCTTTAAAGTATTGTCTTTAAGCCCATTGTGCAGATAAGGAAACTGAGACATGGTTATGTTAACTGTTTAAGGTCATACCTCAGGTTTGTGGAGGATTTAACACCCAGGCAGGTTGATTCTAGAGCAACATTGTCCAGGATAAATATAATGCAAGCCACATATGTGTAATTTTAAATTTTCTAATAACCACAAAAAAAGTAAGAAAAGGAGAGATTGTTTAATAATATTTGGGTGATAATGATATGTCAGTACAAGTTCATTGATTGTAACAAACGTACCACTCCAATGGGGGATGTTGGTAGTAGGGGAGGCTGTTCCTGAATGGGGTAGTGGGTATATGGGAAATCTCTGTATCATCCAGGCTGGGGTGCAGTGGTGCGATCTCGGCTCACTGTAACCTCCCCCTCCCTGGGTTCAAGCAATTCTCCTGCCTCAGCCTCCCGAGTAGCTGGGATTACAGGCACATGCCACTATCGCCCGCCGAATTTTTGTGTTTTTAGTAGAGAGGGAGTTTTGCCATGTTGGCCAAGCTGGTCTCGAACTCCTGGCCTCAAGTGATGTGCCCGCCTCTACCTCCCAAAGTGCTGGGATTACAGGTGTGAGCCACTGCCCCCAGCCATCTATGTACCTTTCAGTTTTGCTGTGAACCTAAAACTGCTCTAAAAAAAATAGTCTGTAACAAGTGCTATCTCAGTCTTTGTTTCTAGAATTCCTAAAAACACCTAGTGCTTGAGAATATTCTTTCATAATATTCTGTGGGTTTTGTGCTTGCCTGGGGTTAACAGTTGAATAGATGATTTATCTTAATAGCTGATTCATTCTGCACTCTGCCCCACCCTCCCACAATCAGCAGTTTGCCTATATTTGCAAGTGTTTGTCCTCATGGCATATATACATAGAATTGTGATGGGGAGAACGAGAACTGAACCCTCACCATCACCATGCAGGAATTATTTTTTGTGATCTAGAGTACTCTACATTTCCTTCAGTCATCATAGTCTTTTTTGGGTATCAACAAATCACACTTCGATTCTGTCTTCTAATTGTTGACTAGATTGAGTGAAGGGAGAGAGGGAGAAAAGTTTGAAGGATGATGTCGATTGGCCAACCAGTCCTTCTGGGTTTTAATATGATGTACACAAGATAAAATCAGGACATATGCTAACATTTGAAATTATCTTTCCCAGCTGAAAGAGAATTAATGAAGAACCATTTGTGGGTACAAATCAGCTCCCCCACTTCTTGGTGTATTTCTTTGGACAGGTTACTTAACCTCTTTTTGGTTTATTTCTCATATTAGTAAAATAGGCATAATGGTATTCCTCTCACAAGGTCATTGCCCAGAAGATGGTAATTGCTCAATAAATGAATTTTAGAGTCTGTATTTCATACTTGTGATTTACAGAACAACCCATGGGCCTACTACTAATTGAATCAAATACATAGATTATTATGTTTCTGAAAAACAAATGCCTGGCAAGGTAATTAAGTTTGCTCAAATCTAACTTAACCTAATTCTTGAAAAATTCTTGAAAAAAGGGATTAATTTCCAATAATCACATGACATTGCACCGATCCAGCAAAACCCCTCCAGGCAGTCGTAGAATCTCGAGTCATTCAAAACACAGTGTTTAATACATTGCGCCCAGTACCTTCTGTTTCTTCCATTCTTTTTTCTTGGAAAAGAAAAGATTACTGCTCTTGTTGATCACGTTGATTTTTAGATCTTGCTTAACATCCTCTCTTATAGTGCTTGGGTTCAGTTCTTACCTATGTCACTGCTCTTAATGTGCCAGTATTCAAAGGATGAGGCATCCCCTGCCTGTCTGAATGCAAAAGTAGAGTTCTGATGGGGGGAAAACAGAAAGAGAGAGATTTCACAGACTTTTCTTTATACTAAATCATGTTAAATCCATTGTGTACTTTATACTCACAATGCATCTCAGTCCATGCTAGCCATATTTCAAATGCTCAATAGCCACATGTGGCTAGTGGCTGCTGAACTGGACAGCTCTGGAATCTGTACTTTTAACCCTTTATTGTTTCCCTTTTATTCTTCTATGCTGTATATTTCTTCATTATAATTTTTATAAAATTTATTTTCAATTTCTCCAACTTTTGTATCACATTGGACCTTGAAATAATCCAAAATGTGGTTACAGGAAATTTTAAAAATCAGGCCACCCCCCAAATATAGTTTTAAGCACACACTCCAAACTTTCTGAAAACTATTTTATTCATCGTTTGTGGAGAAATATATAGTCATTGGCCCTTTTTCATCTTTAAAACATCACTTAAAATCAGTTTAATTAGTATCTCTGGGTTCAAAATGAAATTTAATTCACTCAACATTTCTTGGGCACCTGCAGGGACACAAACTGTAGTAGTTGCTAACATTAAGACAAAGATCCCTCAAAAGAAGGCATGTATATGTTAGAAACAGACCGTGAATGTGAAAAAAAATTGTTACCTGCTTTTTTCTATTGCCCTCCACAGTGAAATCTCAATCTTAGCTATCAGTGTGCAATACTACTTCACAGAAGACTTAAAGTAGATTATAGGTAGATTTTCCCCCCTTTATTTTAAAGGTATGTTTTGCCTTTTTTTTTTTTTTTTGTAATTTGATACAGGGTCTTGCTCTGTTCCCATAGGCTGGAGTGCGGTGGCAAAATTATAGCTCACTGCAGCCTCGACATTCGGGGCTCAAGCTATCCTCCTTCCTCAGCCTCCTGAGTAGATGGGATCACAGGCATGCACCACTACACTCAGCTAATATTTTGGGTTTTTTGTAGAGACAGGGTCTCACTTTGTTGCCCAGGGTGGTCTTGAAATCCTGAGCTCAAGCAATCTTTCCACCTTGGCCTCCCAAAGTGCTGGGATTACGGGCGTGAGCCACCATGCCCAGCCATGTTTTGCCTTTAATAGGTGTAAGATTTTGATTCCCTAAAAGAAAACCCAGGTCCCTAAGGATCCATAGCATGGTTGACAGAAGAAAAGAATGTAGTTTTCTCCTAGATTGCCTCTTTTAAGTCACCCAGGAGAGGAAATTATTTTAAGACAGCTCTTTTTAAACTGACATTTGTTTAGATAAATATATTAATTATTTAGAGTAAATTCAGCCCCAGCTATACAGAAATAAACTGAATTTCAAATGTCTCCATGTGTTTACACAACTGCTCTTACTACAACTACAGTTGGAGTTACTGGGGACTTGTTAAACATCAGCAATTGAAATGCTGTCTTCATGTTATCTAGAGATTGAAGAAAATAAAATTCACTTAAAAATAAATTCATAAATACTATCTTAAAAATGATAGTTCTATTGAGCTTCCATTTGAGCAATTGTGTAATCCCATAACTACTACAGAGAAACTAAAGAAGAGAAATTGAAAAATACTTTAGAAGATAAAACTATTGCCATTTTTCTGGACTAACAGAAGAGACTTGTTAAATAGCAATGTTGAAAAGAATGTACTTTATGCAGAAATCAAATAAAATGGAGGCAATTTACTAACAAAACTTCCATTTATATGATGTGTGTTTGTAAAACACTCTCCTGAGAATTATAATTCTATCATGTTCCCATTTGAGTACTTATATAATCACTTAAGAGCAATAAAACTAAAAGAGAAAATATTCAAAAATATCTTAGAAGACAAAGTTTTTGCTGTGTTTCTGAATTATTTTAGTGGACTTAACAACAAAAATAGTATAATTACATACAAATAGAATAAAATGGAAACAATTTGCTTAAAAATTCACATATAGGTAATCTACAGTTATAAAACAGTATCATAAGAATTGTAATTCTCTCTAGCTTTCATTTGAAGCAAGGAATGATCACTTAATAGCAATGAAACTGACAAAATATCAAAATTGCTTACGAAGACAGCAAAAATGCATTTTATGATTCTGATCTTTGGAAGTAGGCTTCTTGGGAGGCAGGATCAATTCTGAAGGTGCATTGCTTCTGTTTTCAAGTTGTGTGAACAGAAGACAAAATCCAGCACTTGTGAAGACATGTTTCTTGTGGCCAGAGAAGGATGTGCTGGGCCGTGGCCATCCCCAAGGAAAGAATCCTTGAGGAGGTCCATGATGGCTTTCCAGAGAAGAGAGCATGACAGAAGGTTTGCTTCTCAGGAACATTCCCCTGGGACACATCTGTGCCATCTGACAGGAGGATGAGGTAGAAGAACAGAGCCTGGGCAGCTGCTTCTTGTCCAGATGGAAGGGTTGAGTCTGGTGTAATTAAATGACCAAGATCATGTGCATTGTCTTTCCTATTGGTCTCCACTTCTGAAGGTGCATGTCTCTCAACATCATCAAAAGAAGATCTTGAGCATTGAATATCATTGAAAGAAGGCAGCAAAGGAGCACCAGGAGAAACTCTCCCTGTTGTTGTGGAGGAATTTATGTGTCCTGATGGAGTTGGCCTGATGGAGGAATCTGGTCCACACTAGGCACAGATCCTGGAACCCTGAGCCATCCCAACCTAATGCTCCGCTGTCTTGGTATCAGGGGATCCTAGTATCTCCCATGCATCTGCCAAATTTTCCTTTTGGAATATCAGGGACATAGAGATACTTTTTAAAAAGCTGAAACTTAAGTTCTTCCTAAATCATTATTTCCCTGAGTTGTGGATTTTATTTTCTTGAGTTATCAAAGTTTTTCTCAGCCAATAGAGCTCTCAACCAACTATCAAGAGCTTTTTTTTCCTCATGATAATTGATAGGATCCAATGGCTTTTTCTAATTTTTCTAGAAGAATTTTAATTTGGGCTGGGTGTGGTAGCTCACACCTATAATCCCAACACTTTGGGATGCCAAGACAGGAGGATCTCTTGAGGCCAGAAATTTGAGACCAGCCTGGGCAACACAGGGAGACCCTGTCTCCACAAAAAATAATTTAAAAGAATATTAGCTACATATAGTGGTGCATGCTTGTGGTCCCAGCTACTTGGGAGGCTAAGGTGGGAGGATCATTTGAGCCCAGGAGGTTGAGGCTGCAGTGAGCTGTGATCATGCCACTGCACTCCAGCCTAAGCAACAGAGAGAGAGAGGCCCTGCTAAAAAAGAGAGAGAGAGAGAGACAGAGAGAGAGAGAATTTTGGCTAGGATTCTGAAGATGTCTAGCACTTCAGATGCATGACTGATTTTTTCATCTGCTTTGGAAAGATTCTTCTCTTTCCATAGTAAATCACTTTAAATTGAATCTTGCATAATCATTTTATTTTATTGATGCAGTTTAGTAATGACTAAGTTTCTGCTGAAGCTCTGAAATCTCACTTTCAAACTGGATTTTTCAGACTGCAATGAAGCTAGTACATTTTTGAGACTTTTAACATTATCCATAAGTGCATTTGTTATTTTGACTTCTTCAATAATTTAGTGTAGATTTTATTGCTTTTTCCTTCAAGAGTTTTTAAAGATACATTTACCATAGCCACATAAATCCAGCTTCTTCAGAACTTCATTTTAATAACATAGATGTTAATCTTCATGACCTTGGATTAGGCAGTGGTTTCTTAAATATTACACTAGAGGCACAAGAAAAGAAAAAGAAAAAACTTGGACTTCATCAAATGTAAAAACTTTTATGCATCAAAGGACATTATTAAGAAAGTGAAAAGACAACCCACAGAATGGGAGAACATATCTGCAAATCAGAAATCTAATAAAGGTTTATTTAGTACCCAGAATATATAAAGAACTCTTACAACAACATAAAGACAACCCAATTAAAAATGAATAAAGGAGATGAATGCACATTTATCCAAAGAAAATATAAAAATAGCCAATAAGCACGTAAAAAGATGCTCAACATCATCAGTTGTTAGGGAAATGCAAATCCAACCACAGTGAGACGCCACCTCACACCCTCTATGATGGCTATAACAATAATTTTGTTTTTAATGCGAAATAAGTATTGGCAAGGAAAACTCAAACTTGAACCCTCAAAACCTGCTGTGGGAATGTAAAATAGTATAGCCACTGTAAAAAAAAAAAAAAAAAAAAAAAAAAAAAAAAACATTTCCTAAAAATGTTTCAGACAGAGTTACTACAGTATATGACCCAGAAATTACCCACCTGGGAATATATCAAGAGAATCAAACCATATGTTCAAATAAAATCTTATACATGAATGTTCGTAGTAGGCATAGTTTATAATGGGCAGAAAGTGGAAACAAGCTACATATCCATGAGTGGATAAATGGCATGAACAAAATATGGCAGACCCATACATTGGAATGTCATCCAGCCATAAAATGGAATGAAGTGCTGATACTTGCTACAATATGGATGAAACTTGAAAACACTATCCTAAGTTAAAGAACCCACACGAAAGGCCACATAATGTTTCAATTTATATAAAATGTCTAGAATAGGCAAATCTATAGAGGCAAAACATAGATTAGTGGTTACCAGGTGGAAGTGGGGGCAGGAATTGGGAGTGACTGCTTAATGTGTATGGAGTTTCTTTTTGGGGTGACAAAAATCTTCTGAAGTTAGATAGTAGTGATGGCTGCACAACATTGTGAATGTACTAAAAGCCACTGGTTTGTATACTTCACAGTGTTTTTAAATGAATTTTACCTCAATAAAAAACTTTATTAATCCTCAACACAATCTCCATTGTCTGAGGCATTGTTAATATCTCCAATTCCCAGATCTCATTCTCCTATGTAAGAACAGCAGCTCAATCTTTCATCTTCTGCAAGTTTTTTTCAGTTTATTCACTTTACTCACTCTTTTTTATCTTAGCTTCTTGTGAAAGCAGATTTATGCTTTTACAAAAATATGCTTTCATCCAGGCCATCTTTTATTGCCACCTTAAGTTTTTTTTAAAATTTATCTGATATATTTTAAAGGATGCTTTTGTTGCAGCTACTTGAACTTGGATGTTCAATGCATTTTCTGAAGACCAGGTCTCTCTCATAATCTCTTTTAACCCAGAGTAAACAATCGGATATTTCCAGATTTTTTGCTTATGGCCACCAGTTTTTGTATATATTATCATTTGTTCTCAAGTCTGGCTTCCATTAAAGCAGAGTGAAATCTTTCAAATTCTATTCGAATGAGGCTAAGCTTGAAAAAAAAATGATGTTTTTCCTCCAGGAAGGCAGAAAATCCAATAGTCAGTACTTTATGTTTATTTGGATAAAGTTCTATTTTAATAATCAAAAATCTGACTATGACTGAAAATACCTTTCTATCCCATAGCAATTGGTGGGGGTCTCTGTTAAGGTTTGAGAAGCACTGCTCTAAACTGTTTCTCACGCTTCAGGTATCAGCTGACGTGCACTTCCTCAGGAAGGCTTTTGTAATCCACAGTCTTGAGTCAGGCCCTTAATTATGAACTTCAAATAAGCTCCAGCCTTTCCTTCAAATATTTATCATAGTTTATCGTCGCATGCTCACCTCCACCCAGAAGTAGCTATTATCCTAAATTTTGTGTTAAGCCTATGTTTTCCTTAGACCCTACCACACATGTAGGTAGCTCTAAACAAACTATTATTTGATTTTGTCTGTTTTTTAAACTACATCTATTAAGTCACATCATATGTGACTTTCTGTGACTTACTACTTGGCTTTCACTCTGTGTTGTGAAATTCATCCATTTATTATGTGTAGTTGCAGTGTATTCATTTTCACTGCTGTATAAAATTCCATGATATGGATAGATGACAGTTTTGTAATCCATTTTAATGTCAATAGAAATTTCAATTGTGTCAATGTTTTTTGCTGTTAGGAACAATTATGGGCTATTGTGCAATGGAGTTTCTTATTGTGTCTCTTGCTTCACATGTACAAAGAATTTTTTTTTAGTTTAACATTAGGGGTAGAATTGCTTGGTATATGACACATGCTTACTTGACTTTACTAGGTGATGACAAATTGCTTTTCAAAGTTGTTGTAGCAAATCACAACCCCACCAGGAGTGTGTGAGTTTACAATGCTCTATATTCTTGTCAAAACTTGGTATTGTCTTATTTTTACGTTTATGCCAGTCTGGTGGATTTAAACAGTTTCTCATTGTGGTTTTAATTTGCATTTATCTGATTACTAATGAGACTGAATCTTGTTTCCTGTGTTTCTCGGCATTTGGATTTCCTCTTCTGTGAAGAGCCTTTTGCTCATTTTCTACTGAGTTATTTGTCTTTTTCCTTATTGATTTGTAGGAATTATTCATAGACTCTAGATACTAATTTTTGTGCATTATATATATTATATGACTATCTTCTCCCAGTTATGGCTTCTCTTTTCATTCTTTTTACCATGTCTTTTATTGAAAAGAAGTTGTTAATTCTTACGATTTATTACCTTTTGCTTTACAGGTGGTTCTTCTTGTACTTTGTATAAGAAAACCTTTCTTAACCTAAGGTCATAAAGATATTCCAGCCTGGCATGGTGGCGCACACCTGTAATCCCAACACTTTGGGAGGCTGAGGCGGGCAGATCACCTGAGGTGAGGAGTTCAAGACCAGTCTGGCCAACATGGTGAAACCTTGTCTCTACTAAAAATACAAAAAAATTAGCTCACGTTGTGGCAGACGCCTGTAATCCCAGCTACTTGGGAGGCTGAGGCAGGAGAATCGCTTGAAACCAGGAGGCGGAGGTTGCAGTGAGCCAAGATTGCGCTGTTGCACTGCAGCCTGGGCAACAAGAGTGAAACTCCATCTCAAAATGTAAAAAATAATAATTTTCATATTTTCTCTTGAAAGTCTTAAGGTTTACATTTGGAACTTCAGTGTTTGATCCACATGAAATTGAATTTTGAATATGGTGTGAGGCAGGAATTCATTTTCATATGAGTCTTTTCTGGTGTAAAGCAAGCCTGGGGGTAAGCGATTCAAACATTCTACTCTGTGGTATATTTTCTAGAAAGACACTCTTGGGCAGATGAAGGAGAAATGTATGAACAAGTTCATGGAAACATTACTCATAATAGCAAAACACTGGAAATGTCCCCAAATGTCCATGAATAATACAGTGGACAAATACTGGGTTTGTGCAAAAGTAATTATAGTATTTGCCATTACTTTCAATAATAATAATAATAATAATAATAAATTGGTGTATGTGCCTACAATGCAATACCATACAGCACTAAAAATGAAAAATCTATAGCCACACGTGACAAAACAAATCCTTCCAAAACACCTAATTTTGAGTAAATAACCAGATTGTAGAAGAACTCATAAAGCAAGATTCCATGTATGTAACATTTAAAAGTAGAAAAAATTGAACAACATAGTAGTTAGAGATATATATGTGCTTAAACTATAAAGAAAAGCAAGAGATTGGTTAATAAAAACTTAAGAGCAGTGACTGCCAATGGCAGGGAGGGAGGTGCCTGAAGTCAGGAATGGACACACAGGGTGCTTCAGAGCTAGGAGATGGGACATGTCTCCTCTTTCTTTCTAATTCCAACTATTCCATAATATCGCTCCCAGTGCTGACTTCCTGAAGCCCAGGTCTAATTATGCAACATTAGTGACCTTCTTACCCTCCAATCATCCTGTAAGTTTATTGGAGTTCCTAGAATTCTTTCCTTGGCTCTCTTTTTATATCATGTTACAGGGCGATCTTAGTGGGTGATTTCACCCATCCCCATGACTGTCAACTGCCACTGAAGTGGCAATGACTCACACATTTGTCTTTCCTAAACTCCAGACCTACATATATAGCTACTGAGTAGATATTTCCGCTTGCATGTTCCACAGTGTCTCAGACTCAGTATGCCTGGTGTTTTTACAAAAAGGGGAAATTTGCACACATAGGGAGAAGACCATGTGAAGATGGAGGCAGAGATTAGGTGATGCAGCAGAAACCAAGGAGCATCTAGAGAGCCAGCAAACCACCAGAGCTTGCGGACAGGCCTTCAGAAGGAACCAATCCTGCTGACACCTTGATCTTGAACTTTTAGCCTCCAGAGCTGTGAGGCCATACATTCCTGTTGTTTAAGCTCCCCAGTTTGTGGTACTGTGTTCCAGCAGCCCTAGAAAGTGAATGCTATATGCACGCTTGCCATCCCAATTTTCACACCCAGTAACTGATCCTATAAAAATAATTGCACAAGTAAGCAAAGGAGTTATCATAAGGATATTGACAACAGCAGTGTTTATCATTTACAACAGAGAAAACAACCTAAATGTCTTACAGTGAAAGAAAAGTTCATAAATGATAGTACATTCACACAATGGAAAGTCATGTAGCTTTTCAAAATGATGTTGTCAGTATAAAGCTTGAGAGGGAAAGACATTCACAATAAGTTGCTTAAAGGGGACTACAAAAGAGTATGTATATATATACTGTTGGCCATTTTTTGCAACTTATATATGTGTGTGTGTGTGTGTGTGTTATAAATGCATAGGAAAAAGTCTGAAAGTATATCAACATATTTACAGTGGTAGAATTTCAGGTAATTTACATTTTCCTCTCTTTGCTTCTCCATATTTTCTTAAGAGATGTGGTTTAAAAATTAGCCTGTGAGGGTTCCTTGTTTTCCCTCTCCCCATTGCCCCTTTTAAGATTGACTGAGTAGATTCACAATCCTTCCATACCTCGGGAAGGAGGAAGAAAGAATAGGAAAAAAGGGGAAAGGACAGGAGAAAAGAAAACATAAATGATCTATTAAAGAACTAGGGGATAAAAAAAATTGTTTGTTTGTTTGTTTATAAGAGATGGGGTCTTGCTCTATCACCCATGCAGTGGCACCTTCTTAGCTCACTGCAGCTTTGAACTCCTGTGCTCAAATGATCCTCTCACCTCAGCCTTCCAAGTGGCTAGGACTGTAGTGGTGCCTCATCATGCCTGGCTAATTTTTTTTGTAGTGGTGGGGTCTTGCTATGTTGGCCAGGCTAGTCTAGAACTCCCGGCCTCAAGGGATCCTCTTGCCTCAACTTCCCAAAGTATTAGGAATACAGGACAGCGTGCCCAGCCAGATTCATGAATTTAGGAAGCAAAATATAGTGTGAACTGTAGGAGAAAAAGGTTTGGGGAGGTAGAGTTGTGAATGAGAGGCTCTAAAGCAATACAGGGTGTGAGAGAATTGTGGAAGAGAGAAGAGAGCATAGGAAGAGTATTCTCGGGGTTACAAATGGGATCCTTTTAAACAATTTCCAAGTAATGCACATGAAAGCTCAGAATTTCATGTTTTATCATTTTTAGCTGTTGGGATTGTACTTCTTTGAATGCAGCATCAACAGCATACAGAGAAAGGATTCAATGAGTCCAGGATTTATAAAGTCATTTTTCTACAATTAGCATATGGGTTCCAGTTTGCAAACTGAAGTACACAAGAAATATTACTTTATTTTTCTCTATCTTCATTTTTATTTGTTGTTATTGTCCTCCCAGTGGCAGACACTTGGCCTCAGGCAACTAAGTTTTCTGCTTGAGATAACATTCAAGAGGAGGTAGGTGTGGGCAGAGGCTTAGTTAATGAGGTTCATGTAGAATGCATCCGGGCCAGAGGTCTTAGGACAACGGTATCTTTTAAGATGGCCATCATCCTAGCTGACCTTAAGATCTGCATGATCCCATCTGTCAACACAAGTCCCTGTCTTTTCTAGTCTGGTGAGTCTCTTTGCTGGGCCAATTCTGTTTTTGAGGGAAGGGAAACACTCACTAGGCCCCTCAGCCACACTGGGCCATGACTACCGTATTCCTCACCACACTGTGCTGTGGGAAAACTCTGGGGTCTTGTCACCTGCAGGGCTCAATATGTGACTTAGGCAGGGGCCCATAGATCCACTTACACCATCAGATGGTTAATATTGTCAAATTGATTGGATTGAAGGATGCAAAGTATTCTTTCTGGGTGTCTGTGAGTGTATTGCCAAAGGCGATTAACATTTGACTCAATGGACTGGGAAAGGCAGACCCACCCTCAATGTGGGTGAGCACCATCTAATCAACTGCCAACTTGGCTAGAATAAAGCAGGCGGAAGAAGGTGGGAGAACCTGACTTGCCTTCATTTTTCTCCAGTGCTGGATGCTTCCTGACCTTGAACATCAGACTCCAAGTTCTTTGGCTTTAGGACTCTTGGATTTACACTAGCAGTTTGCCGAGGGGATCTCTGGCCTTTGGCCACAGACTGAAGGCTGCACTGTTGGCTTCCCTACTTTTGAGGTTTTGGGTCTCGGGCTGATCCACTACTGGCTTCCTTGCTCCTCAACTTGCAGACGGCCTATCGTGGGACTTTACCTTGTGATCGCGTGAGTCAATTCTTCTTAATAAACTGCCTTTCATATTTACATATATCCTATTAGTTCTGTCCCTCTAGAGAACCCTGACTAATACAGATTTTGTTCCTGGAGTGGTTCAAGAATTTTAAGGATAGAGTTCTTTAGTTGGTTTCAGGGTTTCTGGAATTGGCTGCTCAATCTGATTAGACCCAAAAATGCTAAGACCTCTGCTTTGAATACTATGGAAAACACTGATAGTCCTTGGTGTGAACTGTTTAGAAAGTTATGCAAAATAAATGCATTTGATACTCCTGATTCACTGCTCTGCAGAGGCAAGGAGTTTAGTGACTCTATACATAATACCTTTGACCATATGTGGAGAATCAAGGAATGTCATAAAGTTGTTTGGTTGCTCCTAAGTTTGCTGGACAAAGTGATGAAAGAAAACGATGAACTCAGGGATTCTAACTCCTGGCTCCAGAAGCAGATACTGAGCCCCAAATCTTCTAAGACTGCCCTAACAGAGAGTTTTATCTCCTGTATAGAAAGAGCTGAAATTGTGGAAAAACAGACACAAGCTCTTATCATGTGAGTGGCTGACTTGCAATAAAAGGTGAATGCACACCCTTGCCAGGTGTCTACTGTTAAAGTGAGGGCATTGATTGGAAAAGAATGGGACCCTGCAATTAGGAATGGGGATGTATAGGAGGTCCCTGATGAGGCTTGGGACACTGAGCTTCTAAATTCTGATGAGCCTTTTTTGCCAGAGGAAACAGCCTTCCCATCTGCAGCAGTAGCAACATCTCCCCCCACCACCCATGCTGCCATCAGCCTTTCCACCTTTGTCTGAGGAGATTAACCCTGCACTGCCTGAGGCAACAGTGATGGCCTCCCCTGAGGAAGTTGCCAGGTAAGAGAATGCTGATTCTCCTCAGGACCCACCCCTAACACCCCTGTTTGCTTCCAGACCTATAACTAGACTCAAGTTCCAGCAGGCTCTAGATGTAAGGTTCAGAGTGTGACCAATGAGGAGGTGCGCTACACTCCAAAAGAACAGAGTTTTCTAACTTATAAAGCAGAAATCTGGAGAACAGGTATCGGGATGGACTTTAAGGGCATGGGATAATGGTGGAAAGAACATAAAGTTGGATCAGGCTGAATTTACTGATATGGACCCACTAAGCAGGGATTCTGCATTTAATGTTGCAGATCAGGGAGTTAAAAAAAGGTTCTAATAATTTATTTGCTTGGTTAGCTGAAACATGGATCAAAAGATGGCCTACTTGGCTGGGCGTGGTGGCTCATGCCTGTAATCCCAGCACTTTGGGAGACCAAGGCGGGCAGATCACTTGAGGTCAGGAGTTTGAGACCAGCCTGGCCAACATGGCAAAACCCAGTCTCTACTAAAAATACAAAAATTAGCCCGGCTTGGCGGCACACTCCTGTAATCCCAGCTACTCAGGAGGCTGAGGCAGGAGAATTGCTTAGACCCAGGAGGTGGAGGGTGCAGTGAGCTGAGATCGTGCCACTGCATTCCAGCCTGGGTGACACAGTGAGACTCTGTCTCAAAAAAATAAAATAAAATAAAATAAAATATGGCCTACTATGAGTAGGCTGGAAATGCCTGATCTCCCTTGGTTTAATGTAGAGGAAGGGATCCAAAAGCTTAGGGAGATTGGAATGTTGGAGTGGATTAGTCATTTTAGACCTACTCATCCCAGCTGGGAGGGTCCAGAAGATATACCCTTCACCAATACTTTGCGAAATAGATTTGTGAAGGGAGCATTTACATCCTTGAAGAGTTTTGTGATTGCTTATCTTTGTATGCCAGATCTTACAGTGGGAACTGCAGTCACTCAATTAGAAATGTTAAATGCAATGGAAATAATTGGATCCCAAGGTGGCAGGGGCCAAGTTGAGGCACTCAACCATGAAAGGCAAGGTGGATGTAGTTACTATAATGGACAGCAAAGGCAAAGTAGCAATCAGAATAGCATGATTTATGTAGAGCTCTGGCTTTGGCTAATTAATCACAGTGTTCCTAGAAGTGAAATTGATAGGAAGCCTACTGCATGCTTACTTAATTTATATAAGCAGAAAACTTTCAGGCTGAATGGACAAAAGACTAATTTGAATTATAAAAATAGAGAATTACGGCCTGTCAATCATTTCCAGACATGAACCAGTTTACAGACCCAGAAATCCTTGAATGAAAGGGACGCCGGTTCTCCTTGAGGAAGAACCTCACTATACTACCAACAATTTATGCAGTTAATCTTTTTCCCATCCTTCCCTAAGGAGACCTCTGGCCTTTTACCAGGGTAGCTGTGCACTGGGGAAAGGGGAATGATCAGAACTTTCGGGGATTCTGGCCACTGGCTCTGAGCTGATATTGATTTCAGAGGACCCAAAACATCATTGTGGTCCTCCAGTTAAAGCTTGGTTAGCTAAAATACGGATCTTATGGGGCTTGTGGAGATAAGGTAATTAATGAAGTTTTAGCTCTGGTCCGACTTACAGTGGGTCCAGTGGGTCCCCAGACTCATTGTGTGGTCATTTCCCCAGTGCCAGAATGCATAATTGGCATAGACATACTTAGCAGCTGGCAGAATCCCTACATTGGCTCCCTGACTGGTAGGGTGAGGCCTATCATGGTGGAAAAGGCCAAATGGAAGGCATTAGAGCTGCCTCTACCTAGAAAAATAGTAAGTCAAAAACAATATCACAACCCTGGAGGGATTGCAGAGATTAGTGCCACCATCAAGGACTTGAAAGATGCAGGGGTGGTGATTCCCACCATATCCCCATTCAACTTTCCTATTTGGCCTGTGCAAAAGACAGATGGATCTTGGAGAATGACAGTGGATTACTGTAAGCTTAACCAAGTGGTGACCCCAACTGCAGCTGCTGTACCAGATGTGGTTTCATTGCTTGAGCAAATTAACATATATCCTTGTACCTGGTATACAGCCATTGATTCGACAAATGCCTTTTTCTCCATTCCTGTCCATAAGGCCCACCAAAAGCAATTTGCCTTCAGCTTGCAAAGTCAGCAATATACCTTCACTGTCCTGCCTCAGGGGTATATCAAGTCTCCAGCTTTGTGTCATAATTTTGTTCACAGAGATCTTGATCACTTTTCTCTTCCACAAGATATCACACTGGTCTATTCTACTGATGACATTATGCGGATTGGACCCAGTGAGTGAGAAGTAGCAAACACAGTGGACTTATTGGTGAGACATTTGCATGCCAGGGGATGGGAAATAAATTCGGCTAAAATTCAGAGACCTTCTACATCAGTGAAATTTCTAGGAGTCCAGTGGTGTGGGGCCTATTGAGATATTTCTTCTAAGGTGAACAATAAATTACCTCATTTGGTCCCTCCTACAACCAAGAAAGAGGCACAATACCTAGTTGGCCTATTTGGATTTTGGGGGCAACACATTCCTTATTTGGGTATGTTACTCCAGCCCATTTATCAAATGATTCAAAAGGTTGTCAGTTTTGAGTGGGGTCCAGAACAGGAAAATGCTCTGCAACAGGTCCAGGCTGCTGTGCAAGCTGCTCTGTCACTTGGGCCATATGACCCAGCAGATCCAGCAGTGCTTGAGGTGTCAGTAGCAGATGGGATGCTGTTCGAAGCCTTCGGCCAGCCCCCATAGGTGAATCACAGCAGAGACCTCTAGGATTTTGGAGCAAGGCCCTGCCATCTTCTGCAGATACCTACTCTCCTTTTGAGACACAGCTCTTGGCTTGTTACTGGGCTTTGGTAGAAACTGAAGGCTTGATTATGGGTCATCAAGTCACCATGCGACCTGAGCTGCTTAGAAGGCACAAGTAAGTTACATAAGGAAATGGCTCAAATGCCCATGATCTCCACTCCTGCCACCCTGTCTTCTCTCCCCAAGCCTGCACCGATGGCCTCATGGGGAATTCCTTACGATCAGTCTACACAGGAAGAGAGGACTAGGGCCTGGTTTACGGGTGGTTCTGCACGATATGCAGGTACCACCCAAAAGTGGACAGGTGCAGCACTATAGTCTCTTTCTAGGACATCCCTGAAGGACAGTGGCAAAGGGAAATCTTCCCAGTGGGCAGACCTACCCTCAATGTGGGTGAGCACCACCCAATCATCTGCGAACTTGGCTAGAATAAAGCAGGCAGAAGGTGGTGGGAGAAGCCGACTTGCTGAGCCTTCCAGCTTTCATCTTTCTCCGGTGCTGGATGCTTCCTGCCCTCGAACATCAGACTCCAAGTTCTTCGGCTCTTGGACTTACAATAGTGGTTTGCCAAGGGGCTCTCGAGCCTTTGGTCACAGACTGAAGCTGCACTGTTGGCTTCCCTACTTTTGAGGTTTGGGGACTCGGACTGATCCACTACTGATTTCCTTGCTCCTCAACTGGCAGACTGCCTATCGTGGGACTTTACCTGTGATTGTGTGAGTCAATTCTTCTTAATAAACTCCCTTTCACATAGACATATTTCCTATTAGTTTTGTCCCTCTGGAGAATCCTAGATGGGATTCTGTCATTCCCAGATTTTTCCAAGGTTTCCGCCATTGCTTCCCCATTTTCTCACCAACTTCCTTCCAACACATATGCCATGGGTTTGACTTCTTTCTCACAGACACTTACTGATATTTTAGTTTTCTGCATTATCTCCAGTTCTTTCTCTTCCTTTGGTCCTGGAAAATCTTGCCACAATTTTGTGTTGTCCAGATTCTTCTTAGGCCTCTGAGCATTTCTTCATTGTCTTTTCTTTTGGATATTTGTTCCATCATCTGTCCATAGAATATTCAGCTTCTAGCATTCCACTTTTGGCCCACTGTCTTTCTCAGTTTTTCCCAGGTTACCTCATCCACTCCCAAGGATTTAACCACCACTTCTATGCTAATGACTCTGAACCTACAGCTTTAGTCCAAAATCCATGTCCTGTTGCTGTGTATCTGTCCTTGATCTCCCACAAGCCAATAAAACTAAACTTGTCCCAAACTCTATATATCTTCCGAAAACCTGTATTTTTCTCTTGCATTCTTTCTCTTCAGTGGTGGATATAATTACAAACTGCTCGGCTATTATGGAAAAATGCTCAGTGCTTTGAGGATGTTTAGTAGAGGCACTCTCTATCTGTCTAGGATGGGGAGGGGGATGCGAGAAAATGTTCTCTCACTTAGATATTATTGAGGCTGGCATCTCCAGATCTGCACAGCTCAGGAGTCTGACTGCATCACTTCCTTGCCCCAGACCTTCAGGAAAAACATGCAGTGGTGTACCCAGGGGGTAGCCACCTTGATAGAGAGGAGCGTGTTATCATTGTTTAGAATCACTGGCAATATAGTCAGTTTTATTATTGTTTTCTAATACTCAACAGACAGTCTACCCCCTTTTTGCCTACACCCAGCATGGTCCACTCAAATTGCCCTACTCCTTGGTACTCCACTGAAAACCTGGAGGCCTCCACCCTCCTCTCCTTATCCCCATCTTCCCTTCAGCCAAGCCTCTAAGGCCAAATCACCTGTTGTTTCTCATTTCTGTGTCTTTTCTCATGCTCTTCCCTCTGCCTGGAATTCCCTCTACTCCATACACACACTGTATCTGGTTTACCCCTACTCTTTAAGATTCAACTTAAATATCGCTTCCCCCAGGAAGCTGCCCCTGCTCACCCAAGGCTGAGTCACATGCCCTTCGTTGGGCTTCCATGGTATCTTCTAAATACTAAATTTCTGCATTGGCCACATCGTACTCTAATTAATCTGTTCATGATTTTGTCTCTCTCAATTACTGTGTGCCAAATGAAGTAGTCTTATTCACTTTTTTATTCACTGAGATCCGAGGAAACACTACATTATTCATTTTCATATCTCCGGGATCTAGGAAAATACTTGTCACAATATTGATGAGAAAGGTGTTTACATCATGTTGTGATATAAGCTTTAAATTCTGCAGAACACTTATTTTCATGGGAAAAATAATATTTGGAGCATGCCCTTAGGGTCTCCCTCCACTTCCTTTCCTGGTACCCTTTAGAAACCCTTATGTGAACCTTCACATATATATGGAAGGCTCAGGTTGGTCTTCAACACCACTGCCTTGATGCTACAAATTTACAAAGTGGAAGACATTTTTCAGTTTTGAAGCATGCTCTTCTCCAGCTCTCTGCAGAGCTTCTGTTTCTGCAAGACAGTGACTGAGAGTCTGGTATTCAATTATTATTTTATTCATTTAACTGCACCAGTAAATAGTGATAGAATTCAGAACTCAGAGCTACCACAATATGGAATTTTTAAAAGGCACTTGAAATCCTTGACAGCAGAAGCAGGGACATTTAAAATACAGAGGACAGGGAACCAAACTGTGAAATGTTCTCTCTGTAATCTTCATCAAAGATATATGCTTTGAAATGATTCCTATTCCATGGAAGAAGATACAATCTGCTCCCCCTCTTCCCATTACCACCATTTGCAAAGCACCACCCAGTCTTACAGATATTTTCTTCCCAGTGTCTCTCATAACCATTCCTTTCTTAAGGTTTCGTAAGAACCATATGAATGTTCTTTGACATCATATCATATTATATGCAGTGATTCTTTAAATAGTATTCCAGTGTTGAGATAGCGAAAAGCACTGGAAGCACTGGTGTGCTGGTAAATGTTTCACAATCAGCTCTCTGGGGAAAGAAGCTCTATTGGTAGTGTTTGCTAATCTCCATGGTATAAATACTCCCACCAAGGCAGATTTCAAGCTATCAACTTGATGTCACTGAATGAGGAGTTGGGGAAAGGTGGACCCCATTGTCTCTACTGAACCAATACAAGCTGCTGTATATCAGCTCTAGCACATTTCTGGATGGACGATTAATTTTTCTCAAGCACCATTTAAGATAGGTTATTTTCAGATTCAGAAATCTACCCAGACTTCTACTGTCTGCCATGGAAATAGAAAAAAAAAAACAGTCTGTCCACTTTTCCCTATCACCACAAATACTGTGTTAGGCTACTTGATTGGAGTCTGCATTAGCTAGTTAAATGATCTCCTTGGTTCCACTCTTACCTCTACAGTTCTTCTCCCTACAGCAACCAGAGTAATTGTTTAACACTAATTTGATTGTGTTACCTGCCCAGAGGCAATATTGCATCACACCAGGAACTATGCCACTGGTGCAACATGGAGTTGTGCAGTACGCAGGCTATTCAACCATACTCAGCACCCCGACCTCTGCTTAAAATCCTCAGAGGTTTTCCATTACATTTAGGGATTTGTATATTTGTGTTTATATAACATATGGTTTAACCCGGTCTCCAAAGGCCTGCATGATCTGACTGCAGCTTCCTCTCCTGTCCCATCCATGCCACTCTCCCTCTGACTTACTTGGTTCCAGCTTCTCTGAACTTCCCAACTTCCTTCAATTCCTCTGTCATACTAAGCTCTCTCTAGGATCCCACCTGGACCACTCTTCTTTTTGATTTTCCTTTGGTTAAACTTTCTTTCTGAAGTCTCTGCTCACAAGGCACTTTCCAGAGAGATCTTTGAACCCCTGATCTAAATTAAGCCCCTTCAATTAGTCTCTTTCATGGCATGTTATTTTTTCACTTCTAAGCATTACAGTGGGTACTGTCATTATGAGTGTTTTGGTGTCAATGATGGCAGGCTTTTTTTTTGTTTTGTTTTGTTTTTCACCAGGGATGTAGAACCTCCAAATTTACTGCGAGGGGCACAGCCACAGTCCCGCAAAGGTGACAAGATGTGCTCGCTGTTTGCATCTGTTTAAATCATCACTATAAGAAAGTGATTCTTGGGTTTAGGTATGAGTGATGGCAGTTTTTATGACCAGAAAAGATTATTTATGATGAGTTTGGTTTTTAGAAATTAATATTCCATTTAAGGTTATAAGATCAAAAGACTATTTGTCCTTAAGCTTTAAAATTCAAAATAAAAATCACATTGTTCTATTAATGAATAAATAAGACTTTAACAGTCACTTTTAAGGGGGCCTTTGATTAATGTGTGAGCCCATTTACAAACTTAATTTTAATTCTTTTTTTTTTTTTTTTTTTTTGAGACGGAGTCTCGCTCTTTTGCCCAGGCTGGAGCGCAGTGGCACGATCTCGGCTCACTGCAACTGCAACCTCCGCCTCCTGGGTTCAAACGATTCTTCTGCCTCAGCCACCCAAGTAGCTGCGACTACAGGCACGCACCACCACCCAGCTAATTTTTGTATTTGTAGTAGAGATGGGGTTTCACCATATTGGCCAGGCTGGTCTCGAACTCTTGACTTGGTGATCCGCCCGCCCTGGCCTTCCAAAGTACTGGGATTACAGGTGTGAGCCACCACGCTGGACAATTTTAATTCTTAAACATCAAAAAATTACATTCATACATTTAATGTACTTGTTTTCATTTTAAGTCATTCAACTGTGTAACAAAAATAATTTAAGTAACTCTAACATATGAAACATAAATATGGTGAATATTAGGTTCTTCTGAATGTTCCAATAGTATCTTTAAATTTAGTAAAGTTTTCTTATACATTGAACTTAAAGTCAGAAGTTAATCAATTATTCAATTAAATATTATACATTAAATTATAAAGCAATTCTGTTTGATTCGCTCATCTGCTATTAATAAATTCTCCAAATAATTACACGTATTCTAAATAGCAAGTGCACAAGGTGTTTCTCAACTTACCATGAATATATGAATACGATGGGTTTGGCTTAATCAGTTTTCATAATTCACTCTTTTATTTTCAATTACAGATCCTCCTAGAATTAAAATGGGCAGATGAAGCAGACAGTTATACCACACCAAACATTTGGTCTTATTTTTCAGGAGGAGGTCACTGAGGATACAAATTGACTCTGGATTTGGCTGGGACTCAGGGTTTTGTGTTCTCCCAACATACTGAGGCCCAGTTACGAGGCCTAGTTACAGGAATTTCATAGCCAGAAAGGGTCCCATGTTCACGTCCCTAATTCTAGTGAAATCTGGGTCTGTAACCCCTCTCCTAGGTTCTTTCACTTTGAGATTGGATTGATTTACTCTTTCAATGGCTTTATTTTATTCTAAATTATCTTCTTATTCTTCTGAGCAGGCCAGGCTCAGCTCTTATTGATATTTAAATAGAATCCAGTTGGGATTCCACAAATCTCTTTGTAGTTTTGTATATCTCTATTTACAATGGCAAGATCAGTCTTAATGACAGGAATGGATCTCAATCTACAAACGCAGGTCTGCAAAAACTCTTATTTTCTAAATATGTGACTCACCATTAATTTAATTAATTTTTCTAGGTAAACACAAGGCATGGGATTGTTACTTGCTACAAGGCAAGACATACAGGAAGGGGCTGGCAGGGACTCATGGTGTTAAGGTACAAGGGCCAAGTTACCTACCCTACTGGAATTTTTTGTTCTGGGGGCTCACTTTCTGGGAGTTGCAGCAGCAGCTGCAGCAACAGTGGATGATAATGAGCAACAGCAAGAACAACAGGGTGCTGACGAAGGTGAGGAAGATAATGTAGGCAGCAGTGTCCCACTTGGACTGAAAGGGCTGATCCCTGTCAGCTGTTGGTCTCCCCACACTTCCAGAGCCATTACTCCCAGCTCCTCCATGAACAACAGACCCATTTTAGCAGAAGCGCCCTGGTGCCACCTTTTAAAAATATACTAGACAAGCACCGTGAAACACATGGGCACTCAGCCACTGTTGACTTTGTGAACAAAAGAAAGAAAGAGAGGCTGGGTGTGGTGACTCATGCCTGTAATCCCAGCACTTTGGGAGGCCTAGGCGGGTGGATCACGAGGTCAGGAGATGGAGATCATCCTGGCCAACATGGTGAAACCCCATCTCTACTAAAATACAAAAAATTAGCCAGATGTGGTGGCGTGCACCTGTAGTCCCAGCTACTCGGGAGGCTGAGGCAGGGAATTGCTTGAACCTGGGAGGTGGAGGTTGCTGTGAGCTGAGATCATGCCATCGCACTCCAGCCTGGGTGACAGGGCAAGACTCTATCTCAAAAAAGAAAAAAAAAGAGAAAGAAAGAAAGAAAAAGAAAGAAAAAGAAAGAAAGAAAGAAAGAAAGAAAGAAAGAAAGAAAGAAAGAAAGAAAGAAAGAAAGAAAGAAAGAAGGAAGGGAGAGAAGAAGCAAGGGAGGGAGAGAGGAAAGAAGGGAGGGAGGGAGGGAAAGGAAGAGTAGGCTTTAATTTACAATTTGAACCCTTATTCAACAGGAATTGAAAATGATATAGAGTCAGTACTCACCCTTCCCTTTCCTCCTGATATTTCATCTGGGTTCCAGGTGAACTCAGTGACATCAAGTTGGACAGCTTGAGACTTGCCTTGGGTGGAGTAGTTACGCGGGGAACAAGGGTTTCTAAACCTTTAGAATTTCCTAATAGGACTCTTTTGTAATTCATAACATGCCTCTTTGAATCATACCTGACCACATGCTAATGAGAGAATTCTTAACCTCTAGAGAGCTTCAGAATAGAGCTGATCACCAGGCGACTTTCAGCCCCATCCCCTAACCCCTAACTGTGGAGAGGGGAAGAGGGTCTGGAGATTGAGTTCAATCACCAATGGCCAATCACACCTACATAATGAAATTTCAGTAAAATCTCTTGAACAACAACGTTTAGGGATGTTCTGAGTTTGTGAACATATTGATGTGCTGGGTGGGTGGATGCCCAGAGAGGGCATGGGCTTTCTGTCCACCTTCCACTCCCTTGCTAGCTCTATGCATCTCTTCCATTTGGCTGTTTCTGAATCGTATTCTTTATAATAAAACTGCAGTGGTAAGTATAGTGCTTTCCTGTGTCCTGTGAGTCTTTCTAGCGAATTATCAAACCTGGTGGAGGGTGGGGAGTGATATGGTTTGGCTGTGTCCCCACCCAAATCTCATCTTGAATTGCCATGTGTTGTGGGAGGAACGTGGTGGGAGGTAATTGAATCAGGGGCTCAGTTCTTTTCCATGCTGTTCTTTATCAGCATGATATGTCTTTATCAGCAGCGTGGAAATGAACTAATACAGGGAGGGTCATGGGAATCCCCAAATTTGTAGTTGATTGAGCAGAGGTTCAGTTAGCTTGGAGCCCCATATCCGGCTAACATGTGAAGTGGAGGCATTGTTATGCAACTGAACCCATAACTTGTGGGGTCTGCACTGACTCCAGGTAATTGGTGTCAGAGTTGAATTGAATTATTGGACACCCAGTTGGTATCAAAGAATTGGAGAATTGGTGGTCCTTGGAAAATGACAGATTTGCTGTCAGAAAAACAATGCTGTGCTTCATTGGAGCACTGCTCCTGTGTGCCTAGAGATCACTTTGCTCTTCTGCACCAAAGAGAAGCACAGGTGGAATCTGTGAGGTTTCAAAGTCCAAGTGCAAAGGCTTCTACAAAGCCATTTCTACTCAGTGTTGGTCAACTTGCTGGGCTGGGCCTGGAGAATGTGAGCACCAGTCTCTTTTGCTCTTATGAAGTCCAAACTAATCTTGAATTTGTCATCCCCTGGAGGTTGGCCTGGGAAATGAGATGGGGTGGAGGCTCCATTTTGCAAAGACCCAACACCACCTAAGTTCTAATCACTTCCCTCTGACTCTCCTCTATCCTGGGGAAAAGTTGCCAGTCTCTGGGCCAGAATAGCCTTGCTCTGATTCAGTGAGTATCTTCTCAAATCACTATTCATGACAGAAGTTATATTCTATGCCTACTGAAAACTGGAATTTTGGAACTCAAGAGCTAGGATAAGGTTTTTGTTAGTTATATATTGGATTCTGCAATTCATCTATCTTCTGCATCATTACATGCAGAATACTGAGCTGATTGAATGGGTAAGAGCCAAAGGAGAACAAGTAATGCTGGGAACAAAACACACAATGAGTAATTTTCCAAAATATTAACTCAGCACACACTTTGACCATTTGTATAAATGCTTATGGAATAGTATTTGATGTCAGTTTTCCACTAGACTGTAAATACCATGAGGACAGGGATTATACCTTGCTTGTTCATTATTGTACAAAAAGTACCTAGAACAGTATCTGCATCCAAAAGAAAATCAATAAAGATTTGCTGAAGTCATTAATGAATTTAAACTCCTTAGTTTGACATTCAATATCTAAGTGATAACTCCCTGCTCTCATAAGCTAATTTTATTCTTGTAGTCACCAACTTTCTATATCACCTGAATTAATACAGTTATCAGCTTCTATCTGTCACTTATTCAAGACCAGATCATTTATTTGAATATATTGTTTTCTTTGCTAAAAATGTCCTTTCTCCACTATAATAAAACATCTTCCCCTCTTTCAAACTATGCCTTAAAACTGATCCATAAACAACCTCATGATTGACCTCACTTGTCTGTACACTCAGTTTCATTCATTCATCCCTTTAAAAATATATATTGAGTAGTCTGTATTGGACACCATTCTAGGCACTGGGGATAAAATGTAAATGAAAAGCTCTCCGTCCAAATAAATAAAACATGAATGAGGTATTTTTAAATAGTGATAAAGGCTATTAAAATACAAACAGGCCGGGCGCAACAGCTCACACCTGTAATCCCAGCACTTTGGGAGGCCGAGGTGGGTGGACCACTTGAGGTCAGGAGTTCGAGACCAGCCTGGCCAACATGGCAAAACCCATCTCTACTAAAAATACAAAAATTAGCCGAGCATGGTGGCAGGTGCCTGTAATCCCAGCTGCTCGGGGGGGCTGAGGCAGGAGAATTGCTCGAACCCAGGAGGTGGAGGTTGCAGTGAGCTGAGATTGTGGCATTGCACTCCAGGCTGGGTGACAGAGCGAGACCCAGTCTCAAAGGAAAAACAAACAAAAAACATGGGACAGTGTGTGAGAGAAAGTGATCAGGGGACAACAGAACAACATTAGATAGTGATTCAGGAAAGTCCTAGGCTGGGTGCCGTGGCTCACGCCTGTAATCCCAGCACTTTGGGAGGCTGAGTTGGGCGGATCACCTGAGGTCAGGAGTTCAAGACCAGCCTGGACAACATGGTGAAACCCTCTTTTCTAAAAATACAAAAATTAGCCAGGAATGGTGGGACACACCTGTAATCCCAGATACTTGGTAGGCTGAGGCAGGAGAATCCTTGAACCCAGGAGGCAGAGGTTGCAGTGAGCCGAGATGGTGCCACTGCACTCCAGTCTGGGTGACAGAGTGAGACCTTGTCTCGAAAAAAAAAAAAAAAAAAAAAGCAGTGATTCAGAAAAGTCCTGTCTGAGCATGTGATGTCTGAGCCAAGGTCTGAATGAAGGGAAGATGTGAGGATGGAGCATTTCTGCTACCATTTTTGTCAGGAGAGTGAACAGGTGCAGAGGGCCTGATGCAAGCATGGGTTGGGGTTCCTGGAAAAGCATAAATGAAGCCTGTGACTCAAGCTGGAGAACTAAGGAGGAGTGTGGTAAGAGAGGAGAGCAGAGAGGCAAAGGTGCCAGGTCAGGCTGGGCCCTGTGGGCAAGGAACAGGAGTATGCATTTTGAACATAAGGGACACCTGGAAGGCTCTGAAACTGGGCCATGTCATGGTCTGATTATCTTTCAGAAATGTATCTAGCCACTGGGTTAGGGATAGACCAAAAAAGTGAAAGCAAAAAGACTAGAATTTAATTGCAGTAACATGAAATGATAGCTCAGCATGAACTAGGATGGTAGTGAAAATGGAGAGAAGTGGACAGATTAGAGACCTATGCTTGAGGTCAAGCCAGTAGGGCTTGCTGATGGACTGGCTGGGCACGGGAATGAAGACTAGGGTAAATGGGGAAACAGGAGAATCAAATTTGAACTTGACTTCTAGATCTGGGTTGGTGGTGCCATATGCTGAGATGTGGGACCAGGAAAGGAAAGATTAAGGTGGAGGTAACGGGCAGGAGTCCAATGTTCTATTTAATTCACCTCCAACATGCCTATTAGACATCTGGGTGCAGATGTTGAGTATGTGTTGGGATATATAAGCCTGGATCCCAGAGGAAAGGCAGAACAGGTGGTGGTGAAAAGAGCAGACTCTGGACTCAACCTGGCTCCCACCTATGTAGGCTTGAACAATTTACTTAACCTCTTTGTGCCTCAGTTGCTTCATCTATGAATTGGGGATAAAAACAGTACTCACCCTGTAAATTTCTTGTGAGGATTAAATGAGTTAATACATATAAAGACCTTAAGACAGGGTCTGGTACATAGGGAGTGTCCAATAAGTGTTAACTACTATCATCAATAGGAGGCTGGGATTTGGACACAGCTAAGGGTACAGCTGAGGGCTGGAACACAAATTTGGGAGTCATTAGTGGAATTTTAAAACCATGGGAGTGGACGATATCCCCTCAGGAGACAGTGTGTTTACAGAAGGCGAAAGGGCCCTGAGCCAAGCCTTGGGTCACTCCAACATTTACAGCTAAGACAAAGTAGCCCTCAAATGAGAGTGAGAAAGAACAGCTAATGAGATAGAAGAAAAACTGGGAAGGCATGCAGTCACCGAAACTGGCAGGTTAAACAGTATTCTCCCCAGAATTCATGCCCATCTGGAATTTCAGAATGTAACCCTATTTGAAAATAGGGTCTTTACAGACCTGATTAGTTAGATCTAATAAGTTCAAATGAGGTCATACTGATTACAGTGGGTCCTGAATCCAATGACTGGTGTCCTTACAAAAAGGCCATGTGATGACAGAGGCAGAGATTGGAGTGAGGCAGCTACAAGCCAAGGAACACCAAGGATTGGCAGGAGTGACCAGAAGCTAGGAATAGTCAAGAAAGATTCTTTCCTAAAGACTTCAGAGGGAACAAGGCCATGCTGACACCTTGATTTTGAACTTCTAGCCTCCAAAACTGTAAGGGAATAAATTTCTTTTATCTTAAGCCATTCAATTTGTAGTCATTGGTTACAGCAGCCTTAGGCATCTAATGCAAAAATCAGGAGGAGAAAATGTTTTTAAAAGGGGGAGATAATTGGCTAGGTGTGGTGGTTTATACCTGTAATCCCAGCACTTTGGGAGGCTGAGGCAGGTGGATCACGTGAGGTCAGGAGTTTGAGACCAGCCTGGTCAACATGGTGAAACCCCATCTCTACTGAAAATACAAAAATTAGCCAGGCGTGGTGGTGCATGCCTGTAATCCTAGCTACTCGGGAGGCTGAGGCATGAGAATCGCTTGAACCCGGGAGGTGGAGGTTGCAGTGAGCCAAGATTGTGCCACTACACTACAGCCTGGGCCACAAGAGCAAAACTTCATCTCAAACAAAACAAACCAACAAACAAAAAGAGGTGGGGAGATGGTCAACTCTTTGAAATGGCTGGTGACAGGTAGAATAAGATCAGTACTGACAAGGGACCACTGGATTTGGTGAGGAAGTCTTTCATGATCTTGCTAGAAAACTCTCAGTGAAATATTTGGGGTTAAATTCTGATTGGAATGGATTAAGGGGAGAATAAAAGGTAGGAAGTTGAGGCAGTTGCGATAGACAACTTTTCAGGATATTTTTTGTAGTGAAGTGGAGGTGAAGGTTGTGAGGCACAAAATTCAAGGGGGGGATTTTTTTTTTTTTTTTTAAGAGACAGGGTCTCACTCTGTCACCCAGGCAGGAATGTAGTGGCACAATCATAGCTCACTGCAGCCTTGAACTCCTGGGCTCAATCAGTCCTCCTGCCTCAGCCTTCTCAATAGCTGGCACTAAAGGTGTGTGCCACCATGCTTAGCTAATTTTAAAAAAATTTTTAGAGATGGGACCTTACAAGGTTGCCCAGACCAGTCTCAAACTGTTGGCCTCACACGGTCTTCCTGCCTTGGTCTCCCAAAGTGTTGGGATTGCAGGTGCAAGCCACCGTGTTTGGACACATTTTTTAAACAACCGCCATTCTAATCATGTTTCTATGCTAGTGGAAATGACCCAGTAGAGAGGGGACTTGATGGTATGAGAAAGAGGGATTTATTTCAGATTCTAAATGCTGGAAAAAAACAAGAGGCTGAGATTCAGATTGCTAGTGGAGAATCTGATCTTTTGTTGAAGCCAGGGAACCTCTACCACGGTACAAGAAAGAAGGCCTAAAATACCGCTACGTTCTGGTCATTTCATGGTGGATAGACAAGGGATTTGATGGATCACTTTGATTTTCTCAGCTACTCACTCAGCTGAAAATAGTGGAAGAGAGAGGATGGGTGGTGTGGAAGGTTTGAGAAGACAGCAGAGCATGCCCCTCTGGGAGTGGGAAACAAATGTACCAGGACAATGCAGTGGGATTGTGGAGTGGGCCTGAAGGCTCAGATTTGAGATTTGTGATTGGTTGTGTGATTTATCCAGCAATATCAGCCACTCAGGTGCAGGTACAGAGCAGACAGAGAGCCAAGAATCCTTGTAAGTGGCACATTTAAATGACACACCATAGAACTTATGGTGGGTGAAGAGAGATGGCAGGACATAAGGAGAAGATGTAAAGAGCTGGTAGGGTCAGTGGATTGGAAGCTTGATGCTGAGAACACTTGAGTAAAGACACTATGAAGAAAGCACCAGAACCTTAATAGGAGTGGTCAGCAGGAAAGTTTATTGAAAATAAGGTTTTTGCAGCCAGGTGCAGTGCCTCACACCTGTAATCCCACCAGTTTGAGAGGCCTAGTAGGCAGGTGGATCACCTGAGGTCAGGAGTTTGAGACCAGCCTGGCCAACATGGTGAAACCCCATCTCTACTAAAAATATAGAAATTAGCTGAGCACGGTGGCGGGTACCTGTAATCCTAGCTACTCAGGAGGCTGAGACAGGAGAATTGTTTGAGCCTGGGAGGTGGAGGTTGCAGTAAGCCGAGATTGTGCCTGAACTCCAGCCTAGGTGACAAAGCGAGACTGTCTTGAAAAAAAAAAGGAAACAAATAAAATAAGTTTTTTGGAAGTTGATGACAAATTAGCTGAAGACATACTATAGACAATCTCCTAAGTGGAAGAGAGAAGGAGCGAGGGATTCAAAAAGAAAGAAACTGTGGCTCATGCCAGAAAGAGTTTATAATCAATTAAGGGATAAAATATGTATCATGCAGCTTTATAACATGGCAGCATACGTAGGTCCATCTATCTAACTGGGTCATAACAGGCTTGAAGGCAGAAATTATGGTCTGGTTCATTTACATCACACTTAGCACCTGCAGGAATTGTGTGTTCTAATTCACTTATATGGCACCTAGCATCTAACAGATGCTATGAATATGTGCTCAGTAAATACTGACTGATAGTATCTTTAGTATCTTTGAATAGTGAAGGTATAAGCATGATAAGCCAAAAATAATAATAATAACAATTATGATAGTGCTTATCCTGGCTTGGGCTGCTATAACAACATATCTTAGATAAGGTAATTTATAAACAATATAAATATATTGCTCACAGTTCTAGATGTTGGCAAGTCTAAGATCAAGGCAGCAACGGTTGTCTGGTGACAGCCTGTTCCTGGTGATAGTGCTTTCTACGTGTCCTCACATGGCAGAAGGGGCGAACAAGCTCCCTCAAGCCTCTAATTCCATTTATGAGAACAGAGCCCTCATGACCTAATCACCTCCCAGAAACCCCATCTCTTAATACTATTGCAGTGAATAATAGATTTTAACATATGAATTTTGGGGGAACATAAACGTTCAGACCATAGCAATGCTGCTTTCCTTGTGCAAGACATTGTTCTAAGTACTTTATATGTATAATGACACATCTGACCACAAAATCCTGTGAGGTAGGTGTTATTAAATAGGAAATTAGGCAAAGAAAAGTTGAGTACCTCGGCCAAGGTCACACAGCTGGTAAGAGGCAGAGCCAGGCTTTGAACCCAGTTAGAGTAACTCTAGTCTGCACTCTCCTAGCCGCCACCTCCATTTCCCATTTAGAAAGAGTAATTAATTAGCCACACTCTACTCAGAAGTCTATGACCCAAAGCAAACGTTCTTATTTTGTGAAACAATGTGGAGACATTGTATTAGTCTGTTCTCATGCTGCTAGTAAAGACATACCTGAGACTGGGTAATTTATAAAGAAAAACAGGTTTAATGGACTCACAGTTCCACATGGCTGGGGGAGCCTCACAATCATGGCGGAAGGTGAAGAAGGAGCAAAGGCGTGTCCTACATCGCAGCAGGCAAGAGTGGGTGTACAGGGGAACTGCCCTTTATAAAACCATCAGATCTCGTGAGACTTATTCACTATCACGAGAACAGCATGGGAAAAACCTGCCCCCATGATTCAATTACCTCCCAGGTGGGAATTATGGGAGCCACAATTCAAGATGAGATTTGGATGGGGACACAGCCAAACCATATCAGACATCAAAGAAAACTCACAGGGGCCTGGCGCGGTGGCCCACGCCTGTAATCCCAACACTTTGGGAGGCCGAGGTGGGTGGATCACCTGAGGTCAGGAGTTCAAGACCAGCCTGGCCAACATGGTGAAACCCCATCTCTACTAAAAATACAAAAATTAGCTGGGAGTGGTGGCGCATGACTGTAGTTCCAGCTACTCAGGAGGCTGAGGCAGAATCGCTTGAACCCAGGAGGCAGAGGTTGCAGTGAGCCGAGATCATGGCACTCCACTCCAGCATGGGCAACAAAGTGAGCCTTTGTCTCAAAAAACAAAAACAAAAACAAAAACAAAGATAACTCACAGGGAAGATTCCTGAAGTGTTATTGTCTTTTGTTTATATAGTCATTTCAGGTAAAATAATCGTTCATTCATTACTAAGGAGACACCAGTGGGGCTTGAGTTCTACACTCTGTGAACAAACTCATCATCTATCCTGGCATTATCAGTGGGACAGGAAGCAGGTGCAGCATAATGGGGGATATACACATAGAACCCTGACAAGTCTGGGTTGTATCTGAGTTCTGCTGCTGCTAGCTGCGTGACTCTGGACAAGTTACTTGACCTCTCTATGCCTCAGTTCTCTCATTTTTAGAATGGCAATAATTATACTATCTACTTCATAGGTTTTTCATGATAATTAAATGTGATAATTCATGTAAACTACCTAGTACAGGACCTAAAACATAGTAAATGCCCTAAATGTTACTCTTCTAAGTCAACTCCTCAGCATTTAACTGATTTCTGTGTTAAAGTCCAAACTCCTTCGCATGGCATGAAAAGTCCCTCCTTAACTCCTGGACTGGCCCCAGCTTACCTCATCTTTCCCCCCATTCCCTCTGTAAATCTGAGATCCAATCATAATTGTTTTGCATATCCTTTCTTATATGAACTTTACACTCTGGAAGTAACTCGGAAGATTTGTGATGCAATCAAAATGCAATCTGATTTTATCACTCACTATCCCTTTAAGTATTCAGAAGGAGTAATTTTTTTCTGCCTTCCAGTGGAAACTTGGACAGATATCAAGAATTCTTAATTAGTGGGCACTCCTACTCACTTTAAGTAAAAAATCAGTCTGGCTTTGGTAATTAGAAATGTGTCAAGATATTAATTAAATGCCTCAATCTCCATCCAAAAAGTGAGAGTTCTCTGCACTTGTGAGGGCCTGTGGTCACCTTATGCTCTCTCTCCCCCACTTAAATCCTTCCCAGGCACCAGCAGCTGCATCAGACCCCACCTGGGCAGAAGCCAGCTAAGGCAGTGCAGGTTGCTGGTGGTCTTCAGGTTGTCTGCATCTGGCAGGTGCCTAAACTTGATTCTTTCACTTCTGGGTGCACGTCTTTTTTTTTTTTTTTTTAATATATAGCAGTTTATTAAAAAGAATATATGGATACGCAGCGGTAAGTGACATAATTGATAAAAGAGGACCCACAATATCACTGATTCTCCTATTACTCCATGAAACTACTCCATGCAGTGATTTACAAGGGACCCTGGTTTGCAGGGTGCACAAGTTGCTTCACATTATAGAATATATAACACATAGGAGTTGTAATTTCATATAATCTGAACAATTGGCACCACTGTTACTGGTATCTTAACTGGTAGAAGCTAGCTGGCTTTTTATAACTGATCAACTATTGTGAGAAGCTGTTGACTCTCCATGGGTTGTTTGAAGATTTTTTTTTCTTTTTTTGAGACTGGGTCTGGCTTTTTTGTGCAGGCTGGAATGCAGTGGCGTGATCTCGGCTCACTGCAACCTCCGCCTCCTGGGCTGAAGCCATCGTCCCACCTCAGACTCCTGAATAGTTGGGAGGGACTACAGGTGCATGCCACCATGTCTGGCTAATATTTTTATTTTTTTTTAGTAGAGATGGGTTTTCGCCATGTTGGTCAGGCTGGTCTCAAACTCCTGACCTCAGGTGATCCACCCACCTTGGCCTCCCAAAGTACTGGGATTACAGGCGTGAGCCACCATGCCCGGCCACGCCCAGCTAATTTTTGTATTTTCAGTAGACACAGGGTTTCACCATGGTGGTCAGGCTGGTCTTGAACTCCTGACCTCAGGTGATCCACCCACCTTGGCCTCCCAAAGTGCTGGGATTATAGGTGTGAGTCAGCACCCGTTCAGCTGACTCCTATGCATTTTTCAACACTCAGAATATCTCTCCCCATCCCCTCAAGAACCCACAAATGGGCTAATCCCACCCACTTCACACTATTTGCATTTTCATGGTAACATTTTCTCACCTCTATCACAACTAACCCACACCACTTTGTATATCTGTGATAACCAACCCACATCATTTATGTGTCTGCCCCCACTCTAAGACATTGGAAGGTCTTGGGGTCAGAGACTCTTGAGATTTACTGTTACATCCTCAAAGCCTAACATACAATAAAATGCAAATTTCCGGCCTGTGGGGTGGCTCACACCTGTAATCCCAGCACTTTGGGAGGCTGAGATGGGGGGATTACTTGAGGTCAGGAGTTTGAGACCAGCCTGGATAACATGGTGAAACCCCATCTCTACTAAAAATACAAAAATTAGCTGGACATGGCAGTGGGCAACTATAATCCCAGCTACTTGGGAGGCTGAGGCAGGAGAATCGCTTGAACCTGGGAGGCAGAGGTTATGGTGAGCCAAGACTGTGCCACTGAGCTCCAGCCTGGATGAAAGAGGGAGACTCCTCTTCAAAAAAAAAAAAAAAAAAAAGTAAATTACCATTAGCAATCGCATAAAAAAATACCAGGCATGGAGGAATTAATGTAACAAGAGATATGTAAAATATCTACGTGGAAACTAAAAACCTCAGCACGATCTTGGGAAACTCAACAAGCTGATTCCAAAATTGATAAGGAAATGCAAAGAACCAAGATCCTCCCGAAAACAAAACAAAACAAAGAAAACCAAGTGGGAAGATGTGCTTTACCACATATCAGCTTCTTAGAGTCACTGGAGCAGTCTGGTGTCAGCACAAGGATAAACAAAGAAACCAGTGGGATAGAATAGAAAGTTCAGAAACAGATCTATTCAGATATGCACACTCAATTTATGACAGAGATGGTGCTGTGGAGCACAGAAAAAACAGGTTTAAAACAAGCATTACAAATAAAAAATATTAAATTTAAACTAAAAATTTACCTTCCTCAAAAGACATCATTTTGAGACTAAAAAGGGAAGCTACATAACAGAACATTTTGCTTGACACATAATTGACAAAGGACTTGCATTCATAATATGCAAAGAATTACAAAAGAAAACAATAAGCAAAGGACAACGTAAGGGAAAACTGGGGAAAAGACTTGAGCAATTCATCAAAAAGGAAATCTAAAAAGGCCCCCAAAATACGAAAAAGTACTCAACCTTATTGGCAATTAGGGAAATGCAAGTTAAAAACCCCACTAGAATGGTTAAAATTAAAAGTCTGACAATACCAATCATAGGCTGGGAGACAGGGCAACAGGACCCAGATTGCTATTAGGCAAGTAAGGTGCTGCAATCACCTTGAAAAACAGTTTGGAGTTACCTAAGAAAGTTGAAGATACGTAGCCCTGTGGCCCAGCAATTCAAGGGAAATATGTACAGGTGGTGACCAGGAAGGCAAGTGCAAAAATGTTGACAGCAGCATGATTCACCATACCTATGGCTCCAAAATGAAACTTTAATGTTCATAAATTCAATGTTCATAAGTACTAGGATGATTAAATCATATTCTATTCATAGGACAATTCTATACTGCAATGAAAATGAAATAACTGTAGCCTCACGAGAACGTAATTGAATCTCACAATGTTAAGGAGAAAAAGCTAGTCACAAAAGAATATCTAGGCTGGGCATGGTGGCTCATGCCTGTAATCCCAGCACTTTGGGAGGCTGAGGTGGATGGGTCATTTGAGGCCAGGGGTCCAAGGCCACCAAAATGGTGAAACCCTGTCTCTACTAAAAATACAAAAACTAGCTGGGCATGGTGGTGCATGCCTGTAATCCCAGCTACTCAGGAAGCTGAGGCAGAAGAATCGTGTGAACCCAGTAGGCAGAGGTTGCAGTGAGCCGAGATTGTGCCACTGCACTCAAGCCTGGGTGACAGAGAGAGGCTCTATCTCAAAAAAGAAAAAAAAAAGGAAAAAAAAATCTAATACTTGATTATTTTATGCAATTTATATAGCATTCAAGAACAGGCAGAACTAGACTACAGTTTTCAGGAATTCATAGTTAGGTGGTCAAAGAAAGAAAAGAAAGTGACTACATTAAAGTCAGGAAAATGATTACCTTTGGGGCTAGTGAGACAGCTGTGAATGAAAGGGCATGTGAGGGTCTTCTGGGATGTGGACAAGCTTATATTTCTGGATAGTGGTTAAATGGTTGTATTTCATAATAGTATGTGGAGCTGTACAATTGTGTTTTTATGTACTTAACATTATTATTATTAGTTACCTCCTTATGTTCATAGCAGCATATTATACTCAGGGATGGGTGACAAGCAAATTATAAGGATTGAATGCCTTGGGACTCTTAACTGTAAATAATCAAAAACACAACCCAAACTGGCTTAAGCCAAAAAAGGTAATCTATTGGGTAATATAAATTAAAGAGTGAGGAGGTCAGCATGCTGGCTTCAGATAAGGCTTAGAGCTCTTACACTGTGACCAGGTCCTGGTTTCTTTTTTGTCTCAGGTTCTCTTTCTTCTGTTGGCTAAATCTTCAGTTGGTTCTTTCCTTTTGTATCCCAGATAGCTGCCAGTAAATTCCTGGGATTACAGGTTTCCTTTTTTAGGTCTAGCAGAAAAGAGAAACTTTGCTCTTCCCATAGCTCAGTCAAAACCTCTGATGTTTAGTCCTACCTCTGATTGGCCCAATGTGGCTCACGGGTCCTTCCCTGGACTAAGCACTAAGGGAGAAAGGATAAACTGGTGGAGCCCATTCCTGGTCAATGGCCAACAGACCACCTGTTTATTCAAGGTTCAAGTTGGTATTAGAAAGAAGAAGAGGAGAAGAATAGCGAGGAGGTAGCTAACAAATGTCTATGACAATCAATGTCCATTTTATTTAGTTGAATATCATCACACATAAACAACAACACACAGTTTTGCACTACTCCCTACCTCAGGCTTAATCAGAACCAAGGCAAAGAAAGTAGCTGGATAGAACAGAGGTGCCAGTTGAGCTAAAATCTGAAAACAACAGCAAAAATATAATTTGTTTCTGCTGATGTTAGTGATTCTAAACAGTCACAGGTGCTCAGATTGATGAAAAGCAAAGCTGGCTTGTCAGATTGGATCTTCTTTAGAGATATTTTGAGGTGAACTGAGAAAAATCTGAGTATTGACTGGGCAGTAGAGGATGTAGAGAACTATACTCCATTTTCTTAGGTGCGGTAACGGTAATTGGTAAAATTTTTAGAAGCAGCAGCTTGGAGTATTCAGGAGTGAAGTGTGTTGATGTCTGTAGCTCTCTAAAATAGCTTAGCAAAAGACACACACACATAGATAAAGCAAACATGCAAAAATTACCAATTGTTGAATCTAGATGGTATGCATATGGGTGATCACTAGAATATTCTTTTAATTCTATATGTTTGAAACTCTTAAAATGTGGGGAAATAAAAAATGTTTTCAGAAAAATCTGAAAATTCCAGACAAACAAAAAAGCTGACTTATTTCTATGCTTTCTCTTCTTATAGTCTCAGGTATTAGTTCCATACCAGGGAGAAAGAAATACATTTATTTTGGTGTTAAAACAATATAAGTTCTATTGCTGTTTTCAGTTATCCACGAAAAGTGTTTATTCAGCACCAGCTATGCGTATGAATCACTTAGTGTTAATATAAAGTTACAATTTCATCTTTATCTCCCTATTAGAGAATAAAAGTTGACAATCAAATACTACAGACAGAAGGAAGGGAACTAGGCCAGGTGCTGTGGCTCATGCCTGTAATCCCAGCACTTTGGGAGGCCGAGGCATGTGGATCACTTGAGCCCAGACCAGCCTGGGCAACATGGCAATATCTTGTCTCAACACAAAAATTAGCTGGTGTGGTGGCGTATGCCTGTAGTCCTAGCTGCTCAGGAGGCTGAGGTGGGAGGACTGCTTGACCCTGTCTCGAGGAAAAAAAAAAAAAAAGAAGGAGGGGGAACTATTGAGGACTTTGTACCAAGAATATTAGCACACATCACTTCATTTATTTTTCACAACAACCCCGCAAAGTAGATATTATCACTATCCCTATTTTACAGACAATAAATGGAGGTGTTCTTAAGTTACGTACACTTGGCACAGGGTCCCATAGCTAGCAGATAGGAAGCATCTGAATAGAAGAGTAAATCTCTCATATACTGCTGGTGGGAATGTAAAATGATGCAGCCACTTTGGAAGACTATCTGGCAGTTCCTCAAAAAGTGAAACCATAGAGTTACTATATGACCCAGTAATTCTACCAAGACAAATGAAAATGTGTCCACACAACAACTTGTACATGAATGTTCATAACAGCACTATTCATAAATGCCAAAAAGTGGAAATAACTCAAGTGTCCATCAACTGATGAATGAATAAGCAAAACACGGTATATCTATCTACACAATGGAATTTTATCTGGCAAGAAAAGAAAATTAAGTACCAATACATGCTACACATGCATGGACCTCAAAAATGTTAAGTAAAGTAAGCCAGACACAAAATGCTACATATTGTATGATTCTCTTTATATGACAAGTCCAGAACATGCAAATCTGACAGAAAGATTAGTGACTGCAGAACAATTAATGATTGCTGAGGGCTGGGACGAGAAGGTAAGCAACTGCTAATGGATATGGGTTTTTTTTTCCCCGGCGGGAGGTTATGATGAAATGTTCTGAAATTGATTGTGGTGATGGTTACACAACTCTGAGGATATACTAAAAACCACTGAGTTGTACACTTTAAAACAGGTGGATTATATGTCAATTAAGCTGTATATATATATATATATATATATATATATATATGAAAAAAAGAGTGAACCGCCCTTTACCGAATAATGTTGCCTAACAAAACTATAGTTTTCCTTATAGAGTTGGCTCTCAAAATCAAACCATGAGGGTAGCCAGGTTGAATGGATTCTATATATTATCTAGACTCTTCTAATTAGGGAGTTGATTATTGAATTGGATATCTTTGAATATCTGGTTGTTTGAATTGGATAAAGAAAACCTCAAAGTGCCCAGAAAACATTAGGAACAAGAAAGTGTGTGAAGAAATGAAGACATGAAAATTCTCCCTCATATTCCCAATGCTGGCTATCCAAGGTTCTTTGGATTTTGGCCCCAACATGTGAAATCCGTTATATCATTTTCTCTAGATTTAGAAGGCAGTGCATAATAAAGTGGCCATCAGTTCCTGCGGATTTGCAACACAAGACTATTTCTATGTGACTATTAGCAATAGTTGGCTCTATCAGGAATTCAGGAACGAGTCTTTTGGAATGGCTAGAACTGGAACATATATGCACTCTTTCAAACTTTGTGCTGACTTCCTCCTCAATGTTGGATGCATTTAGACAGGAAGGAAGATAACCTTTCGAATCCTGAATGGTCTGCCATTGGGCAGTCATAAACATACCACTTCTTTCCTTCTAGCACCCTGGGTAAGTTCCTTTTATGACCAAGCTGTGGCATTTAGACATTTCCTTATGTTTCTTCCAGGTACTTAAGGACAAATTTAGCTCCTGGCTTTTCCTGATTTGGGTGGGTTTGGGTGCCTCTAGAAAGTACTTCCTCTACACTTGATTGAGCTCTTTTATTTGAGCTGCTCTCGATTCACCCGCCCCACCCCCACTTCTTTTTTCTTTTGCGTTGCTTTTTAGTTCTGTTTAATTACCTGCTTCTGGCAATGTGGAGCTTTCCCATAACTGGATTAGCAGCACTATAATAGCAGTAACCCTTTCATTACCAGAGTAATTTTCTTTACTTGTTTTGAACTTCAGCATTTACAGGCAGCTGCTATTAAGTTAAAAGGTAAAAAGACATGTGACTTTTTCCTGCTTTTACAAGTCCAGAATACTTCCAGTGAGGGTTACAGGGCTTTGAAGCCATTTTCTCCACTTTAAAAAAAGGAAAGGTAAGAGCTGAAGTAGGCCTCTCCTCCATTTAAAACACAAATCCAGTTAGAGACCAGCCTGACCAACATGAAGAAACCCCATCTCTACTAAAAATACAAAATTAGCCAGGTGTGGTGGTGCATGCCTGTAATCCCAGCTACTTGGGAGGCTGAGGCAGGAGAATTGCTCGAACCCAGGAGGCGGAGGTTGCGATGAGCCAAGATCACGCCACTGCACTCCAGCCTGGGCAACAAGAGTGGACTCCGTCTCAAAAAACAAACAAACAAACAAACAAAAACCACGCAAATCCAGCAACCATACTTCCTTTTAGAATCACATTTTCAGGATTCTGCCATTTATCCAAGAATAATAAATAAATAAAGTTAGAATTTAGTGTTACGTTCATTTTGACTTCTTTGTAATCTGTTTCTGGCCTTAGGTTTTCTTGACTCAGTCAGATGTAAAGTTGTTAAAACAGGGAGGGGATCAAGATAAGGCCTTGCTATCTTGGTCCATTTCCTATTCCAGTCATTATTCATGTGACCTCTGTAATTTTTTTACTTACCAGGCTAGATTAAGAGACTCATGAACTGCATCACTGGGATGTGACAGGATTTATGACTATGGTGAAGTAGTCTGAGGCACCTGGATGAAAGGTGGTTATAGTGAGTTATGTACACAATTCCCACACATTTTAAACACTTGATTCCTACAGAGCTATCAAACTAATGGAAGGCAAGTTACTCAGAGTTTGGTTGACTGATACCTCCAGGGATTGCATTTTCTAAATACAGAGCTTGCTTTCACAATTTCAGCAGGATACAAGAGTGTTCAGAATTGGGGGTTTACCATTCAAAGGGCAGAGGCCAGAGACTTGAATTTACAAGGAGGGTCCTCAACACAGACATCGAGATTACAGTACATTAATTTCTCTTGCACATGAAGAAGTTGAGGCTTCACAATTTCAGCATGACCCAGTATAGTTGCAACATCTTACCCATCACTGGGTGTGTATCTTCTGTGTACACTGGCCCTTTCAACATCTAAGGCCAGGCTAGGTGCTCATAGCAACTGGCTCCCCAGGAACTAACGAAAGAGAAAGCAAGAAACAGTGGAGGGGTTTTGGTGATGGTGGAAGGCAGGGGAGATAGAAGTGGGGGTTGCAGAAGGTCGTGGTGAGGCAGAGTGGCAGACAAATGGGGAATGAGAAGTCTTGCCAAGCCCAGAAGACTATCGTTGTGTAAACACACAATATGCTTCAGGCTATGTATTCTGGGCAACAGTTCCTGCCCTAAAAGGTGTGGACATTTAAATTAGGGTAGGATTGCGCATTCTGTGATAGAGACTGGCACAGAGACAAAGTGGAACTCCTCTACGTTGGGGAGGGGAAAACATACATTAGCCTGTTTTGAACCTTAGACCAAGACAAGACAAACACACAAACACCATTTAATTTCATACTGCAATAAAATTCTTTGTACCAAACCATGGGATCAAAATTGTTACAGATACTCAGTGAACAGTTCCAATGCATTCATTCATCCAGTCACTTACTCCACAGGGGTTTGAGTGCCTGCACTTGGTGCTGGGCACGGCTGAGCCATCCCAGACGCCAAGGAGTTTACAGTCTAGTCCAGTCAGTGACGAGGTTAAAACGAATTCTCGCATCATTGCTACTGCGAATGCACCGGGACAGGATCAGCCCTTCAAATTCTCCCACGTGGTCCCTGCAGGTGAGTGTGGGTGTGAGCGCTTGCGGCCCGTGGTGTTTGGGAGTGAGAGAGCACGTGTGTCAGAATGGCGCCTGTCACAGTGCGCGTCCAGGTGTCTCTGCAGTACGCCTCTCCATAGCCACCCGAGCCGGGCTGTATGGGCTTGGCTAGGCTTATGTCTCCCGCCCACGCACCGGAGGCGGTGCGGAAAGCACTCCGCGGGCGCGATTGTGAGTGAGCGCGGGCGCGCGCGGGAGGGGCGCGCCGCGCTGGCTGGGCCGCGCGCAGGCGCAGAGTGCGGAAGTCGGGCCGCGGCCGCCGCAGAGCGCCGGGGGCGGGAGGAGCAAACGCAGGAGGCCATGGCCGCCGACGCCGGCGCCGGCTGCTAAGGGGCTCGGCCCGCGAGCGCCTGCTGCCGCGGACGATGGTGACCGTACGGGCCGGGCCGCTGCCGCTGCCGCTGCCTCCGCCTCCCCAGAAGCAACATCCGAGGCTCGGCGCAGAAGAGCCGCCGCTGTGAGCCGTGCCGTACCGGCCCCCGCCGCCGCCCGAGGAGAACGGGAGGGCGGGCGAGAGAGCCGGGGAGTTGCGGAGCCCGCCCGCCGGCAGCGCCGCTCCCCAGGGAGGGAGTCCGCAGCCTGAGGTGACCACGCCGCCCGCCCGGCCCCTTCCCATCCCCGCGCCCCCCGGCCGCTTCCCACGGCCTCCCTCCCCTCCCCCATCGCGTCGCAGGCTCCTTCCTCTTCTCCCTGTTCGCCCCTTTCCTTTTATCTCGCTTCACCTCCCTCTTCTCCCTAGCATTGGAGGAGTCCACATCCCCTCTTCAGCCGCAGCACCCCTCCCTCCCATCCTCTAGCTCTTCCCGCGGTGGTCGCCTCCCTCCGACCCTGCTCTCCCCTCCTGGGCCCCGCGCAAAGCCCCCTCTGTTCCAGCTCCCGGGCCTCGGCTGCCTCCCCGCCCTCCCATCCCTTCCTCTTCCCAGGGCCTGGAGCGCTCCCTTACATTCCTGAGATGCCCTTCCTCGGGGCTGTCCCCCTTTGCCTCCCCAGCATCCCATTTCTAGGCCTTTTTCAAGACCCTTCCAGAGCGGCCCCTTTCCAGCTCCCTTTCTCGTTTCCATTTCCAACTTTGCCTCTTTTGCCTCTTTGTTCACTTTGCTTCCAAGCTCCCCTCCCTCTTTCCCTTCGTCTTACCCTGCTTTGATCTACGCAGCCCCAAACTCAAGCTCCCCGCTTTCAGGTGGTGCGAGGTTGTTTGGGGGTGCGGAAGGGCCTGCCAGTCCATTTTTCGAGGGGGGCCCATTGCTCTGCATCCCGTCCGTCAGTCCCTTTTATAGTAAGAGGGCTCCTCATCCCTTCCTTTTTGTCCCCGTGGTTTCCTCTGTCTTGCCATCCCTTCTGTCTTCTCCCTCCAATACTGCTTTCCCCACCCAAGGACCCTCAGACCCGTGAACCCCCTTTCTGGAATGAGTTCCCTTTCTGTTCGGGGATGCTGAACTTCGCCCGCGTTTTTCTTCGCGAGCCTTTTGGTACGTGGCGTGGCGCGACAGAGTCAGCACCCTTGGCGAGATAGGAGGGGAGCTCTCGAGCCTCTTTCCTGGAAGAGTTTTTGCTGAACGTAATCTCTTAGCCCCGCGGCGGCGGCGGCCCGGTTGCTGCTGCTACTGCTGCTGCGCTGCCTGCTTGCCGCGAGCTGGGTTGGGGTTACTGTAGTTCAAACGCATCTGAGATCTGCAGGCGTTGTGGGAGGAGGTGCGGGGAGAGAGGAAGGGGCCTGTGCAGTGAGCAGGCATCAAAGATTAGTGGATGGCCTTGCGTCGCAGTCTGCAGTAAAGAGGAAACTAGTCTGAAAGGGAAGGAGAGGACTGTGTGTCTTTTTATTTTTTAAAATACGGAGTGTGCAGTTTTACTGAATCTTGAATCATGCCCAAAAGAATGAGCTGTCGGTGCTGCAGTCGTGACCCAGGCTGAGCGGCCGATGGCAGAGGTAGCAGTTTTATTTCCTCTCTCTGTTCCTTAAGTTGAAAGATGGCCTTTGTATTCAGAGTAGACTCCCTGTCTTTGCGGTTTGGGAGATGATGAGAAACCACAGAATTGCTAGTAGTTTATGTGGAGATCAGGTACATACAAAGTTAGCTAGCAAGGAGTGGGAGTGGGGAGGACCAGCTATATTTAAAACATGTGCCATTGCTTATGTAAGAAATGCGTTCTCTTTCCTGGTATCTCAGTTCTGGGCTTTTACTTAGAATTTTAGGCTCTAGCTTTGTGCTCTTAACATTTTCAGTGAGGCCTACCATCCTAACCGATGGACAGCCCGAAAATTTACTTTTCTTAAGATCAGTTTTAGTTGATGGTAGAATTTTTTTTTTTAACTGGTTGGGAGAAAGAAAGGAGATAATGGTGAATGATGATTTTTGTTTTTCTTTTTTAGGGGGAAGGTGTAGAAGTATTGTACTGAATAGTTTTAAGTTGGGTCACGTGTCATTCTTGTTTTTTCTTTGTCTTTTTAAAAAAAAGTTTAGGAGGTGTATTTTTGAAGAACTCAAATAAGAGAAATAAAAAATCACATTTTTCATTTCTCTTATTTGACATAGTTCTTCAGAGATTAGCTGTGACTGTAAAAACCTACATTTTTCTTATTCAGGACGATTTGTTTGGTTTCTTCATATTCAAAACTAAAATCCCGTATTTTCAGGAAAGTGTAGAATGAAGCCCCCTGTGTTTTCTAACCCACAAATTTGAATGGTAAACTGTACAGCATTATACTTCTACAAGACATTACTGTTTTCATAATTACGGATTGCTGCTTCTAAGCCTGAGAAGGTCATTTAATGAACTCATTGAGGTCTCCTTTTTGGTTAGCATTTGTTGCACCTCTTGTGGTTTTTGGAAAGAAATGCCTTTTTTTTTTTTGGTTTGTTTTTAGCTGTTTTACTGTGTAAAACATCTTTGAGTCACATTTAGTTTATGTTACCTGCAGACACATCATGTTGGATATTACTTTCCCAGTTCTTTTCAAAGTTCAAGGAGGACATTTTAAAATCTTGCATGGAAGATAAAACAGTATAGGAAGTTTATGTATTTGGCTTTGGGTGTGTTAAACCTTTCGGTTTTTTCTGCTTTCAGCTCTCCTGCTTATTTTCTAGGATTATTTGGTATTATTTTGTTTTCAAGAGAATATTGAGCTCCCCTGTACTTTAGGATATGCTGATTAGCCCTGTTTGACAATAAATCTGGAACAGGATAAATTAGGCAACATTATAAAGGTATTCTCTAGATCAGGAGAGAAGGCTCCATTTTACTTCGTGTTTGTATGATATAGTGATTTGGCAGGTGTGAGTAATTGCAAGTACTTGCAAAGAAGATGAATATTTTAAAGTTTTGTTTTGATGTTGGTTTAGTGTGTGGTGCTAAAGTGTAGTGTAAAGTACCTATTTGTATTGATAACTATCATGTGCTCTTTTACTTTAGAAGGGTTCAAAGTGATAAGGTTTTGAAATTTTTTTCTCTTTGATTTTCCATGTATTAAATTTGTTTCGTCAGTGCCTTTATACATGACCAGCTTGCCACTGACTTGCTAAAATAACATTCACGTATAGAAATAAATGCAACATTTAGTTTCGTTTATTTGGGCGTATTTAATTCTATCCAAAGTCCTTGTTAAAAACATTTCAGTCTCGAGTTGACTATGTAGTAGAGGGGGATCTTGGATATTGTTTTTTATTGACAGCTTTCGGGACCCGGTATTTTCTCTTTATAGAAATAGAAATGTGTCCTGTTTTCTGTTTCTTATTATATTTGTTAGGCAGGAGTGGTGGGTGGAAATAAAGAGGGAACATGTACCATTCTGCTAATGGACTTTTGTAATAGAGATGATCCTCTGTACGGATTAGGGAGTTTTTCTTCCCTAGCAGATCTTGATTTCTAAAGCAGGATTAGTTATTTGTTTAGTTTAAATTTTCTTCTTTACCCGTTTAGGAGCCACAGTAAATGGTGAAAATGGGCACATTTTAAAATAGCAAAGCATTGAAAAAAGAGAAAGGTTCCAAATCAAATGAAATAAATATGGGCTACAAGTGTTAAATCAGTAATAGCTCCTCCCTCTCTTGTTACTTATAAAAACAGAGTAATGATTTATATTGGATTCCAGAATATAGAAAAATAGTTACTTTTCGATGGCAGTATAAAGACTGTCAGTAATACTGTCATCTCAGTACGTGGTGATTTTCAAATATGGTGGCTGGTGGTTTGTGAGAAGATCTATTCAATATTACTTTGAAATAAATTCCCAAGAGGGTATTGGGTTATCAGTTTGCTCACCAAAGTAAGTCTTTCCACTGTAATTCCTGAAGTTATCTAGATGGCTTATACACATTAAAATGCATTAAACTCTTTACCAACAATTTCTGTGAATGTTTTGGTGTATTTTTTCCTGGGATTAGAAAAAATAATAATATCATGGGCTTTGAGAAATTTAGATTCCTCAGTGGTTGGTTTGCAATAAATATTAAAGGTTAGAGATTTTATTTTTCAGTGCATTTTTCCTTCTTAGGACATGATATTTAGTTCTGATTTTCACAATAATATTTTTTCTTATGTAGGAAAATTATGAAAATGATCTTGTTCATGTGAAATAATCAGAATTGCAGTACTTATCTATAAAAATGTTAAATCTATATTATTGGCAGGCTATATATATAAAACATTTGGGTTATGGGAATGGTTGATATATGATTATTGAAAAGCTTTTATTGATAGTGTGCCAAGTTGGGTTGCCTTTAGCTTTTTGACTATCTGAACTAGGAAGCTATGAAAATTGGAGGGTAAGATGGAAATACTGACAAATATTTAACCATAGCATAGCAATCTGTCACTATAATTTTCTGCAGAAATAAATGTTTTCGTTTGTCCTGTAATGTCTGAAATTACTGCTAAAGCTGGAAATGTGTTTAGCTTTCTCAGCAAAATTCTTAAAAGGATATTGTCAGAGCCAACAATCCAGAATTATCTTTACTCTTTAAATTGTTCTTTACCCACTTTTGTTTGCTTTTTTTTTTTTTTTTTTTTTTTTGAGACGGAGTCTAGCTCAGTTGCCTAGGCTGGAGTGCAGTATTGTGATCTCTGCTCACTGCAACCTCTGCATCCCAGGTTCAAGCAATTCTTCTGCCCTAGCCTCCTGAGTAGCTGGGACTACAGGTGTGCACCACCATGCCCGGCTAATTTTTGTATTTTTAGTACAGACGGAGTTTCACCATATTGGCTAGGCTGGTCTCGAACTCGTGACCTCATGATCTGCCTGCTTCGGCTTCCCAAAGTGCTGGGATTACAGGCGTGTGCCACTGCGCCCGGCCTTGTTTGCCCTATTTTATATTTTTTTGGATTAATTTGAAGTTCTACCATATAAAGCAGTATGGCATTGAATTGTCCCTTTAAATAGTAAATTGTCCTGATAACTGCCTTTCATTTCCTCCTCCCCCTGCCCCCCCCCACTACTTATCATGGTCTGTGCAGAGACAGGGGCTGCAGACTCAATGCCTGGCGTCTTCCATGTGCCTGCTTATCTGTGTATCAAGGGAAGAATTTGATGAACACTTGAAGGCAGATTATGGGAATTTTAGACCATATTTAACTTTAAAGATTCAAGGAAATGATATTGTAAATAATGTTCCCTCTACCTGTATCTACATCATGAGTTCTCTGGATTGTAAATTTAGCACTTCAATTTTGATTGTAAGTGAATAAGGAAAAGCATAGAGTACAAGATGCTGCAAACTAAACGTGCAGTTATCAAGTTTTTATTGAATTGCTTAGGCTTTTTCATAGAGTAAATATTCAAAATTCACCCTCTTATGAGCTACATAAATCATAGTTTTATTGGAGTGAGTGAATTTTTCAAGTTAATTTTATACAAGTTACAGTAGTCTTACAGAGTGTTTTGTTCCTAGATTTGGAGTTAGTGGCCTTTTAAAAAATTAGTTTTGAGGCCAGAACATTTAATCAGAATTATAAGATTGGACAGAACTGAATGGGTCAATGTGAAAACACAATACAGAGGTTATTTTATGAATATCTAAAAATAGTAGTTGTGGCTGAGAAGTAGTATACGTTCTCACATAGTTTTGTACAGTGTGTGACAACCTATTAGATTCGTGAAAGGGTATCTAAAAGCGATTTGTGTTGACTTTTTATTTTTATATATTGTGTCTTCTGAATTTTAGGTCTTCTCCAAGAAAAAAAAAAAGAAAAAAAAAAACAACATGGCTGCAAAGGAGAAACTGGAGGCAGTGTTAAATGTGGCCCTGAGGGTGCCAAGCATCATGCTGTTGGATGTCCTGTACAGATGGGATGTCAGCTCCTTTTTCCAGCAGATCCAAAGAAGTAGCCTTAGTAATAACCCTCTTTTCCAGTATAAGTATTTGGCTCTTAATATGCATTATGTAGGTGAGTGTCTACATCACATTTTCTAATCTTCTAGTGAGCATTCTGATTTATGTCTTAGTATCTTTTTGAATTTGGGTAAAATGAAGTTCATTTTCATTAAGATGATAGTGATATAGTTATTGATGAGTGTTTATGAATCTTGATAGTTTTGTCTTATCATTGCACATGAATTATTAAGGCTACAAGAAAGTAAGCAGTATTGGATTTATTTTACTGGATAAAACTGGAAGGCAGAAGAAAACATTCTAGATTTTAATATGATGAAATATAAACAATGAGAAATACTTTTAGAGACATTTGGCCCCTTCTAATTTGTCCTTGTTTTGGGGTTTGGTAGTAATTCAGAAAGTAAGCTTTTTAAAATGCAACATTCTTTATTGTTCCCTGAGATAAACGAAAACATTAACATCAGCTGAAGATAAAGTGTTCAGTTAAATGAAATTTGGGAAATGATACTATAATACTTTGTTCCATAAAAAAAATCCTCCTGGAACTATAATTTTTTTTTTTTTTGCTTGAATCCCCTTTCAAGAAAAATGGAACTATCATTGATATGCTATGGGGTTAGTGGTAAAAATAATGATAAGAGATTGAAGAAATTAAAGTCAAGAAATACAAGCATGAAACAGATAAAATTTACCTAGAATAAAAATCATGATCCTTACTTTTTAGGTTTTGGTTTATTTGTAATGTATATAGCAATATATTTTATTAATGTTGTGATTGCAGAGTTCCAGACATGGTTTGAATGGTACTATAGTGGTTTTGCTAATATTTTATTATTAGAGTTGCCTGTCACAAAATATATCTTTTATAAAGTCATGAAGAGTTGTCCTGTCTCTCTGAGATTTATTTTTATCACTTTCTGGGTTCTAAAACTTAGCCCTGAGAACGTTCCCCTTACATCCCTAAGAGGTAAGCTGTTGTGGAAAGAAGTATGATGTAGTAGAAGAGATGGTGCACTAGAAACAAAACGTTTCGGTTCAGTAAACTCATCTTTTGTGGATAGCACTACCTTGGGAATGTCTCTGAAATGGGAAAGTTCCTTTATGTTGCAAAACACTGTAATTCTCAGCCTTTTATGAAAGGCTTTGTATGTTAGCCAATTTATGGAAAGTAATTCCCGTCAGTTGTAGAACAACTGGGTACTTGGCTTAGATTTTTAGATTAATCAGCAAAGTCATACATACTGTGGTTTTAAAAATGTGCTTATATATTGTTTCTGAATAGGTTGAAATATTTATTATAAAAACAGCTGCCTGATAACCAGGAATATTAATTTTAGAAATTGAATGTTTTCGAGTACAATTGAAGTTCATAATCTGGTTTATAATTTTATAAAGTTAGTTGAGCCATCTTAAATATGCTTACTCCATGCCAAAGTAGAGTAAGCTCAGTGGTTGCATGAACAGATATTTTCAGCTTGAACAATGTTTTGGTTGGAGTTACCTTTGTCAAAATATTACATAGTGTTTATGTAATGCTCCTGTTTACAGAATTTCACCCTCAAATACAAATCAAATTTCACCTTAATAAAATAATGTATCTACATTCAGAAATAAAAAAGCATAAAAAGTATTTAATGAAAAGTATCTCCCTCCCATCTCTGTTACTCATTCGCTGAGTTCTCACTCTGAACACCATGTAGCTTTTATTTCTTTCTGTATAATTCTAGAGATATTTTTATGTATATATAAGTAAATATAAAAAATGTATATTTCCCCCCTTTTTATACAGATGTTAGCATGGTATACATGGTTTTGAATCATGGTTTTTGTTTGTGATGTATGTGGAGCCATAACTACTGCTTTTAGATATTTATGAAATAGAGTTTTGTGCTCTTTTTCTTATGATGACAGTCTGCCGGATCTTAAAGACTCTCTTGAGTAGATATCGAGGCCTCATTTCTCCTCTTCCCGATTGCATTTTACGTTGGCATAGTATCTTCGTATGGATATACCATAATTTATTGAACTAATTACTCCATTGGTGGACATTTTAGATAGCCTACCTTCTGCTATTTTGTACAGCGTTGTGCTAAATAACTTTGTATAGCTATAATTTCAACAAGTACAAATATAACCTGGGGCTAAGTTACTAGAAGCGAAGTTGCTGGGTTAAAGAGTACAGTGGTCCGTCGGTGTATGCTGGAAGTTGGTTCCAGGATGCCCACGTATACCAAAATCTGCGCATACTCAGGTCCCTCAAGTGACCCTGTGGAACTATGTATGCAGAAGGTTGGCCCTCTGTATACGTGGGTTTTGCATGTTGCAAATACTGTATTCCATAAGAGTTTGGTTGTAAAAAATCTACATGTAAGTGGACCCTCACAGTTCCATCCTATGTTGTTCAAGGGTTAACTTATATATATTTGTAGTGTTGACAGATAGTACTTTCCATAGGGTTTTACTATTTTGTACCTCCAAAAACCGTGGTTGAGAGTTCCTACAATCCTATATTATCAAAACAGCCTGTTACCACAAATATTTTGGCTACTCCAATAGGTGGAAAAATTGATTTTTTTAACTCAATGTAGTTTTAGTTTGCATTTCTATTATGAATGAATTGAACATACACATACTTAAGAAAAACCTGTATTTTCTCTTCTGAGAGTTGTCAGTTTATATACCCTGCCCACTTTTCTGTGAGATTCTTTTTTTACCAATTTGTGGGAATTTGGTATACATTAGGGAAATTAATCCTTTGTGATAAGTTGAAAATAGTTTTTCCAGTTTCAACTCAGTGATTTTGCTTATGATTTTTTGACATTTAGAAGGTTTTTAAGCTTTAGTATTTTGAGTCAATTAGAAAAGCCTTCTTTATTCTTGAGTTTATAAAGAATTCTGTTGTATTTTATCTTACTATTTTTGTGGGTTTATTTTTACATTTAAATCTTTGCTTCATTTATCTGTATGAATAGTGTGTTATAGGTATAATTTTATTTTTTCTAGATAACCACACAGTCATCCTCACCTATTTAGTCCATTTTTTTCTCATTATATACTGAATTCTCACATATATTTTGTTTCATTTTTGAACTTCTCTTCCTTTAGTCTGTCTGCCTGTTTGTGAACTATTAACACGCTGTCTTATTTGTTGAGGGTTTAGATTATATTTTACTGTCTAACAGGGTTAGTCCCTTCAGTTTTCTTTATTTCCTCCTCTGAGCTTTTTTTTTATGGTTAGTTTTCTATGTGAATTTAAGAATTGTCTCAAAATTGTCTAGGTCTCATTCCAAAAACAAAGCAACCCATTTGATTTTTTTTAAAATTTAGATTGCATTATTACTAATTTTGGGGGCAGGTGGGGAGGATGGGTTCTTGCTGTGTTGCCCAGGCTGGCCTGGAACTCCTGGGCTCAAGTGATCCTCCTGCCGCAGCCTCCTGACATTTATTGTTTCTAGGTATTTTATCTTTTTTATTGCTATCGTAAGTGGGAGTTTTTCCCCCTTTATGTCTTCTAATTGTAATTAAGGAGCTTAAAAATTAAGGGAGGGAGCAATAAAGTTTGTATTTAATGGAATGTAATTGTGTCTTCAAACTTAGAAGCTTTCCAGGGTGGGTTCTGCTGAAAGAGAAGTGACTGCCCACTGTTTTTTGGAGTGTAGGATATGAAAGGAGGAGTAGAAGTAATATTGGTAAGGTAGAATAGGGCTTTTGTGAAGAATCCTGAATACATACAGTAGATATGGTGCTTAATTCTATAGGTCGTGGTGGGTCAGTGGGGATTTTAGAGCAGGTGAGCTGCATTTTAAGATTGATTAGGCAGCGTTTTATAGGATGATGGATTGGGGAGGGGAGAAACTGGAGGTAAGAAGACCAGTTAGGATTTTAGGCAAGAGGTAATGAGAGCCAGAACTGGCAAGGTAGAAATTAGAAAGGAAGAAATGGATGCGAAAATCCTTTTGAAACTACCATCACTAAAATCATTAGTGACTTAAAATGTAAAATTCAACCCTCATTTATGTCCTAATTCTACAGACTTTTCTATGTTTATGGAGCTGTTTACCACTTCCTCTTTCTTGAAAGTGTTTTTTTTTTTTTTCCTGATTTTTCTCCTAACTCCCTGACCATTGCTTCTGATTCTTTTGATTTGTTTTCTTTAGACTTCTCAAGTGTTGATATTGCCCACAATTTGTGTTTAATTTTAATCTTTTGTTGTTTGGGTGACCGAACGTAGTTTGGGCTGCAGATCTCTGTCTCCACTTTACATTGCTTTTTGACCACTGTAGTCTGGAGTTGATGTTCTTCCTCTGTGATTCCATGGAACCAGTTCACATCTCTACCATAGCAATTATTATGTTGCATTCTAAGGGTCCATATGCTTATCTATTTTCCCAACTGTTAATAGATTGTGAGCTCCTTTAAGGTAAGAAGGGGGTTGTTTATTATCTCAGTATTCCCAGCACCTAGCTGGTGCCCAATAATGAATGAATTTTATATATATGTATGTATGTACGTGACAGGGTCTCACTCTTGCGCAGGTTGGAGTGCAGTGGTGTGATCATGGCTCACTGCAGTCTCAGACTCCTGGGCTCAAGTAACCCTTAGCTGCTGGAGTAGCTGGTACTACAGGCATATACCAAGGTCTTGTTTTGTTACCCAGACTGGTCTCAAACTCCTGGCCTAAAGTGATCCTCCTGCCTCAGCCTCCAAGAGTGCTAGGATTACAGATATTAGCCACTGTGCCCAGCCCTGAATGAATGCATTTTGAATTACTTCTTAGACATTTCCACCTAAATAGCCTATGGACATTTCAATTTGTTGTCAATCACTGAACTCATCACCTTTTTCTCACCTCAGAAGTCTTTCTCCTGCTGTGTTTCCTGTCTTAATAGCAAAGCTGTCTTCTTGATTACCCAAGCTAGAAACATCAGATCTTCACTTCCTTGTTCTCAACTAGTCACCCACAGATAACCACTAAGACCTATTTAAATATGTATCTCATGGCTGACTGGCAGCTCCATACCCAAAGCTACTGTTACAATCCAGGCTCTCATCTTACCTCTGGTCCTGCTGTTTACCCTACAACTACCATAATGTTTAAATAGCAGAAATTATTAGATTCATCAGTGTTGTTTTAAGCAGGTCATCATTTTGATTTATTTTTTATTTTTTCTGTTCTCAGAGTCTGTTCCCGTAGGTCATTATTTCTTTTATTTATTTATTTATTTATTTATTTATTTATTTATTTAGAGATAGAGTCTCACTGTCGCCCAGATTGGAGTGCAGTGGTACAATCTTAGCTCACTGCAGCATCAACCTTCTGGGCTCGTGTGATCCTCCCACCTCAGCCTCCTCAGTAGGTGGGACCACAGTTGTGTGCCACCACACCTGGCTAATTTTTTGTATTTTTTTGTAGAGACAGGAATTTGCCGTGTTACCCAGGCTGGTCTCGAACTCCTAAGCTCAAGTGATCTTCTGCTTTGGCCTCCCAAAGTGCTGGGATTACAGATGTGAGCCAACACATCCAACCCTTATTTTTTATAGAGACAGGGTCATGCTCTGTCACCCAGACTGGCAATCATAACCTCACTGTAACCTTGAATTCTTGGGCTCAAGGGATCCTCCCACCCCAGCCTCCCGAGTAGCTGGGATTATAGGTGTGCACTACTACACCTGGCCTAGGTCATCATTTTTAAATGCCACTGGTCTTGCTTTTTAATTACAAATTACTGTGTATAATTTAAAAACTAACAGCTTTGCCATTGTCAACTTAGTTTGTTATGGATTGTTTGGTTAATGCTGTAGAGTGAGTTGTGATGCATGTTTGTGTCAATAGTATTTTTGGCTTGCATTTTTTAAATTGTTAGATTATATATACATCGTAGTTCAGATGGTTCATTCATACTGCTCTCATAGTTAGTATTCATTGTCTCTCAAAGTTTTCTTACACAAATATTTTGTTATCACAGAGTTACTTTTCCACTGGAATATAAAAATGGGGTATAGATGAGCAATGGTGCTTTTGTTGTTTTGGTTTCTGTTCTCTTACCTCACCTAAATAGATATTGAAGAATTTGAGAACCATTAGCTAAGTCTAAATTCTTGATTATTGTATTTAGGCTTTATATTGAGGCTTTAGCTGCTAGTTCTTTCAGCATCATCTCCCAATCTTTCTGTTAACATCAAAGTCTAGTCTAACGTACAGAATTTACTGTCCCCTGAAAATTACACTTTTATGGTTTTCATGCTTGCTGTTCTCTTTTCCTAGAATGTTTCCTTTTCTTCTTAGCCTGGTAAAGAACCATTCACCTTTAGAGATCCAAGTCAAGCTTAATCACTTAACCATAGCCCTTCCAATGTTCATTTATTATAGCATCAATTTTGTCTAATAATTACTTTTGTCCATGCTTATCTTTTCACTAGATTATTATTCACATTAATTTTGGATCTTCCATGTCTAGGAATGCAAGTGGGTCATACTTTACACATAATAATGTTGATTGAATGACTGGATAATTGAAGGAATGGATGAAATGAATATGTTTGATCTAGAAGATTTGGCCGCTGATTTTATATGCGATATATAGGAGAAAGAAAAGACAAGACCGTTCTGGAAAGGAAAATGACAGTTTCGTTAAAAGAGAGTTTAAGGAGAAGTTTCATGTAATAGACATTAGAAAATCCTTCAGCTACAATCAGTGGAAATGCTTAGTAACTATATTACATATCCTTTAAAATACCTCTAAAGTCATTTGAGGTAGGGGTTAACAAAATTGGGGAAATTATTTTAAGAAATAAAGAGCAAATAAAAATACTTATCTCTGGCTTTTGATGGACTGTCCTTGCAGTTAGGATGTGTAGGAAATCCTCAGTTCTGTTTCTTTAGTCCCAAGCATGCTCATGTTTTCTTAGCTTTTGGCATGATTGATTCAGCATGAGAGAGGCAATAGGGGATAAGTAGGAGTACCTGTGCCTTAATAAAGATTTGTAAATTAAGTGGAAGATGGTTATAGAAGAGTAGACTGGGTCCAGATTGTGTAAGACCAAGAATGTCAGGTTCATAACTTTTAGAGCAGGAGAATTGTCAAGTAAAAGTGATGGTGTTAGGAATATTACCCTGGTAATTAAGTATATCAGGGTGTCCAATCTTTTGGCTTCCCTGGACCACATTAGGAAAATAATTGTCTTGGGCCACACATAAAATATGCTAACACTAGTGATAGCTGATGAGCTTAAAATTGCAAAAAAAAAAAAAAAAACTCATAATATTTTAAGAAAGTTTATGAATTTGTGTTGGGCTGTATTCAAAGCCATCCTGGGCCACATGTAGCCCATGGGCCGTGGGTTGGACAAGCTTGAAGTATAGGGTATACAAAAATAGAGACTGAAAGAAGGATGGTAGTATACTGTGCATTGCAGAGCAGATTAGGATATGGGACATAGAGGTTGGAATGGAAGGGTAACACATGAGAGGAATTTATCATGGAAGGCTCAGCAGGACTTGACGATAAGAGAGAAAAGATGACAGGTTTTGAGTCACTGAGTTACTTTGTTGAGGGAGGAGGTGGGGAGCACAGTTTGTACTTGTTGAATATGAGAACATTTAAGTGGAATATATCTCAGGTGTCATGAGATGGGATGTCTACTTAGATTAAGAAATGAGGATATGTTTTTGCCTGTATAATAAGTTATCAGTAACTTTGTTGATAACATTTATAGAAGAGATGCTGATACTTGAAGTTACAAAATATGTTGTTTGCACTAGGTACTTTATATATAGAGAAAAACAGTTGTTTAGGAACCAAATTTCCAGTGTTTATTGGAAAGCGTGAAAAGAAATTAGAGAAGTTAGAGGGTAAGAGGAAATCCATATGAACAGAGCCAAAGAGTAACAACGTTTTGATGGTCGTTGCCTGGATATTGGGGATCAAAAATAAGCAGGATGTCTTAGATGTGATAAGTAGGCAGTCGTTGACTTCCAACTTTCTTTAGAGCAAACAAGTTAGGGGGGTTTGTAAAGGGATTGTAGATGGTAAAGAGAAGAATAGATGCTTAGAAAATAGAGGCATTGGGTATAGATCTTTTCAAACATTTGACAGTGGAATGAGAAAAATAATAGGAAAAAAATCGCAGTGAAAAGAAGTTTATTTTTTTTTTCTCAAGATGGGTAAAAGCCCTGCACATTCTTTGAAACAAAGGTAAGGAGTGATGTCAGGGGGAACGACTGAAAGTATAGGAGATAGAGAGTCTTCAGGGGTTGGAGAAATAAGGTCTTAAATCACATGGAAGGGGCAGCCTTGGAAAGAGACATTAAGACACCCAGTTTTTCCTCTGGGACTAGAAAGAAAGAGAGAATTGGCATAAAACAAGTAAGTTGATATCAAGGAAAGGTAGATGAAGAAAGGAGTTGTGTTACACATTTGTGTGATATATTTGATTATTAGGTAGAGAAATCTACAAAAGAAGTGAAAAACACAATACATTTTCAACAACAAAAAATCCATAGGGGTGTCACTATGCTAAACTTACTTTGGTAAGTATAATAAAAAACCTCAGAAAGTACTGAAACCTATTTGGAAAATTATTTGTCTCAAGCTCTTTCTTTTATTGTAATTAATTGGGAAACTAAATTAAAATTGTATTTTATTTATCTTTCTGGTACAGGTTATATCTTAAGTGTGGTGCTGCTAACATTGCCCAGGCAGCATCTGGTTCAGCTTTATCTATATTTTTTGACTGCTCTGCTCCTCTATGCTGGACATCAAATTTCCAGGTAAGAATATGACCCCATTTTTGAAATGTATGATTGAATTTAAAGTTTTCTTTTGCCAATAAAATACTTTTCATGAACACTGTTAAGTAAAGCTAAGGCTTTGGTAGGTCCAAAACTGGTTTGATACTCATTTTCCAAATCTTACACAGGATTAATAGCTGGTTTATGCTGACATTTTATTTCTGCTTTTAAAAACAAGCTTAACATGAAACAAGCCTTAAGGTTATGTTTATAAAGATATCCTTGAACTGGCTGGGCGTGGTGGCTCACACCTGTAATCCCAGCGCTTTGGGAGGCGGGTGGATCACCTCAGGTCAGGAGTTCGGGACCAGCCTGGCCAACATGGTGAAACCTCGTCTCTACTAAAAATACAAAAATTAGCCGGGCATGGTGGCGGGCGCCTGTAATCCCATCTACTCGGGAGGATATCCTTGAACTTTCCTGTATTGCCTGATAAAAGAATTTCTAAAAGTAGGCTGTAGGAGCATTTTAACAATTATAGACTTCATTACTTTAGGAAATCAATTTATGATGTGTAAGAATCAGCATAAGATGCAGCCATGTGGAGTGAATGATTGATATACATTATCTTGTAAGGTTGATTGTATAGCTAACCTTCTATCTCTTTAGCCATATTGTCTGTGTACCTAAGTCTGCTAGATCTAAATTTTAAGACTTGGGTCTGCCAATGAATATGAGCTTTCTACTTTGCAACAGAATGTTAAAATATAGGTGGACCAAAAGTTACACTATGAAGTAGTGGGTTGGAATATATTTTGGAGGTATAATTTCTTTTGAAACTTAAATTTTATGATTTTTGATAGAAAGGCATTTACCATATTAAAATATATTCCCAATTCTAAGAGGAGTGACCTTGCATATAGTACAAGCCATAATAAGAGTCTGAAACAGATTTTGGGGTAGTTGAAATTTAATCTTAGAAGTAGCATTTTTACATTATTAGAATTACATTGTTGAGTTTTTAAAAACATTAACTTTTTCTGATTATAAAATTATGGTGCTCACTATGGACAATTTTTGGAAAATACAGAAAATGTAAAGGCATTTAATAATCGTTTGAAATTATACCACCCAGAGATAGATGTGTTAATATTCTGGTACTTTATTTCAGTTTTTAAAATACTGTTCAATTCTCACCACTTCTGTGGATATGAAAGGATGAGAATAACTAAAATCACTGGGTTTTTCACCCCTCTTGTTGAAACAGGACCACCAATTCTCTTTAATGTTTTGTCTAATTGTTTCTCAAAGTCCCAGGGTGTTTCCCAGAAGCTTACTCTTCTTGCATTTTCCTCCTTTATTCCTTCCTGGTTGATTTTCTATGCTCAAAATGGTGCCTGGAGGATGGTGTCTTACTCTTTAACTTCTGCCACCATCCTGCCCAGGGTAGGTCCTCTGATGTCAAAGTTGCAAAATCTGGAGCTGGCAGAGTAGTGTTGCATTTCTTGCAATCCTCACAATGTTTAAATCAAGCTGTGTTCCCTTCAAGAATGGAGACAGTGACATTCCCCGTTTTGCATGACAGAAGTATGTCACTGTGTCTTAGACTCCTTCATGAAAACAACTTAGACCTTGTCCTGTAGCATCCCTCTCCATAGAGCCAAACTAGGAGTCCAAGCACCAATACTGATACAGACATGATGCGTTTCTCATCCTAGTACCACCAGCCCCCACACCTCTGTTCCTGTGGCCTTACCCCGATACCTCTGAGTCTCAGCTCAGGCTGAGGATGGAGACACTTTCCCATCTTTGCTTACTCTTTTGTAAACAAAAATTGTATCTATAGAGTGTAATGCAGTCATTAGGGTATACTGAGCTCTGGAGTAACTGTTCTATTTTATAAATGAGTGCCTGGGCACTTATTTTTCGATAGATGGATGGTTTGGATAGGTTCAAATTCCAGGTTTTTTATTTACTGCTCCATAACCTTGGGTGTCATTTCCCAGAAGGATAAGCCTTAGTTTTTTCACATTAAAGTGGTAATAAAATATCTTAAGGGGCTGTTGTAAGATCAAATAAGATAAGGTATATAAAGCTCTTACCACAGTTTCTGACATAGTGAGTACTTGGTGAATTCTTTTGTCTTGTTTTTATCACATAGCAATGTTTTGTGAGCATTTTCTCATTGTTAATCTTTAAAAAATGATTTTTACATGGTATTTTATGTATAGCCATATAATATCTTTTTAGAATTGATAGGATTTTGTTGATTAATTAAGAAAATATCAAGGTTGAAGGTAGACCTCTTAATATTGTTGCTTTTATTATAGCTACAATTCTGGGTGAAAAACTGTGAGCCTGCCCTTTCTCATGGTTTTTCCATTTCCATTTGCATTTGTGGTGTAGTGATGGCTAAACCCATGTAGTTCTGTTTTTATCTACAGTGCTATGCTCCCTTGGTATCATGAGAGTTTGATTCTAGGACCTCCTGAGGATACCAAAATCTGTGGATGCTCAAATACTGATAGTATTTGCATGCAACTTTTGCACACTCCCTTCCATGTACTTTAATTCATCTCTGGATTATTATAATACCTAATACAATGCAAATGCTATGTAAATAGTTTTTATACTATATTCTTCAGGGAAAAATGACAAAAAAAGTCTGTACATGTTTACTCCAATTGCAGTTTTTTTTTTTTTCTGAATATTTTCGATTCTTGGTTGGTTGAATCCACAGATGTGGAACCCAGTGAATATGGAGGGCTGACTGTATTACCAATCCAGGCATTTCTAGAGAGGTCAGGATTCTGGTATATAAGGAAAAAGGGGACCTAAGTAGTTTCAGAGGTAAAGAAAGGATTTTTTCTGACCACCCTTGTGGCTTTTTGAGCTTTTTAGTTTCAGTTTATGAAAATGACTTTTTCTAATGTTTCAAGTTTATTTTCATAACTAGGAAATTAAAGCTTATTTTAAATAATAGAATTTTGTTTTATTTATTTTTATTTTATCTCGGCTCACTGCAACCTCTGCCTCCCAGGCTCAAGTGATTCTCCTGCCTCAGCCTCCTGAGTAGCTGGGACTACAGGCATGCGCCACCATGCCCAGCTAATTTTTTGTATTTTTAGTAGAGATGGGGTTTTACCATGTTGGCCAGGCTGGTCTTGAACTCCTGACCTCGTGATCTTCCCACCTTGGCCTCCCAAAGTGCTGAGATTACAGGCACGAACCATCGTGTCCAGCCTCAATAATAGGATTTTATTAAGTTTTAATAAAATTTTATAGTAGGCAAAAATACTTCCCATTCTTATTTCATTTTGATTTTTTTTATGTTCCTTTGGGATTTACAGATGAAAAAAAGGAAGTAGGCAAACAGCTAGGAAGGGCAATCCCAGACTTTAACTTGAATCCATGTTTTCACAATCTAGTTCATTCCACTTAGGTAGGCAGCATGGTTAGTAGAAAGGAAAATTAACTTTAGAATCAGACTTGATACAAATTGTTTCCTTACCTAGTAAATATGTTACCTCAGCAAGTTACTTCTTTGAAATTGTAGACTAAGCTTGTCCAACTCCTGGGCTGCGTGTGGCCCAGGATGGCTTTGAATGCAGCCCAACAAAAATTCGTGAACTTTCTTAAAACATGAGATATTTTTTGCCTTTTTTTTTTTTTTTTGCTCATCAGCTATTGTGTGTTTTATGTGTGGCCCAAGACAGTTCTTCTTCTTCCAGTTAGGCTCAGGGAAACCGAAAGATTGGATACCCCTTTGTAGACAATGCCATCTCATGGAGTTTGTTTTGATATAAAATGAATGAATTTCAAGATATGGCATATTTTAGTATTAATATTTTCCTCTTAGTATAATTTATACTATATGATAGTATCTCACAAAAGGCTAGTAAAGATGTGCTGTCCTTGAATTATTCATAACATATCACAGTTAATAAATACCAATGTTTGAATATGTAACATTTGTAAGACATTGAGGTTGAAGGTTTTAGTTTTAAAAAAATAATGGTTCAGATTTCTGTGGAGCTTCATAACCAAGTATCTTTTTTTTTTTTTTTTTTTTTGAGATGGTTGTCACTGTGTCACCAAGGTTGCAGTGGAGTGGTGCAGTCATTGCTCACTGTAGCCTTGAACTCAAGCACTTCTCCCACCTCAGCCTCTTGAATAGCTGGGACTACAGGTGTACGCCACCATGCCTAGCTAATTAAAAAAATATTTTTTTGTAGAGATGGGTTTCTTGCTGTGTTGCCCAGACTGATCTTGAACTCCTGCCCTCAAGATATCCTCCTGCCTCAGCCTCCCAAAGCTTTGGGATTACAGGTATGAGTCACTGTGCCTGGCCCCAGGTATTTTTTTTTAAATAACAACTTTATCGAGATAGTCACATACCTGATTAAAGTATATAGCTCAAGGGCCTTGTATGGTGGCTCACACTTGTAATCCCAGCATTTTGGGAGGCCAAGGCAGGCGGATTGCTTGAGCTCAAGAGTTGGAGACCAGCCTGGGCAACATGGTGAAACCCCTTCTCTACAAAAAATTAACTGGGTGTGGTGGCATGCACTTTTAGTCCCAGCTACTTCGGAGGCTGAGGTGGAGGATCGATTGAGCCTGGGAGGTTGAGGCTACAGTGAGCTGGGATTGTGCCACTGCACTCCAGCCTGGTGACAGAACAAGACCCTGTTTGACAGAACAAGCTGTATATATGTATACAGCTCAGTGGTTTGTAGTACATTCACAGAGTTGTGCAGAACATCATCAAAATTTATTTTAGATTTTCATCACCCCAGAAAGAAACTTCATACCCATTAGCAATCATTGTCTATTTCCCACCACCCTCCCTGCCCCCAGCCCTTGGCAACTGTCAGTCTATCACCTGTCTTTTTTTATTGACCTGTTCTGGATATTTTATATGCACTGAATTTCACTTAGCATGTTTTCAAGATTCATGCATGTTGCAGCATGTGTTGGTGCTTACTTTCTTTTTCTGTCCATATTCCATTGTATGGATGTATGTCACATTTTGTTTATACATCCAATTATCTTTTGATGGACGCTTGGATTGTTTCTATGTTTTAGCTATTATGAATAATGTTATGACAATTCATGTACAGGTTTTGTGTAGACAAATGTTTTATTTTCCTTGGACAAATACCTCGGAGTGGAATTGCTGAATCATGTGGTGCCTATATTTAACCTTTTGAGAAACTGCCAGACTGTTAAAATGGCTGCAGTGTTTCATATTTCTACCAGCGGTGTATGAGGCTTCCAATTTGTCTACATTCTTGCCAGCATCCATTGTTGTCCTTTTTAGTGGAGCCATTACAGTGAGTGTGAAGAGGTATTTCATTGTGCTTTAGATTTGCATTTCCCTGATGGCTAATGAAGTTAAACATCTTTACATGTGTTCATTGACCGTGTGTAAATATTGGAAAAATGTTTATTCACATCCTTTGCTCAGTATTTAATTGGGTTATTTGTCTTTTTCTTGCTAAGTTGTAGGAGTTCTTTATATATTCTAGATACAAGTCCCTTATCAGATCTATGATTTGCAAATATATACAAGTCCCTTATCAGATCTATGATTTGCAAATATATACAAGTCCCTTATCAGATCTATGATTTGCAAATATATACAAGTCCCTTATCAGATCTATAATTTACAAATATATTCTTCCATTCACTGCAATCTAGTTATATCAAGGCATAGTTTATTATGCTCCTGAGAAGGAGAATCAGCACTTATAATAATTTTAACAATTAATTTCGTACTTAAAAAACTGGCTATATCCAGCCTTATTGGAAACAAGAAAAAAAAAATTAAAAACTAGCTTATAGAAAAAGACATTTGCAAATATTAATTTTCTAAGTTGAAAATTTCATGAACTTTTGAAAAGTTGGGTTTCTGTTTTCCTTTATGTGTATTTACATAATGAAACTTATTATCCTGAAATGACTAAAAACTTGTTTAGAATATGTCTATAGAATGGATATAGCTTGCAGTTTGGAAGAATTAAATGTCAGAGATTCATGGGTTCAGTCAATGTCATATAAATATTTAATATTGATATTCTAATTGAACTTAACAGAATTTGGTAAATGTCAGTTTAAAATTTTTAAAATTACTAAACTCTTCCTTGGCGTTTTGAGGGATGTAGGGAATGTATTTTTCTAGTGCTAATCCGTATAGAAAATTGAGACTATCCAAAACTAAGGGGGAAAAAAGAAAAACCATACACTGATACTACTATTCCTGTGAGAGTGTGGTGGTCATTCCTGTGAGGGTGTGGTCACATCCACAGATGGATGTTTTTTCTAAAATTTCTAAACTCCAGTATTTCTTTTTTTTTTTTTTGAGACAGAGTCTTGCTCTGTTGCCCAGGCTGGAGTGCAGTGGCACGATTTCGGCTCATGGCTCACTGCAAGCTCCGCCTCCTGGGTTCACGCCATTCTCCTGCCTCAGCCTCCCGAGTAGCTGGGACTACAGGCGCCTGCCACCATGCCCAGCTAATTTTTTGTATTTTTTTTTTAGTAGAGATGGGGTTTCACCATGTTAGCCAGGATGGTCTCAGTCTCCTGACCTTGTGATCCGCCCGCCTTGGCCTTCCAAAGTGCTGGGATAACAGGCATGAGCCACTGTGCCTGGCCCAGTGTTCTTAAATTCCTTGTTTTATTGTTAGATTTATGAACCAACATATTGGATTTGTGTGTCTGTGACTTGAATTAAGAGCCCAGTAGAACTGGCTTTCAAAAGAAGGAAGTAATACTGTTTTCATTCTGGCTCTTCGGTGTGTAAGTACGGTTTCAAATGTAAAAACTTCCCCAAGAGTGACTTATGTGTAAACTATGGATAATCAGCTCTCCATTTTATGATGACTTGCATAATTCAAAGTTGTAGATTGGGGCTGCTCTTTCTCAGGGATACTAGTATTTTGGGCAGGGTATGCATTGCTACGGAAGCTGTCCTGTGCATTATAGGATGTTGACAACACTCTGTCTACCCACTAGACCCCAGTGATACCCTCTTCCCAGCAAATATGACAACCAAAAAGTGTCCCTAGACATTGTCACATGCTGTCTCTGAGGAACAAAACTGTCCTCAGTTAAGAACTACTATAGATAGGCCGGGAGTGGTGGCACACGCCTGTAGTCCCAGCACTTTGGGAGGCTGAGGCGGGTGAATCACAAGGTCAGGCATTCGAGACCAGCCTGGCCAACATAGTGAAACCCCGTATCTACTAAAAATACAAAAAATTAGCCGGGCATGGTGGCAGGCACCTATAATCTAAGCTACTCAGGATACTGAGGCAGGAGAATCGCTTGAACCTGGAAGGCAGAGGTTGCAGTGAGCTGAGATCGTGCCATTCCACTCCAGCCCAGGCAACAGTGTGAGACTATCTCAAAAAAAAATTTTTTTTCTTTAAAAAAAAAAACTAGATAAATTGTTTTTTGTTTGTTTGTTTTTTGAGATGGAGTTTTGCTCTTGTTGCCCAGGCTGGAGTGCAATGGCGTGATCTTGGCTCACTGCAACCTCCACCTCCTGGGTTCAAGTGATTCTCCTGCCTCAGCCTCCCAAATAGCTGGGATTACAGGTGCCCACCACCACGCCTGGCTAATTTTTTGTATTTTTAGTATAGACAGGCTTTCACCATGTTGGCCAGGCTGTTCTTGAACTCCTGACCTCAGGTGATCCGCCCACCTTGGCCTCCCAAAGTGCTGGGATTACAGGCATGAGCTACCACGCCCAACTGTTTTGTTTTTGTTTTGAGACGGAGTCTTGCTCTGTTGCCCAGGCTGGAGTGCAATGGTGCAATCTTGGCTCACTGCAACCTCCGCCTCCAGGGCTCAAGTGATTCTCCTGCCTCAGCCTCCCAAGTAGCTTGGATTGTTAAAATGAGTATTACCATTTATATTCTAAACTTAATTTTGACAGGAATAAAATTGACCAGTTTCACTGTTTGACATGTGTTCTGCTTTTGAACATTATCAAATACAGGCACTCAATATCTAGGAGGCCAGAAAGAAACTAAAGAAAGGGTGTCAACAGTTTAAATAAACTCTGGGTAAATGAATTATTCAACTGCTAGCTCAGTGCTGACGGTATGGTAGGTATGTTTGTGTGCGTATATGTGTGTTTAGTAGGCATATAAGGAAATACAGGTATTTGAACATCTGAGATTTCTTGTACCAAGTGGTGCTTCTTGTTGCCCATATTGCAAAAGATAACTTGGCACACCTCTTTTGTGTGAAAACAGGTTAGGTTTCTTTGGAATTAACGTTGTTTGAAAGCTTTAAGTAAATAGCCAGAATGTACAAGTTGTTCCTAGGTTGTCCAGTGTCTGAGTCAGGTCGCTGAAGAGACTGTTATAATAAAGGTCTTTAATTAGCTGAAGTGGTAAGCTACTAGGTTTTGTTCTTGGTACCCATTTATTTTTTGTAACATGTATACTTCTCTTTATAAGCAAGAATTTTTCTAATTGCAAGCTCTGAGGCCCTTTTCTTTTTCTTTCTTTCTTTCTTTTTTGAGACAGGGTCTCACTCTGACCCAGGCTGGAGTGCAGTGGTGCAATCTTGGCTCACTGCAACCCCTGCCCCTACCAGGTCCACACAATTCTCCCGCCTCAGCCTCCCAAGTAGCCGGGACTATAGGCATTACCACGCCTGGCTAATTGTTGTATTTTTTGTTTTGTAGAGTCGGAGTTTCACCGTGTTGTCCAGGCTGCTCTCGAACTCCTGGGCTCAAGTGAGCCGTCTGCCTCGGCCTCCCAAAGTGCTGGGATTACAGGCTTGAGCTACCATGGCCGGAGGCCCTTTTCATAGATCTTGTACATTCCTTGTGGCCCCAGTTTGAGTTAAAAGAGGGGAGGCTGTTATACAGGACTAGGGACGTAGATTTTTCAGTTTATTAGTGCCTTGGGGTGATTATCAGCCTTCCACAAGTGAAAAAACATTTAAGAAGGAAAATATTTTATTCAGTTATAAGTAGATTGGCAGGAATTCTTGTTTCTGAAGATATTAAAACATTCTACCTTTTAAGTCTTCTGAAATGAAAAATTGTAATGCTTCTCTTGAATAGCTCACCTGAGTCTTAAGAGAATCATATGTTGTTGTTAAAAGTTAGAATTTTATGACTCTTGCCTTGAACTAATTTTTCACCTAAAATGACTCATGGAATTTTGGATAATTCCCACTTTGGATCCTTCTTATTTAGGCTTACTGTCTTGTTTTTCTTATGTTGTGAATGACCATCCCTGTTAGGACTGATTTACCAAGAATTCTCAATGCCAGCATGAGATACCTGGAATTTGTGCATAAGTAAGATATAGAGATTTTTGTTAACCCTGATTCTTATTTCAGTTATTCTCTACAGTTTGGGATGGGATGCCCAGATCCTCCTTTTAGAAGTGACAGCTCCATAGTGGTTGTGTGGCATACTAGGTAGTTTAGCTGTCACCAAAACTACTGCCTTGACTCTGGCATGCTAAGCTGAGCTGGCCTAAAGAGAGAGTCTGCAGGCTTTCTAGGCCTGGCTGTTTTTACTGAGGTGGGGCTTTTTGGTGAGTCAGCCAAATGGAGGATTTTGGAGGACTGTATTGAAAGAGAGGAATCGAGCAAAGGGGAAACGTTCTAAGGGGCCTAGGGATGATACTAATTTTGAGGCTATGATGAATGATACAGACTTAAATTGAACAGGAATGTGGGGGGCAGTACAGTATTGGAGAGCTAATCCTGGGATCCTAGAGGAGGACAAAGTAAGGAGAGCGAGTGGGAGGAAACCACTTAACATCAGGGCTGTCATTGTGGCCTAAAGGTTGATCATTTATTCTTCTGGAATGCAGACCTCCCTTAGGGTCCTATAATCACAGCAAATCGCAAAGTAATGAGTATAGAGAAAGCAAAAATAATTAAAAAGAAAATAATGGAAAGGATTACAAAGTTAAGAGAAGGCTTAAAAAAGGAATGAAATATAGGGTTGGATAAAAGAAAAGGAAATAGTTAAAACCTTTTATAATAACCATATGAAATAGGAGAAGTAAAATAAGTAGTATTTAAGATAAAAAAGTAAAAGGCAGATAGAAATATTATTAGTTAAATGAAAAAGTTAGAACCTAGAAATAGAGAATAAAAGATGTAGTTTTTAAATATGCTGTGAATTTAAAATCTTTTTATGTATCAATAAAAAAGACGTTAAAATCCTCACAGCATTCTGTATTTTTTCTTACAGCACTGATCATCATCATAATTAAATAATTATAGGACTAAGTATTTATCTCCCCTCCCTGTTTATAAGTTGCGTGCTAGTATGGAATGTGCAGTATTAGCAGAGTCTAGCAGAGTGCCAGCACTTATGTATTCAGTAATTTCTTTTTGAGTTAAAAAGCAACAGAGAATGTTAGTTATCCCTAGAAATTTTGTTGTGTGAAATTAGAATTTAAGGTAAGAAACTCTAAAGAAAGACAAAGTTTTTAAAAAGAGGATAAACTAACGTAGGCTATGAAAAAATGCAGAACAATTAACAAATGTCTCAGCAATCAAATTCTAGCATAATGTTTAGTTTGCTGAGCTTTATTATAAAATATCAATAATATGTGACAAAACCAAACAGTGGAAAGAAAACATGGTAGGGACCTCAATTCTTCTGTCTTTTCTTGTCCCTCACAAAGAGACACTTGGGACTGAGGCCCTTCTGGGGCACTTTGTGGCTTTCTCCTTGGGGATAGTGCTCTTGGAGCTGACCTCTCTCCCTTTTCTAATGTAAAATTCGTATAACATAAAATTAATCATTTTAAAGTGAGCAGTTCAGTGGCATATAGTACATTCATAATGTTGTGCAGCTGTCACCTTTATCTAATTCTAAAACATTTTTGTCACCCAAAACAAAACTCAGTACTCATTAAGCCGTTACTCTCATCTCCCCTTCTCCCCAGCCCCTGGCAACCACCAATCTGTGTTTTGTCTGTATGGATTTTTCCTGGCCCCTGTTTAAACTGTATCCATTGGAGAGAGATATGCTATGACCAAAAAGAAATTATTGGGCTTTAAAGGTCTGGATAGTACTGACACTCAGAGTTGTATCTCTTTTAGGTATAAATTTATTTTTCAAATAGCATTTTAAAATACTTTGTATTAATACTATTTATATATGCATTTTGTTCTAATTTCATAATTCTTTTAATTTTTTAGTTTTCTAACTATATAATTCCATTGATGGTTACCTATAGTAATCAGATATTTATGTGTTATTTGCATTTGTGTCTTTCTACATGAAAACAGGGTTACTCAATATTGCACAGTTGACATTTTGGACTGGATGATTTTTTGTTCTAGGGGCTAGCCTTTGCATTGACGAATATTTAGCAGCATCTTTGGCCTTTACACACTAGGTGCTAGTAATACCTCTCCCCAATTGTGACAACCAAAAATGTTTCCAGAGGTTGTAGAATATCCCCTCAGGAGCAAAATTGCCCCTTGGTTGACAACCACTGCATTACAATAATTCTTCCTGAGAATTTGGCTTCCTCTTTCAGTAGAAAGAGACAATTAATACATTATGTGTTAGAAACCATCATCTAAGAGTGATAAAGGAGAATTGCTAGATCACCCATATAACTTAGTCATGCATTTTTATAATCTCAGAAACTGTTTTAATTCTTTTAACAATTTTTAGTTTTAAGTTTTGATTCTTTTTTGCAAATACCCTTCCGGCTGATTGTGTGAGGGTCTTTCCTTGTTTGGCTATGCAGTGCTAAAGGAATTCCACTTGATTGCCTAATGGGAAGTCATTTCATGGAAAAAGTAAATACAGCCATATGAGTTTGTTTGGAAATACTTGAAATGTTCTCTTTTAAATACAATGAATAAAGCATTAAAAGTTGAAAAAAAGGGAAGAATTTTTTTACACAAACTTCCCTTCTTTGATGCCAAAAATACTTTAGACAAACTGTCTTCCAGTACTCCCATGTAACTTACTGATAATAAACTAAATTCTCCCTGGTTGTGCTTCCTGCCTGTTTTCTGAGTGTGTAAAGGCTCTGGTTATTACTTAAAGCTTACTATTTCTCAGTAGTCACACGTTAAATGAGTTAAATTTTAAAAGGAATATTTTGTTTGATGTAAAATTTGCTTCAAAGTAAATATGTAGCCTACTTAAATATTATAATTATCTTAGATTTCATATAGAGTTGAAAATGATAATTTTTAAGGGTTGTACTCCTATCCCCCAGTTTTCTAACTAGTTTGTGGTTCTACTTGGGACTAATAAAATATAATCGGGGCCAAAACTTTGAGGGAAATAAGATGAGGGTGGGGTGATGGTGGTGGAAGATAGCCAAAAGAGATGTTTAGTGTAATATCACTAGATGTGATTGGTTAGTGTAGTAGAGTTGAGAGAGATCAGCTCTCAATTGGGTTTTTACTGGGCATAAAATATTTAATAAGGCCATGAAAAGAAAGAAAATTTCATAATGTGGAGCTTTGGCAGCTTTCTCTGTATGGTAAAATTCCATTTCAATAAGTTGTGTCTGTTTCTAGTGCACAGAAAACAGAGATGAAGGCCATTTATATATAATTCTTCATATCTAAATTTTTCCTTAGATATGGAAAGGGGTATCATTAACATAATATGCTTTTATAAGCATATTGTGATTCCGCTAGGAATGTATCTAATATATACATTCTAATCAATTTTCTTATTTAGGGACTATGTTCGGAGTGAACTGGAGTTTGCCTATGAGGGACCAATGTATTTAGAACCTCTCTCTATGAATCGGTTTACCACAGCCTTAATAGGTAAGTATTATAAAAGAATTAAAGTGTAGGTAGGAACCGACCAGTCTTACTAACTTATAAAATTCATGCATACTCATTTTTTTTTAAAACGGAATTCTCAAAAGTGATTCATGGGGACTTTTCCCACATATACCCATTGTTTGGTGGTTTTTTTTTTTTAAGTCTTCTTTTCCCCATGTATAGATTATGTATTTATAGTCATATTGTACATAGTGCACAGTTGCTTGTGTTTTTTTAAGGGTTTTTTAAGTATTTGAGAAGATTAATTTTTAAATAGAGCTAATTATTACTTTGAAAGATTAAAATGAAACACGTAGTATCTTAAATTTACTTATTGCTGTTGAAAGCCATGACCTTATTGTCAAAAATGAATGTCCGGAAACATCAAGAACTTGAGATGTGATTGAAATATTCAGGTAGCAGAATGTTAAAAATAGAAGTGTTGGCTAAGGCCTAAAAACAATATAGATACAATTTAAAGTGAAGTACCAGACCCCTGCTACCAGAGTGTACCATGCCAAAATGCAAAAAAGGAAGTAAGAGAAAACCTGTTTTGTGACTTTGAAACTCACCCATGTAGAAGGTGTTAACAGGCCTAATATTAGAGATTAGAGGAGGATTTCTTCAGAGAGAACTCTTTTTTTCTGAAATACTTCCCCAGCCCTTTACACTAGAGGATTCACTGGGGGACCATTTGGGGAGTTATGTGTCTTGTGTGGTGAAGGGGGGAATGCTGTGGACTGGTGTCTGACTCACCCTGGAACATCTTTTTTTTTTGAGTTACACTTTTATTTTTATTTTCTTACATTAAAAAACTTTTTTTTTTTTTTTGAGACAGAGTCTTGCTCTGTCGCCCAGGCTGGGAAAACATTTTTTAGATAAGTTTCTGGGGGAACACATGGTGTTTGGTTACATGGACAAGCTCTTTAGCAGTGATTTCTGATATTTTGGTGCATCCGTCGCCTGAGGAGTGTATGCTGTACCCAATGTGCAGTCTTTTATCCTTCACCCACCTCTCACCTTTCCAGGAGGCCAGAATTCCACTATATCATTCTTGTGCCTTTTCAGCCTGCAAAATCTAAAACTACATTGTCCAAAACTAGCCACATGTGGCTGGTTAGCACTTGCAGTGTGGTGAATTGAGATTAAGGTGTGCTGTATGTGTAAAGCACATACTCAATTTTGAAGACTTGGTACAAACCAGGTTAACTTTTAATACATCTTGTTAACTTTTAATATAGATTGAATGTCTATATGATGATGTTTAGGATATGTTAGGTTATATAAAATATATTGTTGATTTCACTTGTTTCTTTTTACTTTTTGAAATGACACTAATAGAAAATTTAAAATTATATTTGGCTTACATTATAATTCTAATCTGATATAAAGGACTAGCAATAGACTAGTTGCTTGTTGAGTGTTTTGACTGTGGAATGAAAATGCCTTATAGGGTTTTCCTGTATCTTCTGATACAGGAAATTGTAGAGCAAAGGATGTAAGTTTCTTGTGAACTAGACAGTGGCCCCGAAAGTCTGTGTAGGATTTTCTTGGGTCCTGTTCAAGAAGGCCTTTTAGATGGATGAGAAGACCTCAACAGGGATTGACCTTCCAGATTCCCAGGAGCTGAGAAAAGAGCCAAAAATGGCCAGTTGAGGGTGTATACCAAGCACCAAGGGTACTGCTGCAGGTGAGAGAGCCACAGTGATAGGAACGGTTTCAGAAGAACCCATAAAAGGGTCCAGGGGAAAATAAATCAGTTTTAGATACCTCAAGTCTAGGAAGCACCAGTAACAACCACATCATTGTAAGAGTCCAGTTAAGTAGGAACCTGCCTACTTCCCTCCCTCTCCTTCTTCCCTACCCACTTCAATCCTTGGTAAGTCAGAGAGAGAGGGAGAAGTGCTAGGTCAAAAAAGAGAAAGAAGCCAGCCACAACCTCCCCACCTTCTCTCCCACTTGCAGGTTTTCTATCTTAAAGCATAAAGGTAAAAATTAATGCTTTCCCTAGAATGCCTGAACTCTAGAGTAAGGGATAAGTCTCAACTTTAAATCTGTTTGAAAGTTTCAGTTATTATTAAATTGAGACAGTAACCTAAGCTAGAGTAGAAAAGTTATGGGACTTGCCTTGGATTTTATCTAGGGGCAGGAAAACCACTAATCTCTACAGAGTGGATTTTAAAAGACAGCAGAGGACAAAAATAATGTTGCTTTATGACTATCGTTATGAGTTGGCATATTTATTAACGGTAACATTCAATAATGAAGATATTTGCCAAGTTAGAAAGCTTGTAAAGTTTTAGTTTATGATGCATATACTTGTATTATAAATATGAAGCATATTTCTTAAAACTCTTCTTATCAGTGGCCATGGTCTTCTGTTTACTTAACTAAGATTCAACTTTCCAAAGTCCATAAACTATTAAGGAGCATGTTTTCTTCCAACTTAGATTTTAAAATAATTTTCTGGTGTTTTTCTTCATTTCAGTAACAAACTTTTTTGAAAAACTAGGTAATTTTAATATGCCATGATTTCTTAGGGTTGCCAACCTCTTGGAGATATTTCTAATAGTGGAATCCTGAAATCTAAAGAGTACATTGGGATTTTGGTTTATGCAGAGTTAAAAGTTGAAATAGGCAAATCAGAAGACAAACAACTTATTCTTTTGGAACTTCAGGGGAAATTCCACTAACAATATGACTCCTTCCTTCTTTTACGTCAGCAGGAGTAGTCTTCTCTTAAATACGCCATATGAGTCATATTCTTCTATGAAAGAAGATAAAGGGAGCCTGTAACCCCAGCACTGAGCACCACATGTGCTGGCATAGACTTAAGGGAATTTTCAGAGCTTAGAGGAAGTTTACATTGTGCTCAACAAGGACATTTAAATTTCATAGCTATAAACACAGTGAAAGCCAGATCATTTGGTGGCCTCTTGTTTTCTATATAATTAGGAGTTTTTCTTTTCTTTATGCCTTTATGATTATTTTTCACATTACTTTAGTATCAGTTTTTTAAAGGCCAAAATTAATGCTTTGTGAGATAAAATACCGTATGTGTTTATGACATAGTAGATTGTTGTAAGTGTTTGGTCTTATGTAAAAATGGTTGACATTTTTGTATTTTTCTAACACAAATTGAATTTTCCTTATTCAAAATGCTTGGCACCAGAAGTGTTTTGGATTTCTGATTTTTTTACATTTTGGAATATCTGCATTATATTACTGTTTGGAAATCCTTAATCCCAAAATCTGAAATCCAAAATACTCCAATAAGCATTTTCTTGGAGCATAATGTTAGATTTTAGGGCATTTTGGATTTTAGATTTTTGGATTAGGAATATTCAACATGTATATGGATAGAATACAAACAAGTCCCAAATTTTCATTTTGGTTTTCATTGACAAGAAGTGAGAGAATATGATTAATTATTCTAAATTAATCTGGAAAATAACATTCAGTAATCTCCAAGAAATTCTGAAAGGAGCAATGAGAGAGGACTTGTCCAATCAGTATGATGGAGCAGGGTGGTACCATCATTAGAATAGATCACTGAAAACAAAAAGTAACAAGTTCTTATATAGACCTAAATATGTAAAAGATTTTGGAGTTTACTACAGTGGCATTTCAAATTAATGAGAAAGGAATGGATGATTCCAGTAGCCAGTTTTGAGATAACCAGCTAAACATGTACAAAAAACAAACTTCGATCTTTATTTTCTTATTCCACAATAAATCAAATGTATTAATTTTTAAGTTAAAATTAAAAATTAGCTAAAAATTACTAAAAGAAAATACAGCTATTTGTATAATCTTGAGTGGGGTAGCCATGTAATAAGCCATGGCACTAAAGGTGGGTACTATTAAGAAAAAAAATGGTTTGACTATTTTCAATACATACTTTTATAAGAGAATAAAGTTATTTAAAATATTAAGACAAGGGACATATTAGAAAAATGCAATCATGTGACTAAGGATTACTATTTCGATCAGGCAGTAGGATACGTATTCTAGCAGAAAAATGGGCAAAGAATGTGAACATTTCACCAAATAATTGCAAATGTTTTCATATACTTATTGATAATGTTCAGTGCTGTTAGTAACCAACAAAATGCCAATTTAAAAAATTTGGGAAATATTCCCTGTTCTTCCCATCTCTAAATTATACTCACTATGGCAAGTTAATAGAAAAATAGCCACATTATACACTGGTAAATTGTTGCTGGAGGGCAGTCTTGACAGTGTGTCAAAGTCTTTAAAAATGTTTTTTTCTGATTCAGTAATTCCTAGCCTAAGAGAATATTAGGAAATGTGTTCCAAGTAGTTTATACAAGGATGTCATAATGTAAAAGCTTATTCATACAAAGCATTTTATAATTATGGAATATTTGGAAAGGGCTAAATGCAAATATCATGTCACATACATTCAGTGTACCCCAGGGTGTTCTTAGGACTACCTTTGGGTTGTGGGATTATAAGAGACTGAGAGTTTCCCATTTTGTTCTTTGTATTTCTGTGTTTAATGTAATGATCATGCGTAATCCCCAGTGAGAAGAATTTATTTAGTTTTTAGTTTTAACTTATGATTTAGTTATTTGGGGCAGTTTACTTGGCCCTCCAAAAATAAAGATTAAAAAATTATCAGAACAAATATTGTTGCAGTATGATCTTGAACAAGTAATTATATCTCTTGGATTTTATGCTTTCACCTATAGACCAGAACAGTTAAATATTGCGTACCTTTGGAAAAGAAGTTATGTATAAACATTAGCAACTGAATTGTCACAATACTGAATTAGACATTGTTTAAAGTTTTCTTCATATTACACATGGCATCACAGACGACCAGTGGAGATTTATGCTGCTCTTTCCAGATCAGCCCTACAGAATTAGTATTCAAAATTCACAGAACATGTGAATATGTAATTATAGTCAGATGAAGTTTAAGTTTGATTTAAAATATTATCTACGAGATTTTAGTTAGACTTCTTCAAAAGTTGTGTTATTATCCTTATCAACAGTGTTTTTTGTTTGTTTTTATTTTGTGGATGCCAAATACTCAAAATTAAATGTATTCTATTCCCTATTTTAGGTCAGTTGGTGGTGTGTACTTTATGCTCCTGTGTCATGAAAACAAAGCAGATTTGGCTGTTTTCAGCTCACATGCTTCCTCTGCTAGCACGACTCTGCCTTGTTCCTTTGGAGACAATTGTTATCATCAATAAATTTGCTATGATTTTTACTGGATTGGAAGTTCTCTATTTTCTTGGGTCTAATCTTTTGGTACCTTATAACCTTGCTAAATCTGCATACAGAGAATTGGTTCAGGTAAGACTGCTGACAACCACAAACAGGTAGATAAAATTCTACATAAATGTTAAGTACATTAAAGTTATAGTTCATTTTTATTTCACAGTTATGGTACCATTCATTTTTGCAGTTTCAAAACAGCTGCTATTTTCAGCCCAATTAGGAGCATCTGAAAGATTCTTGATTATGTTCTATTGAGAAGGCAGTAAAGTGAAGTGGTTCTCTTAAAGCAGATTTATCTGAGATCGAACCCTGATGCTGCTGTTCACTAGCTGTGTAACCTTGTGATAATTGCGTTACTTTCTGTAAAACGGAGCTAATAATGAAAGCTGTGCTTTCCTCATAGAGTTCTGTGAGATTTAAATGAGTTTAGTACCAGGCAGACAATGTTCCATATGTGTTAGCTATTGTAATGAAGACAAAAATAATAAAGAATTGAATACCTATAAGTCAAATCCTGCTTTTTCCTTCTGATTATAGTCCTACTGTGACTATAGTTTCTTCCCTTTGTGTGCCTAATTTAAACAGAAAAGTTAAATAGTTCTGGGTTATAATATGATAGATTTCATTTAGATATAGTACTTGAATTGACTTTGCCAACATAACATGCTTTTTGTAAAAGTTTCTTCCCTACTTTTTTCAGCCTTTGCTCTAAGATAAATTACTCCCAGATACAAACAATACACATTTGGGAAATAAATGTTTCTGTTTGGTTTAATTGATAGTTTGTAATATATAAAATAGATTTTAACCTGACATTGGTATAAAAAGAGAGTGTTAAAATGTCACTGTCTTCCACCTCTTGACTGTGTCCTTAAGGTACAGGAAGCTCTCAGATAGAACAAACTGATAACAGCTAAGTGAAGTATTCTCTTGTGGCCCCAGGGGCAGATCTTTGAGAATACTTTCTCTAAGCTTTTGGCCTTAGCCTGATTCTATCTTCGTCTTACACAGTGATTAACTTGGGCAGTTTTCCCAGGAGTAGATCTTCCAGAAAAGGGATTATTTCTACAGTCAGTGAAGAGTGGCTTCATGGGGAAGCAGGGCAGGAAGGGTTATAGTTGTATTCAGGGTAATAATGACAAATTTAAGATACATATTTTTTCTTTGAATTCAGTCTTATGAGGGTTATCTTTGTTTGTAATAAATAATGAATATTCAGTAAATACTTATTGAATATTAAATATTTATTGAATAACCTCAGCCTTCATTTTTTAATGTCATGTTTAGTTGGTTGCCATAAGATTCATACATCAACTAGATGTAGTTGTTGGAAATATAGGTTATAAAATGCGTGACCAGGAAAGAATCAGATAAGCAAGAAATGGAAACAGACAGGTTTTTTTAGTGGTCTGTTTCTTGAATGGAAAGGAAGAAAAATATTCTCTGCCTCGTAATGATGAGTTTACCTGATAATAATTTTGCAGCTAGTTGGGCAGTTTCCTTTTTCTTTTAATCTTTTGTCACTGGGGAAAATAGAAGTTAATAGACTGGGTTGTAGAAAAAGCCTTTGCTTTACTGATGAAAGAATTTTAAATTTAGAATAATCTGCAAGTCAATTTATTTTAACTTAATACTTAAAGATGTTTATACCTTATTGAAACATTCTGGTATCACATTGAGAGATTCCAGCAAGACCAGCTGACTGCTAGATACTGGTTTTGTAAGCTGTCCAGCAGAATTCCTGCTGTGTCACCAGGGTCTGGTCCCTGACATAGTAACTCTAGAAACTTGGTTACACCTATGCTCTTAGATTGAATCAGATTCTGTGATTGATTTTTCCTAATCAGTTTCATAAGAAGAGTGTTTTATAAACTGGAAAACTAATTTAGTGAGTTGCAGATTATTAAGCCTTTTTTTTTTTTAAGATATATCCTTTTCCTAGTGTTACTTACACTTGGCAAACCAAATGGAAAAACATAGCTTGATAAAAACACAGTAGGAGGAAGGGGAATTGATGTGTATGGGAGAAAAAGACTTGCTAACTATCTTTGCTCTGCAAAATTTTTTTCCAGTGATTAAGTACTCTTCTTCCATTGAACTGTTTCTCATTTGTGACATTTCTGAATAAACCCTGAAAGTTTTTACTTTTGCATTTTTTTTCCTAGTGCCTCAAGCAGTGTTGTATCAATTCATGCTAGTCCTGATTATTTTGATTAGACATGAGTGTTTACCAAGTCTCCTCAAACTACCTTTTAAGGTTATTTTGTACTGAATATGACCTTATTTTGACCTTATCCCTGAACTATTAGGGCAGTTTACTGTGCTATTAGATAAGTGTGTGTCAAGTGTTAATAATAATGCAAAATTAGTAAGTTTTAAAAAACATGCTATTTATTAACTATATAGGCTAACTTTAAAGGAATTTAGCTGAAACAGTCTTGCAATCAAAGAAAAGCTATTTAATATTTTACTTCTGATTTGACTCAAGTGTTTAAAGTGTTTATTGATGGTGATGCAAGAAGTTTTCCTATCTTACGTTTTTATTTAGGTAGTGGAGGTATATGGCCTTCTCGCCTTGGGAATGTCCCTGTGGAATCAACTGGTAGTCCCTGTTCTTTTCATGGTTTTCTGGCTCGTCTTATTTGCTCTTCAGATTTACTCCTATTTCAGTACTCGAGATCAGCCTGCATCACGTGAGAGGCTTCTTTTCCTTTTTCTGACAAGGTAATTAATAAGAGCCTATGATACTATATATAACCTTAGAAAGAGAAAACTTTGATCTAGGAATAGTAAGTTTTGCAGATTACTTTTATCGTTCATGTTACACAACTTCGTATTTTGTTAAGATAGGATTTTCATTCACTGGATACCTAGGTTTGGCAATGCAGGGAGGTGCTAACATAATAATGTGGTTTATTTGGCTGCACTATGGACCAGAGTGTAGCAAATGATTTGTGGAAAGGTACATAGCAAATCGTAAAAGTATTTTTTCAATTTCAAGTTAAAATTATTGGGTCAATCAGAAAAAAGTATATTATAAAAATAACATTTATTGAGTATTTAAAATGTACCATACCATTAAACACTTTGCCTCACATTAATCTTTACAACGACCCTAAGAGATAGGTGCCTTTATTATAATTACCATTTTATAGCTGAAGAAACTGTACCAGGAATAACTTGCCCCAGGTAACACTGCCAAAAGAAGCAGAACTGGCACTCAGACCCACCTGAGTTCGAAGCCTGTGACTTACTCTCTATACTTTGCCTTTGTCCCTGTTGACTTCAGTATCGAGAAAGAGTCCGGTAATTGGTGAAATGGGTAGATAATAGTACTTTACTGTCTAACCCAGGGGTGTTCAATCTTTCGGCTTTCCTGGGCCACATTGGAAGAAGAATTGTCTTGGGCTATACATAAAATACACTAGCACTAACGATAGCTGATGAGCTTTAAAAAAAAACTTGCAAAAAAAAAATCTCATAGTGTTGTAAGAAAGTTTACAAATTTTTGTTGGGCTGCATTCAAAGCTGTCCTGGGCTGCAGGTTAGTCAAGCTTGGACTAACCCAAAATAATTCTAAGACTCGGTTTTTAATATTTAGGGGTTTTTGTTTTGTTTTGTCTTTTTAAATCTCATGTCATTTAAGTCATTTTCCCATTTTATTGTGAGCTTCTGCTAGATCCACATTTGTTATTTTTTCCACTCTTGAGTTTGAATCTCACATTCTCAGAATCTAGTACATGAATATACATCTTGGTTCCCTTGCTCATTGTCACTTTAAAAAGTAGGGATGAAAATCTGTCCTCCTATAAAGTAAATATAGGTAGATAACAGTTTTAAGTTCTAGTTAATAGTCATTGTTTCTCAGCCATCCAATATGATGGAAGACTGTGTACTAAGTGGTGTAGGCTATGAGAAATTTAAGACAAGTTTACTATCCTTAAGGAGCATGTTACTAGGAAAGCATTAACACAAATGTAAATATTAAAAATATACAGGACAAAAACCTGTTTTAAGAAATAAGTGGGATAAACTTATACTGGTACTGAATCAGATTTTGAACTTTCTAAAAATGAATAACAATTATAAGTAGCTTCTATAAACATGCAGTAAGTTGATGTCAAATTCAAATACATTTTAACGATTAATCTAGTATTAAGTAAATTTGACTGCTATTTGTTTTTGATATAAGTATTATGGAGGTTTTATGCAGACTTTTTTTTTTTTGAGACGGAATCTGGCTCCGTCGCCCAGCTGGAGTACAGTGGCACAATCTCGGCTCACTGCAACCTCCGCCTCCCAGGTTCCAGCAATTCTCCTGCCTCAGCCTCCCAAGTAGTTGGGATTACAGGCATGCGCCACCACACCTGGCTAATTTTTATATTATTAGTAGAGACCATGTTGGCCAGGCTCATCTTGAACTCCTGACCTCAGGTGATCCACCCACCTCAGCCTCTCAAAGTCCTGGGATTACAGGTGTGAACCACCACGCCCGGCCTGAAGACTTTTAAAATGACCCAAAAAGTAACTGCATATAGAGAGAAAGAGAGACAGTTCTGTGGTTAGGATAATAAACTCAGCGTGAGACTGAATTGGTGGTGCTTTAAACCAGATTGTTACCCGCTGCAAAGCACAGTAAGATGAGGTATAGCATAGTGCAGTAGGCTTAACAATTTACTAAGCCATGAATGCATTTGGACTTATTTACAAAGTAAGAAAATAATATTCGGATATTCTGTGAAGTTTAGATATCTTGCTAACATAATTTTTTTCTTTTCTTTTTCTATGCCTCGCCAGGATAGATTGCCTTTTTTCATGATAAGAATGTTGTAATTTGCTTTGAGAAGTTCTCATATTGGTTCTTTTGTTAATTTATATCTCTGTAAGAGTTATTCTCTGTTCTTATCCATGCTTTTGTGTGCCTGGTAATGTTTATGTTTCTTTGCCAAAAAAACAACTTATTTAGAAAAAGAGATTGGGAGCTTACCAGAATACCCTGACTAAACAAACACACCAACCAACAATAAAGCACACCAGATCAAACTGCAAATCAAAAAAAAGGTTTTTTTTGCAGCCAGAAAATAGAAATTAAGATTTAATAAAAATGAGTTACTGAATGAAGAGAGAGCAAAGAAAAACTTTATAAATTTTCCAAACTCTTTCACTTCCCCAAAGCTAGGTCGAAATCTTTGGTATTTAGTATGCTCTGTTTTGAAAAATAGCACCACATTTTTTTTTCTAAAATAAGAGAAAAGGAAAGTGCTCTGTTTGAATACGTAATTAAATCATATTGTGTGGGTGTAAAAAATGTTTCTAAATATGGAGAAAGGTCCGTAAAAATAGAGAAATAGTATGGACCTTTGGTTAAATTTTCAGCCTTTTTCAATAAGAATGAAGTAAAATTTTAGTTGGTTTTCAGCCATGATTCTCATGTTGTAAAATTGTACACAATTTGTTTAAAATTGTTACTAATGATTTCAGTGTGAAAATGCCAAACATTTCAGAAATTAAATTTGTAGGAATGTCATAAAATTAATTATTTTTTTCTAGTTATTAGCCACCATGATTGGTGGATATTTTGGCTCCTAACAGAAAACCAGACTTTTTTTCTCATCATAGTGTACATTGGTACCATGTAAAATTAGATGCTTTCACATAAAAACCAACTAATAAGCAATTGTGTAGGAAAGATAACTATATAGAAGCATGGAGCTGCATAGTAAGGGACAAGCATTGATTGCCTGAATGAATTCCTCATCTATATCAGTGAAATTCTTCTTTGAAAATTAAAGCTTAAGATGTAGATACTATATAAGGGCTGGGAGCATTAGCTCAAGCCTGTAATCCCAATACGTTGGGAGGCCGAGGTGGGAGGATCGCTTGAGGCAGAAAGTTTTAGCCCAGTTTGGGCAACATAGCAAGACCTTGTCTGTATAAAGAATAAATTAGCCAGGCGCAGTGGCACGCTCTTACGGTCTTAGCTACTTGGGAGGCTGAAGTGAGAGGATTGCTTTTGCCCTGAAGTTCAAGGCTGCAGTGAGTTATGATTGTACCAGTGCTCTTCAGCCTAGCAACAGAGCAAGACCCTGTCTCAAATAAATATACGTATATATAAGATAGATATTGTGTAAATGCTAAATCTATCTCAGTACATAATAGTACATGTATTTATAAAATACATATAAGTTAATATCTAAGAAGTTCAATGAAAATATTTCCAAGTTCTAGTGTAATGTCTTCCAGTTATCCTTATGAATAGTATCATAGCAAACTTTTGTTAAAAATTAATATTAAAATTACTTTTCAATAGTCTTGGAGCAAATTATTGGGCATGCTTTTGAAGTAACCCTTTTTTAAAAAATGCCTTTGTCTCAACCTAAATTTAAAAATAGCAGTAGTATGTAAGATACTGATGGAGTAGGAGGAGTGATACACCCTGCTCCATAGCAGTTTGGTCAAATAAGGAGTTGCAGCAAGTATTCATATTATAATGTAGCACAGTGAACAATTTGAACAGCCATCATTTTTCAGGAAGAAGAGTGGGCAACTGTACAAGCTTCTTTTGAATACTTGTCAGCATGCTAATTATATATTTCTTAAGATGTGAACATTTAGGCTCTTTGAATTTTACTGTATTTGAAGACCTTGTTTCAGATCTGGTGCTATGTACTGCATATTTGCCAATGAGATAGAAAAATGTGGGTTTGAAGGTGAATAAGATGGTTAAATTATTAATGGAGTAATTGGGTGATTTCTCCTCAAATTTTGGTTTAGGATGTTTTAATTAATGAGTATCAAATCAAGCTTGGTGATTATTTAAAGGCCTCAAATGTGTTTACTCCAAATGGAAAGTTTATGTCTGTTAATTTCCCCCTCTTTTTTTCCAGTATTGCGGAATGCTGCAGCACTCCTTACTCTCTTTTGGGTTTGGTCTTCACGGTTTCTTTTGTTGCCTTGGGTGTTCTCACACTCTGCAAGTTTTACTTGCAGGGTTATCGAGCTTTCATGAATGATCCTGCCATGAATCGGTAAGTTCTTTCCTTGATTATATCTAGAAATGTAAATACTATAGATAACTTGAGGAAGTAATGATGAATTTCTTTGGCTGATGAATTTTAGAAGAAATGGAATTGGAGAGGTTTTTTTTGAATGGTTGCAACATTTGGGTTAAAATACTATGAAAAAATACATTTCCATGTTAAAGATGTATTTGTATTGTATGTATTAATACATTATGATGAATATTGGGCACCTTCCTTCCCTAGATTTCTTTAAGAGATTTTCAGAAGCGTGCTTTTTCCCATTTGAAGTTTAGCCCTGTTAAAATCTGATTTCTATACAGTATTTGATGTTAATATCTGGCTCATTTACAGAATCTGGTTGGAAAACTTCTATTTGTCTTAGAAGTTATTATTTTTGCCCTCATTGTGTGGTAAAGTAATAGCTATTATGCCTTTGCACATGTAGTGATATATATGACTATTTCATTAATGTTACAAAGTTAATATACTGATCAGGTTTTTAGTCTGGATTAAGTCAGAATAGATTTAAAAATATGTAACAAGAGTCTAAGCCTTTGGATTATTTTTCTCTTTGAATTAAATGAGATTCAGATTATTTTATGTTTTCTGAAAATGTATGCTTTTTTTAGGGGCATGACAGAAGGAGTAACGCTGTTAATCCTGGCAGTGCAGACTGGGCTGATAGAACTGCAGGTTGTTCATCGGGCATTCTTGCTCAGTATTATCCTTTTCATTGTCGTAGCTTCTATCCTACAGTCTATGTTAGAAATTGCAGATCCTATTGTTTTGGCACTGGGAGCATCTAGAGACAAGTAAGAAACCTCTTAATATTCTTTAAATTAACTCATGTAATATTCTTTACATGCATTTGTTGTCTAAATATTTAGGGAATATTTAGAGACAGAAAATGGATATGGGTAATTGGTATTAGCTTAGGTTAATTCAACAAGTTTATGTTTTTATTTTTCCTATATGAGATGTCTGACTTACTTGACTTTTGTTTTTTTCTCTCAAGATTTTTTAGTTAAAAATGACATCAAAGGCCATGTAATTATAAGTTAACTTTTTCTGCTTCAGATGAAGTTAATACTTTTTATATTTGTCCAATTTTAAAATTAAGAACATAGAGCATAAAATTTAGTCTAGCATAATAAATGTAACAAATAATATTTAATTTTATTCTGTGTAAATTAATTAAAGGAGAGAAAGCATTAAGTGAAATGCAAATGAAGGAGAGGAAAATAGAGGCTATCAGGTAATCATAAAATAGACATTTATGGAAAAACAGCCTCATTTGATGGAGTTTTAGACAATTTCAACTGACTGGATTATAAGGATTCTTGACAACTTATAGGACCAAATGAAATTAATAGTTGGATTCATGTACATCTTGCATTACAGTAAAATTTTAAACTCTCTATATTTTATTGATACATAGTAGTAGTATATATTTTTGAGGTTCGTGTGATATTTTGAGAGCTGTATACATTGTATAATGATTAAATCAGGATAATTGAGGTATCCAGAAATTTTTGTGAGGGATAAAAGCCAAACTATTATTTAGTTCCTTAAAGATACAGTCTTTTTATTGTAGTTGATACAAGGAAATTCTGTAAGGAATTTCTTAAAATTCGATGTCACTGTTTTTTTTCTAGTTCTCTATCTGCATTCTGATTATTGATTATAGAAATACATCTGAATTTATTGCTTCTTCGGTAGCCTTTTATAGTAAGGGAACAGCTAATCTCTTGGGAGGTAGAATTGTATCAGCTGATTTCTAAAACATTCCAAATTAACATTTTAATTATAGTACATCAGATTCATCTTTGTATCCCCATAACACACATTGCCAAACATTCTATATAATTTTCTCAAGTGGTAGGATGGCTGAAAAATCAATTTAAATAAGCTCAAACTATTAGACATGTTTCAGATCTTCTTAATCATCATAGTTGATGGTAGTTATTTCACATTTGTTTGTGAGGTTTAAGGTTTCTTGACTGAAGCATTTAAAATGTTGAACTCAAGGGTGAGCGCAATTAAATAGCCACTTAGTAGATCTGAAAAGTAGATTTCTTTGACCTAAGTACAATTAGTATTTTGTCATCTCTGTCAATGTCATCTGTTATTAATTACACTAATTAATTTAGTATATATTGATAAAACTAATATTTAGAAAAGAGAAAAAATATGTTGTTCCACTAGTATAAGAATCAGTGGATGGCAGTTGTGGGTCTTCCCAGGATACTGAACTATCCTCACTACTGGCTTTCTCCAAAATTAGATGCAGAGGAGATTTAGAGAAAAAGGAGCAAACTGAGAAGTGTTGTATGTGGGCCGGGGTACTTTGAATTGGTGTCTGTGTTATTCCTTGTGGCTGCGGCTGCATTAACCTGAGGCGGGAGAGGCTGCCCTCTTGGCTGTGGGAGGAAAAATAGACATGAACTATTCTATTCTGTTCTTCCCTCCCACCATTGCCTACAGTAATAAGAGACTAACCATCAGCTACATGCCAGTATGTTTTAAAACAAATGAAATAAAGTTAAGAGAAAAATTCCACTTACCACAACTGACTCAAGAACTAAAAAGTTGAATAGTTCTATAACAGTTAAAGAAATTAAAGCAGTTGGCAAACTTCTTGAGCCAGATGATATTACAGGCAAGTTCTACCAAATTCCAAAGAACAGTTATCCCTATTTTATTTATTTATTTATTTATTTATTTTTAGAGATGGAATCTCGCTATGTTGCCCAGGCTGGACTCGAACTCCTGGGCTCAAGCAGTCCTCCTGCCTCAGCCTTCTGTGGAGCTGGGACACATGTGCACACCACCACACTTGGCAGATTATTTAAAACAAATACTTTCAAACTATAAGAGGAATACCCCCCAAGTCCACTCTGTGAAGCCATCGTAATCCCAATATTGAAATAAACCAGACAATTTTTAAAGTATTTCACTCATGGCAGGAGATATTGCGAGGCATTTGTAATGTTGGCTTAAGGTAGACCAGTGGAATAGAGACCACAGACTGACCCACATATGGGTGGAACTCTGGTATATGACAGAAGTGGCATGCCAGATGAGTGGAGACAGGTGCTACTCTATAATGAAGCTAGAAAAACACTGGATTCCTATCTTGCATTATAAACAAAATAACTCCAGTATGTTAGGGACTTAAATGTCAAAAACAGAAGGTTAAAATTCCACTGAGATTAGTATATTTTTGAGTAGGAAAAGATTTCTTAAACTGACAGAACTGACTGTGGAAGACTGAGATTGACTATGACTATGAAAGAAAAGATTAATACATTTAATGATTAATATTAGAATTAATGGCAGTTTTTAAGTTAGAAATGGTCATTACAAACTGGAAGAAAATATTTCTAGTATGCACTCCTGATCAAGAATCGCTCCTACACATCAGTAAGAGAAAGGGACAAAAAACTTGATGAGGCATTTAGGAAAAGAGAAAAATGCAAACATGAAGAGAAGTTCAGCATCATTCATGATAAGGGAAATGTGAAGGCTACAGTGAGATACTGTTTTACATGCAATCAAAAGGAAGGAGATAGAAAGGGGAGGGAAAAAATCTGCCAATACCTATGATGGGGGAAGTTGCAGCTCCACAGGATATCCCATGGTACTGATGAGAGTGTAAAGTGGTGTAGTCACTTTGGAAGAGAGTTTGGCATGATCTCCTCATAGGTATATATTCAAAGACTCTTGCATGTGTACAGTAGGAGACATGTAGAAGAATGTTCGTAGAACAGTTCACCTCACCAGAATCCTGGGAACAACCCAGATGCCAATGCAACAAGAAAGTAGATGATAAAATGTGGTAATAGTCACAGTGCTATGTTAAAAATAGTGACCCACAAATCAGTATGAATGATCATAGCAGCACGAGGTAAAAAAGTAAATCCAAAAAGATGATAATGTAGGATATTATTATTTTTTTTTTTTTTTTTTTTTTTTTTTTTTTTTTTTTTTTTTTTTTTTTTTGAGACGGAGTCTCGCTCTGTCGCCCAGGCTGGAGTGCAGTGGCGGGATCTCGGCTCACTGCAAGCTCCGCCTCCCGGGTTCACGCCATTCTCCTGCCTCAGCCTCCCAAGTAGCTGGGACTACAGGCGCCCGCCACTACGCCCGGCTAATTTTTTTGTATTTTTAGTAGAGACGGGGTTTCACCGTTTTAGCCGGGATGGTCTCGATCTCCTGACCTCGTGATCCGCCCGCCTCGGCCTCCCAAAGTGCTGGGATTACAGGCGTGAGCCACCGCGCCCGGCCAGGATATTATTTTTATGTTAAAAACAAAATTTTAAAATTTGTAATACTTAGAAATACATATAGATAAAACCAAACTATAAAAAGGGAAGCAGGGAAGAGAATGAAGCACACAGGATTCAAGATAGTGGTTTCGTGGGGCAGAGGGGCGAGAACATGGTATATATAGGCAGGCCTGCCCCTGTCGTTAGATGTGGTTTATTCTCCAGGCCTTCACCTGTATGTGGGAAGTGGGTTCATAAATGCTTGTTACATTATTGACAATAGTTAATTAGATTACTGACTAAATAAAAGGAGGGACATGCACAGACAAATGATGACAGTACATCGTCAATCAAGGATTGTGATGAATTCAATTCAGTGTACTGGGAATTAAAAAAGGAAAGGAAAAGCGTCCTAATTCTCAAGTTAGAGGACAATTAAGAGATGATACTAATAGTTCATGAAACAACTTTTCTATTAATGAAATAATTGTTAAAGGGAAAATCTTCATAAATACGTCTTTGGAGTTGCTTGAACTGTAGGTAATTTCCACGTTTAGCTTAGGAGGATGTGTGAGTTAGTTTTAGCCATAGAAATAATTGGTTATTTTATCTGTAAATTTTATTGCAGTTTTTAACAAGGAATATTAGAACTATGGTCTACTTATTCAAATTATGTAGCAAATTTTCAAAAGGCAAACATTTTAGGAAATGGGTTGTCATTTTTATAGTACTTAACCTATTGCACGAGGTTTCAATGTAATTTTCCCTTATTTTTATATTTTATTTGAAATTTGCTTTTATTTAATTTTAACTATTTAGATAAGGACATATATGTGTGTCTATGTATATGTTTGTGTGTATATATCCACCTGTATTAAAATTAGGCATAAATGTAAAACTCTTGACATAACATTGTTGTATATACATTTCTGTGTGTGTGCTTAAATCTATGCATGTGTGTTTATAAATACGTACATATTTCATATAAATCATAGCTGGCTTGATTTTTAAAAAATATATTTAAGGTTTTAAGGCAGATTGCCCTATTAGATCTATAATTCATCATCTAACACAGTACAGCTACTGCCTTTCTTTAAAAAGTTAAAATTGCTGAATCTCAAAGCAAAGCTACTGACAAGTTTACATTTGTTCCTTAATTTCTGATTATTATTATTATTATTATTAGTTTTTGGCAAGAAAAAATGTAAAACACTTTCCAAAGTATGCAGCTTTAATTTTTACCATAATAATTAACTTTCTTCTCTGAATTACTGATTATAATAGGACCACACTGTATAGCATTTGACCTTGTGTGTGGTAACTTTTACTTCCTGACTATATTATAATTAAAGGTAGGAGAGATGATTTATGTTATTTGTGTCTCTTTGAGATGCTTTACTTGGATTTGAGAACATATCACAGATGTTGATGTTTAATTAAAACAGCTTAAATTTTTTTGTAGCCATGAGCTTTATTTCAATTGAAAGCCAAAGTTGTTTAGCTTGAACTAGCCTAAAGGGTTTAGAGAAATGGAGAGCATGATGGAGGAATTTCTAGTGGGACGTAAGAGTGCTTGTGTTTTGCTGAGAGGGCAGTTAGTTAATAAGCAGCTTGGTTTATGAGGAACAGATTTGACAAGCTTGGATGGAAAAATTAGGAGTGGAGGACCTCAAATGCCAGGCTCAAAAATTTAGAGACAGTGTTGAAAATATTACGATAGTAGAGCTTTAGGAGGATTAGTCTGGCTGGCAGTGTCCTGGATAGATCAGGGCTGGAGGAGGGAGGAAAACCAGGTAGTAGATCTTACAATACAGTTGCTCTCAGTCATGTCTCCCACTTACCCTGACCACAACAGATGTGAGGATGAGTATACCTGCTCATTGGAGAGTCATTCCTATTAGTCACACTGCACTCTCTGTAGCAGAGATTCTCATCACAAGTGGAAACAGTGGGAAGAGGGTGTCATAAGATTTGAAAAAGACCACAAATTATTCTAATACTCCCTCCCTGTCTTAACCAGGAAAAATTATTGAAATTGTTAAGGTTTAAGGCTACAAAAGCCTGAAATAATTTGAAATTGCTAGGAGTAGCAATTGAAAGCAAACTATTGAGGAACAAAAGAAAATCAGCTGTACTTTGCAATTGACTGAGTGTGGTGGCTTTGACATGCCAAGCCTGTGTGACTTGGTCTGAACTCTAGTACAGTGACTGGCATGGAGAAGGGTGTTCAGTGGGAATTTGTGAAATTTGATCATGGCACCAGAGATGTTAGCTGCTGATGTGAGTGGTTGTGCTACTAGGTGGCAGGCACTTAAAAAGAATAATTTTGTCTTTCTCCAGGAGCTTGTGGAAACACTTCCGTGCTGTAAGCCTTTGTTTATTTTTATTGGTATTCCCTGCTTATATGGCTTATATGATTTGCCAGTTTTTCCACATGGATTTTTGGCTTCTTATCATTATTTCCAGCAGCATTCTTACCTCTCTTCAGGTAAGCCTATGATTAATTAACTCTATATAATAACCAATTTTGTTATTTTTCCTCCCAGAGGAGGAATTAAATTTTTTCAAGATGAATGATTATAAGTGGACTATTCAGGTGATAACTTCTCTCTCTCTTTACTAGAACACATTACATTTATTTGAGCACAGGAGTTAGATGGCAGGTTATGAAAATATTACATAAACCGGCCGGGCGCGGTGGCTCACGCCTGTAATCCCAGCACTTTGGGAGGCCGAGGCGGGTGGATCATGAGGTCAGGAGATCGAGACCATCCTGGCTAACAAGGTGAAACCCCGTCTCTACTAAAAATACAAAAAATTAGCCGGGCGCGGTGGCGGGCGCCTGTAGTCCCAGCTACTCGGGAGGCTGAGGCAGGAGAATGGCGTAAACCCGGGAAGCGGAGCTTGCAGTGAGCCGAGATTGCGCCACTGCAGTCCGCAGTCCGGCCTGGGCGACAGAGCGAGACTCCGTCTCAAAAAAAAAAAAAAAAAAAAGAAAATATTACATAAACCTATTGATGTCACTGTATTTTTTATGAAGGTAATTAAGCCTTTCAGTTTCTCTTTTTCAAAATGGTATGATACAGAGGTGTCATATAAATCTTAAATTGACAAGTAACTAAAATATTAAAAGTTTTTAGAGCTTGTGTTAGAGCTTATTTGGAGTGTGTTTTTTAAATTCCACTCAAAAATACCAATAGTTCCACGATGTATATAAATATATATGTATATGATGTGTGTGTATTGCACACATACAGACATGATACATGTTTCACAGACATGCACACACAAAATATTGCCCTAGAAATGATAAGCTTATTGTAACTTAAAGGAAGATCTTTGCTACCTAGGTAAAGGAAAACATAACACAGTGAAGAGTTATTCATTATTTTTTTGCAGAAGTAAAACTTCTTTGCGAGTTGTAGAACAGGAATGACTATGGTATGAGGAAAATTAAGATGGAGTTGATGAGGTTTGGTGACCTAAGGAATAAGGGAAAAAGATGAATCAAAAAATTGATTACTCATCAGAATCATTTTAGGAAAGTCACGTCTGACGGTGTGGCTTTTTGTTTTCTATGCCTGGATTACTAAGATCACCCACATTTTAGTCATCAGTGTCTTCTCTTTAGAGTTGATTTTTTATTTATTAAAACTTTTTTTTCCCCTGGATACTCTTCTGTATATTTGAAATATTGCACCCTAAAAACATCAGGAATGTGTTATTGTTTAAAGCCTATGAAAAAAGTATCTTAGTGATCATATTTCAAGATACGTACATTTTTTTTTTTTTTTCAGGTTCTGGGAACACTTTTTATTTATGTCTTATTTATGGTTGAGGAATTCAGAAAAGAGCCAGTGGAAAACATGGATGATGTCATCTACTATGTGAATGGCACTTACCGCCTGCTGGAGTTTCTTGTGGCCCTCTGTGTGGTGGCCTATGGCGTCTCAGAGACCATCTTTGGAGAATGGACAGTGATGGGCTCAATGATCATCTTCATTCATTCCTACTATAACGTGTGGCTTCGGGCCCAGCTGGGGTGGAAGAGCTTTCTTCTCCGCAGGGATGCTGTGAATAAGATTAAATCGTTACCCATTGCTACGAAAGAGCAGCTTGAGAAACACAATGATATTTGTGCCATCTGTTATCAGGTAACTCCTTCAATAAGAATGTGTTTGGGTAAGTCATACAGTGTATCCCTTGGGACTGTAACCATATTAACCAAATTCAACTTAAATTTCTAGGCAAAATTATCTTCTGGATTAAAAAAAATGGACCTCAGAAATTATATTAAAGACCTGATAAAATATTTCCATTTTATTTCTAAATTAAGTTTTAAATTTAGTCCCTTGGGTTCTAATGTATTGTTGTTTTCAACATTATTGCTCACCCATAAATAAAGGAAAAACAGGTCAGGTGCATTTTATATTTACTCCTGAATACACACTCACACGGACTATTGAATATACTATCCATGAGGGGTCAGCAACTCCTGAAAAGTGGTGTGCCAAAATTCTGACTCTTTTCCCTCTAGTATTTCCAGAGTGGGGAAGAAATATTCATGTACCTAACATAGGTAGAGAGAATATGTGCCCACCTGTGGGTTGCTAAGTATCCGAGGGTACAAGCATTTGGTGGGAGTGGGTGAATATGGTAAAGGCTACCAAACTGATGTAAAATTGAAGTTGGCCTACCTATAGTCTTTAGCACATGCACCATAAAGAGCCTGATGATTGTCTTCTATTACAAATTAAAGGTAGTACTTAAATCACTTTGGAAATAAAACAACAACAAAAAGACCTAGAGTTTAATCATCAATCACCTGTGCAAGAGGCCGCACTGTTGGAAATAATGGACAGAGATGATGGCCAACAGCAGAAACTATGTCCCATTTTTAAAGTCACTCAAAGAGTGTAGGCTGGTAGAATAAAACTATAGATAGTGTCAACAATATACAGGGGATATTCTTACTTCAGGATTGCTTTTGTAGTTTAGGTGGGGTATGTATGTATTTGTGTATATTTAAATTTGTGCATATTTAATTTTTTTCTGATAGTAAAATACAGCTATCAATTTTTTATTTTGATTAGAACATACTTTTTGATCCTAGCTAAACAATGTTCTCCAGGCGGTTTTGCATTTGAGGGGTCTGAGGAGTAATGTAGGGTTCCTGCCTCCCTTCAAAGTAGCCATTCTCTTAGTTGTGTTTATTATTAAAATGAACCCTAGCTCTTTTGTGCTAGGTAGCCTCATTGTACTCAGGACAAAGCACATCAAAAACAGAGTCGGAGCACCTCAGCTTCAGCCGCTGATGTCTGAATATTCCATCTCGGGGATTCAAGAGTCCTGTTTGTATTTCCTGTTGTCACATCACTTTTTTTGAGGTGCTAGAACTACCTGTTGATATCACATCGAAAATGAGAGTAAAACTGCTTAGCTTCCCAGCTGGCTGCTTTTCCTTGGATGGCTTTCTGCTTAAAAGTTGACTCCCAGATGTTACCAGTTCTTGGCAAGGAATTTCTGGGATATCCACACCTGCTTGTTTTGGGACTTGAAACAAAATTAATGGTTGATTCACGAAACGTTATGTCTTTATAACTTTAACTTCATGTCTTCAGGCTTCTCTCTTCATATATATCTTATGCAAGGAATATTAATGCAAAGTACACCACTCCTTATTCCAGTGGTTATCAAATGTGAGTGTATAAAAGTCACACAGGTGGCTTGTAACTATAGATTTTATGAATCCCATCGTTACATATCCCACTTCAGTAGGTCTTGGGTGGCCCAAGACTATGTGTTAACAAGTGGTTCTTATGCAAGTTGAGAAACACTGGCTTATATAGACCAAATCTTGAAAACTGGGTATATACATTGTCCGTAATGAGAGAGTGCCACTTCCTTGCCAATACCCTGGTATTATATGGCCGATTTTGTCTCTTTGCCAATAATTTCATTATAAACTGTTCAGCTGTGTTGAAGCAAAACTGTAGAAAAAGTCCTGTCTTCATCAGATTTTCTGAGGTTGTAATTATACTCTTGTCATACCAGTGGAGACCCAGTAATCATACTGCAACAATTGTGTAACACTTGCATTTCATACTCAGGCAAAACCCAGTTATAAAGGTAGCTTCTTCCTCATTTTTGGTTTTTCCTTCACTTTTAGAAAGTACTTAGCCAGTAGTTCTTGCATTATTTGTATAAGGGGGATCTGTGATGGCAGCAGGATTATTACTGATATATAAAGTAAGTTTTATTCTAAGATCTATGTTACAAATTTTCTATTGTGGGAAAGAGATGTTAGAACCAGAACTTTGGGGATAGCACCAAAGATACTAGAAAACAGACATTTATAAGGTATCTTTTTTCCCCCTCTTTTAGGACATGAAATCTGCTGTGATCACGCCTTGCAGTCATTTTTTCCATGCAGGCTGTCTTAAGAAATGGCTGTATGTCCAGGAGACCTGCCCTCTGTGCCACTGCCATCTGAAAAACTCCTCCCAGCTTCCAGGATTAGGAACTGAGCCAGTTCTACAGCCTCATGCTGGAGCTGAGCAAAACGTCATGTTTCAGGAAGGTACTGAACCCCCAGGCCAGGAGCATACTCCAGGGACCAGGATACAGGAAGGTTCCAGGGACAATAATGAGTACATTGCCAGACGACCAGATAACCAGGAAGGGGCTTTTGACCCCAAAGAATATCCTCACAGTGCGAAAGATGAAGCACATCCTGTTGAATCAGCCTAGAGGAGAAGCAGCAGGAATGATGCTTTGATACTCTGGAGGAGAAGTTAACTCAAGATGGAATTCATGTTCTGATTTGAGGAATGAAAATGAGATGATCAGGCAGGAAACTGACATTCCAAGGATCTAATCCAGGAAGTACTCTCAGTGGGGACCACCTGCTTTCATCCCCTGACATTGTGGGAGAAATTTTGCAATGTATGCTAATCAAAATGTATTTATATGTTCTCTGCTGATGTTTTATAGAGGTTTGTGAAGAAAATTCAACCTCAGCAACTTCAGAAACTGCCCCTGATACGTGTGAGAGAGAAATAAAATCAGATTTTGAGTGTTGAAGGGACTGAGGAAGTGAGGATAAAGAGCATGAGGACAGCATGGAAAGAAGGAGGCAGAAGTGGAACTGAACTTTCACTCTCCATGGGACAGATCAATCTCATTATCAAGTCTGAATAGCAACCAGCCCTCTCCTCCACCCCGTTTCTCCTCAGTTAATTGGAGCTCAGTCAGGTGATTATTGAGTCTTGTACAGCACTGAAATGAAATCAAAGATGAAGAAGCATTGATTGTATTCAAAGATTGAAGCACGCTCATACTTTGTATGTGCTTTAGGGAAGGGGTGGGTGGGCACTTGGGCCTTGCGGGTGCATTCATGTAATCTGAGACTCTTGAACTTTATGACGGAGTCTTCAGTATTTTGATGTATATGAAACTTTTGTTAAATATGTTGTATACTTCGCTGGCTGTGTGAAGTAAACTAAAACTCTGATGAACACTTTGGAGTCTGCTTTAGTGAAGGAGACCAAAGTGGGAAGGGCTTTAGGGCACTGATAGAGGCCCTGGGTGTACTTTTCAATCCTGTGTAATGTTTAATTCTTGCAACTGAATCAAAACAGTGTTAAATTATGGCAATATTTGCACTTTGGGAATGAGTACATAACTGTATGATCACACTCTGCAAATGCCACTTTTAAAGCTGTTAATAGACTTTGCACCTTTTCTTTGACAAGGATGTGTCATATTTAAATTTTTACATTCATCATGGCTACAGGTAGAACTGGGGAGGGGGGAATGTAATTTTTTATGGGAATTTTGATATGAAAAGAAACTAGTCATTTATTTATACAATAGGCTTGGCTCAAAAAGTGTTTTTCAGACCTCGGTATTCCTAATGTGGGATGTGACTTTATTTTATTTTTAGTAGCAAATTTGGATGTAGACTGACAGACATAGCTGAATGTCTTAATAAATTTAAATTTGAAGATAATTATGTTTTGTTCTTGTGGTTTGTTGTCATTATAAAGTGCTTTTTTTGAAGTTCTGTTCTTAGGAGGTTCTGTTTTTAATTTAGTTGGACTTACATGTTGATCCTTGTCAGAAATGCCCTGTAGATGGCAAAACTCTTTGATTGAAAAGGACCATTTCTTTTGAAATCTTCTACACCCAGTGTTAGCAAACTTACCTGTGCTTCAGAAGTGTTTGGGAAGCTTTTTATTTTAAAAAAGTACACATTTCTGAACCTTACTTCTGATTCAGATTGAATCAGCCTTTTGGGGTGCCTGAGCATTTCAGAGCTTCTATCCAGCTAGCCTAGCACTAAGGCAGTATGACTTGTTGGCGGGGGGAAAGTATCTAGGCTAGAATTCATTTCTCCCCAGGTGTAGCTGGAAGTTTATCATCTTTTTGGTGCTCCGTGTTAGGCAGAAGACAAAGCAGATAGCTCCCTCTAGTGGTAGGAAGGCTGCTTATCCAAAGACCTAGCAGTAATGATCTGGGATTTTAATAAAAGTAGAGTTCTTTGGAATTACTTTCCACATTATAATACACTTTTTACTTCTTAATAGCAAATAGATCCCAGCTGTACATGCCAAATCAGATGAGTGTGTTAGTAGCCTTTTGGACAAATGTCACTGTGTGTCAGGAGGAATATATTATGTGGTTGTAACAGAAAACCTCAAAATTATAGTGGCTTTAAAACCACAAAGATTTATGTCATGCACGTACATTACAAGGATATCCTGTTTGGTGCAGACACTATCCTGTTTGGTGCAGACACTATTGAACTTTCTGGATGGTCATGCCAAAGGGAAGACTGCAAGGCTGTACACCAGCAATTACACGTTCCTCCCTGGTATGGACATGTCACTTCCACTCACTCCCTTGGCCGGAACTACTGATATGGCCCCACCAGCCACAACAGCACAGAAGTTGTCTTCCACGTCCTAGAAAGAGAGCATATCAGTGACCAGCACTCTGGTGGAGCAACTTCATTTTACAGATTATTTGAAATTTGGGAGCACACCTGTGAATGGTTCCAAATATACCTCTGACTTAATTTGTTATTTGTCCTTACATACTGGACAGTAGCATTGTATAATGCCATCCGTATTCAAAATCTAGCCATTTTGTAATAGCTTCCAACTCACTGCAGAGTTTTTGACTTAGGAAGAAGACAAAGTTTAACCACCTGGTTTGTTCTACTGAAGAGAAGATGAGAAAATTAGATTCAGTTCCTCTTCTATTATGCTTGATCAAATTGAGAGAATCATCAGTTCCCTTATGAGTCCTTTTTAGGTCACTTTTCTTGTCTACTTAATGGTTTCCAGTGTTTTCAGACAGTGCATACCTATTTTCACGCATCAATATTCCCTTAAAAACTTTGTAATAAGGTCTGTCACCTTATGCACTTTGCCATCAAAATTAGTACTGTGACAATCCTTTATCAGTCCTCTTGGATTTAGGGAAATGGACAGCACAGAGGGATAAAAGGGGCTTGCACTAAGGGCAGGAGCTCTGGATTATAATTCTAAGTCCTCTGTGATCTTTGATTAGCCTTTGTTTTTCTGGGCATCAGCCTCATCTGAAAAAAAATCATCACTGAAGTGTCATTCTGTTTCAGGTTTTGCCCATCTGTATTTTTAATCCTCACCACTGACTGAGTAATGAGCTTCATATTTTTGAACAGTTTTAAACTAGAGACAGATGCTTCATTTTTTTTTTTAATATGCTGTGCTACATATTAAACTTACCTAAGATTCGGTTCACCACTGTGTTCCCAGTGTCTGGTATAGGGCAGGAGCACTCTAAATATCTACAGAATGAACAAAGGAACTTAGCAGGTGGCTCCTCATATCCACCCTGTAGTTTAAAAATGGCAGAGAATTCTATTCTTTCCAGAGGCAGAGAGCATAATATTGCATGGCAACTAAATGAAGTAATTTCTGTGAGTGGGTTTTGATCGTCTTAACTGATCAGATCCTGAACTCAGTTTCTAGAGCAGAAATTACAAATTTGGGGCCTTCTGGGGGAAATCTGGGCTGATAAATTTTGCTTTGTTGTTAGGCCTCAGTGATAGATTTATTTTATTTTATTTATTTTTTTGAGATGGAGTCTTGCTCTGTCACCCAGGCTGGAGTGCAATGTCACAATCTCAGCTCACTGCAACCTCCGTTTCCCGGGTTCAAGTGATTCTCCTGCCTCAGTCTCCCGAGTAGCTGGGATTACAGACATGTGCCACCACACCTAGCTAATTTTTGTATTTTAATAGAGACAGAGTTTCACCAGGTTGGCCAGACTGGTCTCGAACTCCTGGCCTCAAGTGATCCACCCGCCTCGGCTTCCCAAAGTGTTGGAATTACAGGCATGAGCCACCATGCCCAGCCTCAATGGTACATTTTTAAATGATATTTTAAAAAATATTTGAATCAGTTGCCAACCATTTAAAAATTGCAAGATTGTATATGACAAACTCAATTTCTATTTTCTTGTGAAAAATTGGAAGTGCTGGCTGCATAGGCCACTCATCCTTGCTTGGCAACAGTCCGCATAAGCTGGGATGGGCTGAGTTTCTAATTCACCCCTGTCGTCTCCACCACAGCTTGCTCTAGCAAATTAGATTGCTGTCATCAGACTCTTCCGTTTGCTTAGAGGATGCCGTAAGTGAACACTGGGCAAATTCGACATCTCATTTAATCACAGTCAAATCCTATATGAATATGTATAGTGCAGATATTCGGTATTGATTAAAGTGAAAAGATTAAAAACCAGAAGCAATGTGTATAAATTTGACATTCATTTATGGAAGTATAGAACCTGTTTGTTTTTCTTTAATGACCGGAGTGCAGTAAAAGAAAAAAAAAATCAATGAGCAAGTGTTTTATTTGAAGATATTTTCAATTTGGATCTATGCTAGAATTTTGCATTTTGGTATCACCAAGTTGTTCCATGAGCAGTGTTTCTCAACCTTTGATGGGCGTTGGAAGCAGGTTGGGAAGCTTGTGAAAAATACAATGCCGGCCGGGCACAGTGCCTCACGCCTGTAATCCTAGCACTTAGGGAGGCTGAGGCGGGTGGATCACCTGAGGTCAGGAGTTCAAGACCAGCCTGACCAACATGGTGAAACCCCGTCTCTAGTAAAAATACAAAAATTAGCCAGGTGTGGTGGCACATGCTTATAATCCCAGCTGCTTGGGAGGCTGAGGCAGGAGAATCACTTGAACCTGGGAGGTGGAGGTTGCAGTGAGCCAAGATCGTGCCACTGCACTCCAGCCTGGGCAACAGAGTTGAGACTCCATCTCAAAAAAAAAAAAAAAGAAAAATACGATGCCTAGACCCAGTGCCATAGATTCTGACTGGGTAGGTTTGGGATGGAGCCTGGTATCTTACCTTTTCCAATTTTTCAGATGATTCTGATTCTATGGAAATGTGAGTACCTTTCATTTAAATATTCCTGCTATTTCAGTGAGAGGGGGCTGCTTGTTCTTGGATCTACCATTTTTATGGAAGAAGATTCTTAGAGAAGAAATACACATGAGGTTTGCCTCTGGGAAACATTGGTGGTTAAGGATTTCAGCAAACATTACAACCGATGGGGTTTCTGCAGTGAAGCAGCAAAGCCTGGCCGACACATTATGCAGGTGTGCATGTGCCATCTGGCCTAATCTACCAACCTTTTTTGGTTGGTTGACCACCCAAAAGTGTCTCAAGCTATTTATATTTGAAGGTAAAATGCTGTTAGCACCCCCTCCACCTCCTCTTTCCCAAGCATATGGAATTAAAGAATCACAGAATTTTGGAAGCAAACCAGCCTTCAGAGATCTAGATCAGTGGTCCTACTTTACAAGAGAGCCAATTATCGATGTGTCCAAGGCCACACAATTGATGGCAAAGCGGGGAAGGGTGCTCAGGTCTCCTGAATCCAGTCCAATGCTCTTTCCGTTACACCTTCTCACCTCAAAAAGATCCAAACACCCATGTGTATTTTGCTGCATTCAATAAAACTTATATTAACTTTAAAGATGTTACACGAGAGATGTGAAAATCTGAAACAATTTCTGAGATATTATAATATTTAAAATTATCAATTTGAGATCAAACGTCTGGCAAATTATGTAAAAAGGGAAAACAAACAGTAAAAAAATATGGGATGTAGAATAAATCTTAGTATATGGCAAGCCACAACCCATCAAGATTTGGAGTTGGAAACTGTTGGCTACAAAATACCAACATTTAATATTAAATACGTACCATTTAATATAAAAATGCCTTCTGCATATTAGTTAAAGCCACAGATCTGTGCAGACTGTGTAATCACACTATTTGCAGGAACAGATGGGCTGTGTTTAAAATAGGAGTCAAGCCTTAGTTTAGAGAATTTTAAAATATAAAACTGCTTCCTTCCCAAGATAAGTATTAAATCGTCCTAAGAAACACATGTGAGGGATAGATAGACATAAACATTGTAAATTCCCATTTTTTTTCTCTAGTTGATTAGAAAATCTTTTCTGAAGTCATCTTCCCAAAATTACCTTGAAACTCATCCCCTACCCCTAAAAAGAAAGCCCAAGTTTTAAGGGGGCCATTATGTTTATTTTTGTAATTATGAGCTACATTGTGCAACTCAAACGAATAAACTTGCGAGATGGTGACCTCTGTATGTGTTTTGGTGCTGGTGCTGTTGCTGGTGGGGGACTGATATCGGAAAGGCCATGTATGTTAGAAAAGTATGTTCACAGGAGAAGGAAGCCAATTCGCTGAGCTAACTTGTATCATAACATTTTAGACTTTCAACCTGTATCTCACAGGCTTACAGCCTGCCTCCATGCCATTGCCATTTATCTTTTGTTATGGGTTTAGGTTTTTTAGTTTCTTCTACATTTAAGAAGAAAAAAAGCACATATAGCTTGAACAAATGATACCTGATAAATGAATATGCTCAGCTGGGTGAGGTGGTTCACACCTGTAATCCCAGCACTTTGGGAGGCTGAGGAGGGAAGATGTTTTGAGCCCGGGAGATTGAGATCAGCCTGGGCAACATAGGGAGAACCTGTCTCTACAAAAAATTAAAAATTAGCCAGGCATGGTGGCATGTGCCTGTAATCCTAGCTGCTCGGGAGGCTGAGGTGGGAGGATTGCCAAACTGGGGAGGTCAAGGCTGCAGTGGCTGTGATCATGCCACTGCACTCCAGCCAGGGTGACAGAGCGAGACCCTGTCTCAAAATAATAGTAATAATAATAATAATAATAATAACAAAAAAAAGGAAAAGAAATGCTTGCCACCAAAGTGTACTTGTTATTTCAAGGGAAAGGAAAAAACAACTTTATTTTTAAAAAGATGAGACGCAATATTAACTACTTAGAAAAAACTTGAATATTTAATTTAATTAATTAATTTATTTTTAAGACCGAGTCTTGCTCTGTTGCCCATGCTGTAGTGCATTGGTGTGATCTTGGCTCACTGTAACCTCCGCCTCGTGGGTTTAAGCGAGTCTCCTGCCTCAGCCTCCCTAGTAGCTGGGACTGATCTGCCCACCTCAGCCTCCCAAAGTGTTGGGATTACAGGCGTAATCCCACCTCACTTACAGGCGAGCCACCGTGCCCAGCCAGAACTTGAATATTTTTAATGTAATATGGGGCCGAAATATACTTCTTAAATCACACATGCAAATAAAAACAAACATTTTGCTTAGTCAAATGTATGTGTATATATAGATTACATTCCACTTAGGAGATGTGTGGATGCAACAAAAAAAGAAAACTGCAGCCCAATATCACTGATAAACATAGATGCAAAAATCCTCAACAAAATACTAGCTAACCCAATCCAACAGCCTATCAAAAAGATAATACATTATGATCAAGTAGGTTTCACACCAGGGATGCAGGGATGGTTTAACATATACAGGTCAATAAATGTGATATATCACATAAGCAGAATTAAAAACAAAAAATCATATGATCATCTCAATAGATGCAGAAAGAACATTTTATAAAATCCAGCATCCCTTTATGATAAAAGCCCTCAACAAAGTTGGCACAGAAAGGACATACCTCAAAGTAATAAAAGCCATCTACGTCAAACCCAAAGCCAACATCATACTGAATTGGGAAAAGTTGAAAGCATTTTCCCTGAGAACTGGAACAAGACAAGGCTGCCCATTTTTACCATTTCTATTCAATGTAGTACTGGTAGTTCCAGCCAAGGCAATCAGGCAAGAGAAAGAAATAAAGGGCATCGAAATTGGAAAAGAGGAATTCAAACTGTCACTGTTCAACAATGATATGATCATATACCTAGAAAACCCTAAAGACTCATCTGAAAAGCTCCTAGATATGATAAATGAATGCAGTAAAGGTCTCAGGATACAAAATCAATGTACAAAAATCAGGGGCATCACTATACATCAACAACAACCAAGCTGAGAATCAAATCAAGAATTCAATCCCTTTTACAACAGCTACAAAAAAAAATACTTAGGAATATACATAACCAAGGAGGTGAAAGATCTCTACAAAGAAAACTACAAAACACTACTGAGAGAAATCAGAGAGAACACAAACAAATGGAAACACATCCCATGCTCATGGATGGGTAGAATCAATGTGAAAATGACCATACTATCCAAAGAAATCTACAGATTCAATGCAATTCCCATCTAAATGCCATCATCATTCTTCACAGAACTAGAAAAAACAATCCTAAAATTCATGTGGAACCAAAAAAGAGCCCACATAGTCAAAGCAGTACTAAGCAAAAAGAACAAATCTGGAGGCATCACATTACCTAACTTCAAATTATACTACACTGCTATAGTTACCCAAACAGCATGGTACTGGTATAAAAATAGGCATGTAGACCAATGGAACAGAATAGAAAATCCAGAAATAAAGCCGAATACAGCCAACTGATCTTCAACAAAACGTACAAAAATATCAACTGGGGAAAGGACACCCTATTCAATAAATGATGCTGGGAAAACTGGCAAACCACATGTAGAAGAGTGAAACTGGATTCTTATCTCTCACTTCATACAAAAATCAACTCAAGATGGATTAAAGACTTAAATCTAAGACCTGAAACCATGAAAATTCTAGAAGATAATATTGGAAGAACTCTTCTAGACACTGGCCTAGACAAAGAGTTCATGACCAAGAACCCAAAAGCAAATGCAACAAAAACAAAGATAAATAAATGAGACCTAATTAAGCTAAAAAGCTTCTGCACAGCAAAAGAAATAATTAGCAGAGTAAACAGACAACCCATAGAATGGGAGAAAATATTAGGGAATGTAAACTAATACAATCACTATGGAAAACAGTATGGAGACTCCTTAAATAACTAAAGGTAGAACTATCATTAGATCCAGCAATCCCACTACTGGGTATCTACCCAAAGGAAAAGAAGTCATTATATGAAAATGACACATGTAAACTCATGTTTATAGCAGCACAATTCACAATTGCAAAAATATGGAACCAAACCAAAAGCCCATTAGCCAACGAATGGACAAAGAAAGTGTGGCATATATCAAGGAATACTACTCAGCCATAAAACGGAACAAAATAATGGCCTTTGCAGCAACTTGGATGGAGCTGGAGGCCATTATTCTAAGTAAAGTAACTCAGGAATGGAAAACCAAATATCGTTTGTTCTCCCTTATAAGTGAGGGCTAATCTATGAGCATGCAAAGGCATAAGAACAATACGATGCATGTTGGGGACTTGGGGGAAAGGGTGGAAGGGGGTGAGAAATAAAAGACTACATATTGAGTACAGTGTACGGTGCTCAGGTGATGGGTGCACTGAAATATCAGAACTCACCACTAAAGAACTTATCCATGTAACTAAAAACCACCTGTATCCCAAAAACCATTGAAATAAAATAAAAATTATAAAAAGATGGTTGGATGGAATTCAATAAACTCAGATGCAATGTGATACATTCAGAATCTAGTAGGAAAGTACCATTTGGCCAGGCGCGGTGGCTCATGCCTGTAACCCCAGCACTTTGGGAGGCGGGCAGATCTCTTGAGAAATTTGAGACTAGCCTGGGCAACATGACGAAATCCTGTCTCTACATAAAATATGAAAAATTAGCTGGATGTGGAGGCACAGTTGTACTCCCAGCTGTGGTCCCAGCTACTTGGGAAGCTGAAGCCGGAGGATCGCCTGAGCCTGGGAGGTCGGAGCTGCAGTGAGCCATGATTGTGTTACTGCACTCCAGACTGGGTGATGAAGTAAGACCCTGTCTTGGAAAAAAAAAAAAAAGGACAATTAGTAACACATCATTGTATGACATGAACTTTGAGGGTCCCCCGCCAACTGCCCCCCACCAGCATGGGGATGAGGAGATCAGTGTGTGCCTAGTCATTCTCACTGAATTAACCAATTCTTGCAGTGACTACTACCATGTACTTAAAGAGAGAAATAGTCTGAAAACTAGAGAACTATTTGCCTTTCCTCTCCTCCTTGGGCTTTGACCCCCCCAGGCCTTATTTACCCTCTGTTCTGGTCAACTGAGCTAATGGTCCATGTTATCCAAACATCTGACACATACATCAAAAGAAACACTATGTCCTTTTTACTTTCTTTTTTAAAACCATACTATTTATATTTATTTATTTAGTTATTTGTTCTAGTTTTATTGAGGTATAATTGATGAATGACAATTGTATATATTTAAGGTGTACATGATGTTTGATATGTGTATATATTGTAAAATATCACCACAATCAAGCTAATTTACATATCCATCACCTCACAGTTTCCCTTTTTTTCCCATATGTAGTGAGAACACTTAAGGTTCACTCTAAGCAAATATCAAGTATACTATACGGTATCATTAACTACAGTCACCATGCTGCACATTGGGTCTCCAGAACGTATTCATCTCATAACTGAAAGTCTGTACCTTTGACCAACATCTCCCCATTTTCCCTAGCCCCAATCCCTTCTGTTTCTATGAGTTTGACTTTTTTGCATTTTATGTATAAGTGAGATCATGTGGTATTTGTCTTTATGCATCTTATTTCACTTAGCATAATGTCCTTCAGGTTCCTCCATGTTGTTGCAAATGGCAGGATTTCCTTCCTTTTTATGCTGAATAATATTCCATCATGTGTATATGTGTATGCACACATACCACATTTTTAAAATCAAATCATCTATCAACAGACAGGTTATTTCCATATCTTAGCTATTGTGAATAATGCTGCAATAAACACAGATATGCAGATACCTCTTTGGGCTACTGATCTCATTTCCTTTGGATATATACCCAGATAGGATTGCTGGATGATGTGGTAGTTCTATTTTTAATTTTTTGAGGAATCTCCATACTGTTTTTCATATGGCTGTGCAAGTTTACATTCCCATCAACGGATTACAAGGGCTCCCTTTTCTCCATATTCTTGGTAACTCTTGTTATCTTCTGACTTTTTTTTTTTTTTTTTGAGACGGAGTCTCACTCTTGTTGCCTAGGCTGGAGTACAGTGGCGCGATCTCGGCTCACTGCAACCTCTGCCTCCCAGGTTCAAGCAATTCTCTCCCCCACGCTTCCCCAGTAGCTGGGATTACAGGCACTAGCCACCACACCAGGCTAACATTTGTATTTTTAGTAGAGACGGGGTTTCACCGTGTTGGCCACGCTGGTCTCAAACTCCTGACTTCAGGTGATCTGTCTGCCTCGGCCTCCCAAAGTGCTGGGATTACAGACATGAGCCACCGTGCCCAGCCTCTGACTTTTTGATAATAGAGATTCTATTATAACAGGTGTGAGATGATATCTCATTGTGGTTTTGATTTTCATTTATCTGATAATTAGCAAACTATATCCTTTTTACTGATAGTCTCCAAGAAAAGAATAGCTCACACTCTGTGGCCTTCTAATCCCTTTATGAATAACTCATGAACTCCTTAGAACCCCCTGTAGGCATTATCATCTACATATCCAGATGAGGAAGCTGAGGCAGAGTTTGATGTCTTGCTCAAAGTCCACAGCAGTAAGTTCTTGCACCTACACAGTCTGGCTTCAGAATCCACTTAAGCAATACATTACAGTGTTTATTCACAGACACGTATTTTTTGGATTTTTCATTCTTGCACTTAAAATTGGAGGCGGTAGTAGGGAAAGCATCTTAGGAAGTAACTCCTGGATGCTTTTATGTGCTGGGGACTTCACCAGTTTCATTCATTCAGTAGCTGCCACAAGGTGACCCCCACCCCGAAGACCTCCCACCCCTGTTCTTTGATATAGACACCTGGCATTTTCTCCAGAGTCCCACCCGCAAGCCCTCCCTGTTCCCAGCTAGTAGCTTGCTTTCCCTACGTCTCCATGGCATCTCACCAATACACATTTGTAAGTAGCCCTTAGGAACCAGATGCAGACTAACACCAGACATCACCCCTGCCCTCACAGAACTCTCATGGGGCACTTGGAAGACTCACAGTTAAATGATAACAATAAAGTGTGATTATTTTTTTAAAGGAGCACCAAACTTTTCTACCTAACCATGGCTGTTGGCAAAGTCCACTGCTCGTAAATTCAGTCACTAAGGATGGATTTAAGCTTGTCGCTCCCAGATTCCTTTTCACCAGATGTGGGAAAACCTTCAAATCTTTACAACTGAGTATACTGCCTTGCCTTCTGTGAGGCATACCCGCCGCTCCCCCAAAACCAGCTTTATCAACACTGTGGAGACAGGTTCTCAGACTCAAGAGAGAGTCCCTTAGCATAGTGGTTCTCAAACTTTGCTGCACATTGAGATCACCTGGGGTCCTACACCCAGACATTCTAATTTTGTTGGGCTAGGGACGGGAATTCTTAGAAGCTCCCTTAGTGATTCCAGCGTGCACCAAAGCTTGGGAATCACAGTGTCCCAAGAGATCAGCACTTTGCTGTTCTGTTGCCGTTGACACCTGAGATAGATCTTCTCGCGACAGTGTGCCTGGTTTGTAGCATGATTTCCTCCACTCTGAACCTTGGTATTCTCAACAACCAATCTTCTCTTAAATCAGCATCAGGCAAGTTCAATGACTTTCATGCTGCTGCTAATTTTGGGGCTCAGACCTGGCGAACTGGCATCTGTGAGCTGAATCTGACTGGCAAACTTCTTTTGTTTTGCTTGGATGGTGATTCTAAAAAAATTGAACATTTAAAAATCAGGCTGTGTATGGTAGTTCATACTTCTATGAACCACTATGCTAAGTATGAACTCCCACTTTGGGAGGCTGAGGTGGAAGTATCACTTGAGGCCAGAAGTTCAAGACCAGGCTGGGCCACACAGGGAGACCTGGTCTCTGTAAAAAATGCAAAAATTAGCTGGTGTGGTGGTGCACACCTGTGGTTCCATCTACTTGGGAGGCTGAGGGAATTGCTTGAGCCCATGACGTTGAGGGAGGCCGCAATGAGCTGTGATCACACCACTGCACTCCAGCCTGGGTGACACAGTGAGACACTGTCTCGAAAAAATAAAAAAGGTGAGATTTCACACAAAAAGTATGGATTCCTGGATTCTTTGGAAAAATTAGAAGGTCTCAGCCCATTTCCACCATAATATTCATCAGGAGCCCAGGGGCTTCTGCCCTTTAACAGGCACTTACTCCCTCCCACCCACCCAGTTCACTAGGTCCTACCCAGATCCCAACATTTATGTTATCCGTGACCCCTGAAGATCATTATTCCTTTTTGGTAGTTGCTTTTTTTTATTATTATTATACTTTAAGTTTTAGGGTATATGTGCACAATGTGCAGGTTTGATACATAGGTATACATGTGCCACGTTGGTTTGCTGCACACATCAACTTGTCATTTACATTAGGTATTTCTCCTAATGCTATCCCTCCCCCAGCCACCCACCCCCTGACAGGCCCTGGCATTTGATGTCCCCCACCCTGTGTCCAAGTGTTCTCATTGTTCAATTCCCACCTATGAGTGAGAACATGCGCTGTTTTGTTTTCTGTCCTTGTGATAGTTTGCTGAGAATGATGGTTTCCAGCTTCATCCATGTCCCTGCAAAGGACATGAAGTCATCCTTTTTTATGGCTGCATAGTATTCCATGGTGTATATGTGCCACATTTTCTTAATCCAGTCTATCATTGATGGACATTTAGGTTGGTTCCAAGTCTTTGCTATTGTGAATAGTGCTGCAATAAACATACATGAGCATGTGTCTTTATAGTAGCATGATTTATAATCCTTTGGGTATATACCCAGTAATGGGATGGCTGAGTGAAATGGTATTTCTAGTTCTAGATCCTTGAGGAATCGCCACACTGTCTTCCACAATGGTTGAACTAATTTACCCTCCCACCAACAGTGTAAAAACCTTCCTATTTCTCCACATCCTCTCCGGCATCTGTTGTTTCCTGACTTTTTAATGATCACCATTCTAACTGGCGTGAGATGGCATCTCACTGTGGTTTTGATTTGCATTTCTCTGATGACCAGTGATGATGAGCATTTTTTCATGTGTCTGTTGGCTGCATAAATGTCTTCTTTTGAGAAGTGTCTGTTCATATCCTTCACCCACTTTTTGATGGGGTTGTTTTTCTTGTTGTTGTTGTTGTTGTTGTAAATTTGTTTAAGTTCTTTGTAGATTCTGGATACTAGCCCTTTGTCAGATGGGGAGATTGCAAAAATTTTCTCCCATTCTGTAGGTTGCCTGTTTACTCTGATGGTAGTTTCTTTTGCTGTGCAGAACTCTTTAGTTTAATTAGATCCCATTTGTCAATTTTGGCTTTTGTTGCCATTGCTTTTGGTGTTTTAGTCATGAAGTCTTTGCCCATGCCTATGTCCTGAATGGTATTGCCTAGGTTTTCTTCTAGGGTTTTTATGGTTTTAGGTCTAACATTTAAGTCTTTAATCCATCTTGAACTAATTTTTGTATAAGGTGTAAGGAAGGGATCCAGTTTCAGCTTTCTACATATGGCTAGCCAGTTTTCCCAGCACCATTTATTAAATAGGGAATTCTTTCCTTATTTCTTGTTTTTGTCAGGTTTGTCAAAGATCAGATGGTTGTAGATGTGTGGTGTTATTTCTGAGGCCTCTGTTCTGTTCCATTGGTCTATATCTCTGTTTTGGTACCAGTATCATGCTGTTATGGTTACTGCAGCCTTGTAATATAGTTTGAAGTCGGGTAGCGTGATGCCTCCAGCTTTGTCCTTTTTGCTTAGGACTGACTTGGCAATGCAGGCTCTTTTTTGGTTCCGTATGAACTTTAAAGTAGTTTTTTCCAATTCTGTGAAGAAAGTCATAGGTAGCTTGATGGGGATGGCATTGAATCTATAAATTACCTTGGACAGTATGGCCATTTTCACGATATTGATTCTTCTTATCCATGAGCATGGAATGTTCTTCCATTTGTTTGTGTCCTCTTATTTCGTTGAGCAGTGGTTTGTAGTTCTCCTTGAAGAGGTCCTTCACATACCTTGTAACTTGGATTCCTAGGTATTTCATTCTCTTTGTAGCAATTGTGAATGGGAGTTCACTCATGATTTGGCTCTCTGTGTGTCTGTTAATGGTGTATAGGAATGCTTGTGATTTTTGCACATTGATTTTGTATCCTAAGACTTTGCTGAAGTTTCTTATCGGCTTAAGGAGATTTTGGACTGAGACAATGGGGTTTTCTAAATAGACAATCATTTCATCTGCAAACAGGGACAATTTGACTTCCTCTTTTCCTAATTGAATACCCTTTATTTCTTCCTCTTGCCTGATTGCCCGGGCCAGAACTTCCAATACTATGTTGAATAGGAGTGGTGAGAGAGGGCATCCTTGTCTTCTGCCAGTTTTCAAAGGGAATGCTTCCAGTTTTTGCCCATTCAGTATGATATTGGCTGTGGGTTGGTCATAAATAGCTCTTATTATTTTGAGATAACTTCCATCAATACCTAGTTTATTGAGAGTTTTTAGCGTGAAGGGCTGTTGAATTTTGTTGAAGGTCTTTTCTGCATCTACTGAGATAACCATGTGGTTTTTGTCCTTGGTTCTGTTTATGTGATGGATTACGTTTATTGATTTGCATGTGTTGAACCAGCCTTGCATCCCAGGGATGAAGCCGACTTGATCGTGGTGGATAAGCTTTTCGATATGCTGCTGGATTCAGTTTGCCAATATTTTATTGAGGATTTTCGCTTTGATGTTCATCAGGGATATTGGTCTAAAATTCTCTTTTTTTGTTGTGTCTCTGCAAGGGTTTCGTATCAGGATGATGCTGGCCTCATAAAATGAGTTAGGGAGGATTCCCTCTTTTTCTATTGATCGGAATAGTTTCAGAAGGAATGGTACCAGCTCCTCTTTGTACCTCTGGTAGAATTTGGCTGTGAATCCGTCTGGTCCTGAACTTTTTTTGGTTGGTAGGTTATTAATTATTGCTTCAATTTCAGAGCCTGTTATTGGTCTATTCAGAGATTCAACTTTTTCCTGGTTTAGTCTTGGGAGGGTGTATGTGTCCAGGAATTTATCCATTTCTTCTAGATTTTCTAGTTTGTTTGCATAGAGGTGTTTATAGTATTCTCTGATGGTAGTTTGTATTTCTGTGGGATCGGTGGTGATATCCCCTTTATCATTTTTTATTGCATCTTTTCTTCTTTATTAATCTTGCTAGCAGACTCTCAATTTTGTTGATCTTTTCAAAAAACCAGCTCCTGGATTCATTGATTTTTTGAAGGGTTTTTTGTGTCTCTATCTCCTTCAGTTCTTCTCTGATCTTAGTTATTTCTTGCCTTCTGCTAGCTTTTGAATTTGTTTGATCTTGCTTCTCTAGCTCTTTTAATTATGATGTTAGGGTGTCGTTTTTAGATCTTTCCTGCTTTCTCTTGTGGACATTTAAATTTCCCTCTACACACTGCTTTAAATGTGTTCCAGCAATTCTGGTATGTTGTGTCTTTGTTCTCATTGGTTTCAAAGAACATCTATATTTCTGCTTTCATTTCATTATTTAACCAGTAGTCATTCAGGAGCAGCTTGTTCTGTTTCCAGGTAGTTGGGTAGTTTTGAGCGAGTTTCTTATTCCTGAGTTCTAATTTGATTGCACTGTGGTCTGAGAGACAGTTTGTTGTGATTTCTGTTATTTTACATTTGCTGAGGAGTGTTTTACTTTCAATTATGTGGTCAATTTTAGAATAAGTGTGATGTGGTGCTGAGAAGAATGTATATTCTGTTGATTTGGGGTGGAGAGTTCTGTAGATGTCTATTAGGTCTGCTTGGTGCAGAGCTGAGTTCAAGTCCTGGATATCCTTGTTAACCTTCTGTCTCATTGATCTAATATTGACAGTGAGGTGTTAAAGTCTCCCATTATTATTGTGTGGGAGTCTCAGTCTCTTTGTAGGTCTCTAAGCACTTGCTTTATGAATCTGGGTGCTCGTGTATGGGGTGCATATATATTTAGGATAGTTAGCTCTTCTTGTTGAATTGATCCCTTTACCATTATGTAATGGCCTTCTTTGTCTCTTTTGATCTTTGTTGGTTTAAAGTCTGTTTTATCAGAGATTAGGATTGCAACCCCTGCTTGTTTTTGCTTTCCATTTGCTTGGTAGATCTTCCTCCATTCCTTTATTTTGAGCCTACGTGTGTCTCTGCACGTGAGATGGGTCTCCTGAATAGGAATACAGCACACTGGTGGGCCTTGACTCTTTATCCAATTTGCCAGTCTGTGTCTTTTAATTTGGGCATTTAGCCCATTTACATTTACATTTAAGGTTAATATTGTTATGTGTGAATTTGATCCTGTCATTATGATGTTAGTTGGTTATTTTACCCATTAGTTGATGCAGTTTCTTCCTACCTTCAATGTTCTTTACAATTGGGCATGTTTTTGAAGTGGCTGGTACTGGTTGTTTGTTCCTTTAGTGCTTCCTTCAGGAGCTCTTGTAAGGCAGGTCTGGTGGTGACAAAATCTCTCAGCATTTTCTTGTCTGTAAAGGATTTTATTTCTCCTTCACTTATGAAGCTTAGTTTGGCTGGATATGAAATTCTGGGTTGAAAATTCTTTTCTTTAAGAATGTTGAATATTGGCCCCCACTCTCTTCTGGCTTGTAGGGTTTCTGCAGAGACATGTGCTGTTAGTCTGATGGGCTTCCCTTTGTGGGTAACCCAACCTTTCTCTCTGGCTGCCCTTAACGTGTTTTCCTTCATTTCAACCTTGGTGAATCTGACAATTATGTGTCTTGGGGTTGCTCTTCTGGGGGAGCATCTTTGTGGTGTTCTCTGTATTTCCTGAATTTGAATGTTGGCCTGCTTGCTAGGCTGGGGAAGTTCTCCTGGATAATATCCTGAAGAGTGTTTTCCAATTTAGTTCCATTCTCTTCGTCACTTTCAGGTACACCAATGAAGCATATACTTGGCCTTTTCACATAGTCCCATGTTTCTTGGAGGCTTTGTTCATTTCTTTTTACTCTTTTTTCTCTAATCTTGTCTTCTCACTTTATTTCATTAATTTGATCTTCAATCACTGATATTCTTTCTTCCACTTGGTCGAATCAGCTATTGAAGCTTGTGCATGTGTCACAAAGTTCTCGTGCCATGGTTTTCAGCTCCATCAGGTCATTTAAGTTCTTCTCTACACTGTTTATTCTAGTTAGCCATTCGTCTAACCTTTTCTCAAGGTTTTTAGCTTCCTTGCGATGGGTTAGAACATGCTCCTTTAGCTCAGAGAAGTTTGTTATTACCGACCTTCTGAAGCCTACTTCTGTCAACTCGTCAAAGTCATTCTCTGTCCAGCTTTGTTCCATTGCTGGTGAGGAGCTGTGATCCTTTAGAGGAGAAGTGGCACTCTGGTTTTTAGAATTGTCAGCTTTTCTGCTCTGGTTTCTCCCCATCATTGTGGTTTTACCTACCTTTGGTCTTTGAAGTTGGTGACCTACAGATGGGGTTTTGGTGTAGATGCCCTTTTTGTTGATGTTGATGCTATTCCTATTCGTTAGTTTTCCTTCTAACAGTCAGGTTCTTCAGCTGCAGGTCTGTTGGAGTTTGCTGGAGTTCCACTCCAGACCCTGTTTGCCTGGGTATCACCAGCAGAGGCTGCAGAACAGCAAATATTGCAGAACAGCAACTATTGCTGCCTGACCCTTCCTTTGGAAGCATCATCCCAGAGGGGAACTCGGCTATATGAGGTGTCTGTCAACCCCTACTGGGAGATGTCTCCCAGTTAGGCTACATGGGGGCCAGGGACCCACTTGAGGAGGCAGTCCGTCCATTCTCAGAGCTCAAAGATGATGCTGGAAGAACCACTGCTCTCTTCAGAGGTGTCAGACAAGGATGTTTAAGTCTGCAGAAGTTTCTGCTGCCTTTTGTTCAGCTATGCCCTGCCTAGAGAGGTGGAGTCTATAGAGGCTGTAGGCCTTGCCGAGCTGCAGTGGGCTCCACCCAGTTTGAGCTTCCCAGCCACTTTGTTTACGTACTCAAACCTCAGCAATGTCCAACGCCTCTCCCCATGCCAGGCTGCAGCCTCAGAGGTCGATCTCAGACTGCTACACTAGCAGTGAGCAAGACTCTGTGGGCATGGGACCTGCCGGGCCAGGCACGGGAGAGAATCTCCTGGTCTGCCAGTTGCTAAGACCATGGGAAAAGTGCAATATTTGGGTGGAAGTACCCCGTTTTTCCAGGTACAGTGTGTCATGGCTTCCCTTGGCTAGGAAAGGGAAATCCCCGAACCCCTTGTGCTTCCCGGGTGAGGTGATGCCCCGCCCTGCTTTGGCTTACCCTCTGTGGGCTATATCCACTGTCCAACCGGTCCCAGTGAGATAAACCAGGTACCTCAGTTGGAAATGCAGAAATCACCCGTCTTCTGCATCGATCGTGCTGGGAGCTGCAGACCGGAACTGTTCTTATTCGTCCATCTTGGAATGGACTGGTAGTTGCTTTTGTTTATCTTTTGCTGAATATTGACTGTATATGCACAGTGCTTTCCTACCATGATTTGCTTCAAAACAATTTCTACTATAGAACCACCAATCTCATTTATGTGCACGCGCACACACATGCACACACACACTACTTTCCAGGTTTGGTATCCTTACTTTCATATTCATTTTTTCAGATAACTTCCAGTGCTTTTTTCGTAGCTTCCAGATGGCATAGGGTTAGTGGTGTTTTTCAAACATCACAAAACTAAGCAGAAACCCAAAAGCATGTAGCAGACCAAGTTCTAGAATTCAAATGCCTACAGGGATCAGGTAGATGACATAAGGGGGTAAAGGAGGCCAGCTGAGGACCACAGAGACTTGAAGAGCACTTGCTCCACTTGCAGGAAGCAGCCCTCCCCAACTACCCTCCAGGGGTACGGATCAACAGAAATTCTGCTGTGATGAAAATGTTTTGCAGCTGGGTGCGGTGGCTCATGCCTGTAATCCCAGCACTTTGGGAGACCAAGGCGGGTTGATTGCCTGAGGCCAGGGGTTCAAGACCAACCTGGCCAACATGGTAAAAGCACATCTCTACTAAAAATACGAAATTAGCCGGGTGTGGTGGCGGATGCCTGTAATCCCAGCTACTCGGGAGGCTGAGGCAGGAGAATCACTTGAACCCAGGAGGCAGAGGTTGTAGTGAGCCGAGATCATGGATCATGCCACTGTACTCCAGCCTGGGCAACAGAGTGAAACTCCATCTCAAAAAAAAAAAAAAAAAGAAAAGAAAAGAAAATGTTTTGCATCTATCCTGTCCAATACATTAGCCATTAGCCACATGTGACTATCAAGCAGTTGAGTGTGGCTAGTGAGACTGAAGAATTTTACATTTTAGTTCATTTTTATTAACTTATATTTAAGTAGCTATATGTGCCTAGTGGCTACCATATTGGAATGAGTCAGCTGCTTATCACTGAACAGAAACGGATATGGGTCCAGTGTGGTTAGATGTACTGATTTTTTTTTTCCAGATCATCCAGGAACCCAATCCATATGTTTAGTGAAGTCTTTTCCATTTAAAATGTTGGCTCCATTTAAAAAAATGTTACGAAAGCCAGCCAGGCACGTTGGCTCACCCCTGTAATCCCATCACTTTGGGAGGCTGAGGCAGGTGGATCACTTGAGATCAGGAGTTTGAGACCAGCCTGGCCAACATGGTGAAACCCCATCTCTACTAAAAATACAAAAATTGGCTGGGTGTGGTGGTGGGCACCTGTAATCCCTGCTACTCAGGAGACTAAGGCAGGAGAATCACTTAAACCCAGGAGGTGGAGGTGGCAGTGAGCTGAGATCACGCCACTGTACTCCAGCCTGGGTGACAGAATGAGACTCTGTCTCCAAAAATAAATAATTAAAAATGCTATGAAAACCAAGCAAAACACATTGATGGGAGGAATCATAACTGTGACCATCCATTGGTGTCCCCTACCATGGATTAATGAACAAACAAGGGCAGAGGGAAAAATACCCTGCACATCTGTTGGTAGAAAGCAAAAGGTACAATTAATGGGTTATTTCCCTGAGGCACAGCCTTACTTGCACCAATGAATGTTTACTGGTTGAAAATTTGTCAGTGGCAGAGCTTATATACATCTCATCCTATCATATGAACGCATATAGCATGTGACATGTAGGCTGAGACATAAAGGATGAAGAAGTATTTACATGAGTGAGAACAGTGACGCAAGGACCCAGAGGCAAGAGAGAACATAGCTGGTTGGAGACTTGAAGAAGTTTTACGTGTTTGCTCTGTCCGCTATGGCAGCCACTCCTCATATGGCTTTTTACATTTGAATTAAAAATGTTTCAAAAATTAAAAATTCAGTCCTTCAGTCCCATTAGCCACATTTCACATGCCCAATGGGCACATGTGATCAGTGATGACTTTGGACTTTACAGATACAGAATATGTCCATTATTGCAGAAAAGTCTATTGGACAGCACTAGAGCTTAGAGGCTGGAGGAGGCTAAGGAAAGAGGGCAGAGAGGGGGCATCATGAGAGAGGAGGCTAGACACATACTCACAACCATGAGGTCATGGGTGGGTTGGTACACCACCTTAAGAAGTTTGGACTTGGTGCTGAAGATTTGCCTTTCAGTAAACTCACACTGCTATTGGGTGGACAATGGACAGGAAGGAGGACGCGAGTGGATGCCAGAGATCAGTCAAGAGACTGTGGCAGTCAAGGTAAGAGAGGAGGATGCTCAGGGACCAGACATCCTCCATGATCCACAATGCTTTGCCCAGGACCTATTGTACAGTCATCCCTTATAAGTGCCAGGTCTAGAATATATACTCAAAATAGCCCTCATCCTACAGGCGAGGAAATTGAAGTTTGCATGGTTAAATACATTAACCCCACAGACCACACAACTAGTAAGTTCCAGAACTGTGATTCTAACACACAGCTATGTAACTCCAAAGTCTATATATATATATATATACACACACACACACACATATATATACACATATATATATACACACATATATATACATATATACACATATATATACACATATATACACATATATATACACACACACACATATATATAAAATTTTATTTTATTTTATTTTTTTGAGATGGAGTTTTACTCTGTCGCCCTGGCTGGAGTGCAGTGGTGTGATCTCAGCCCACTGCAACCTCCGCCTCATGGGTTCAGGCAATTCTCCTGCCTCAGCCTCCCAAGTAGCTGGGATTACAGGCACACACCACCACACCCGCTAATTTTTGTACTTTTTAGTAGAGACGGGGTTTCACCATGTTGGCCAGGCTGGTCTCCAACTCCTGACCTCAAATGATCCACCCGCCTCGGCCTCCCAAAGTGCTGGATTACAGGCATGAGCCACTGCGCCCAGCCCAGATATTTTTTATTGTTGCTTTTCTTCTCTATACAATGTTTGCTTCCTAGAAGAGACAGCAAGGAACACAGAGACAGAGGAGCAGGAGCTCTAGGCCTGGCAGAGTGAAGTGGAACTGGGCAGGGCAGCTCCCGGAGGGCAGGAAAGAGTCTCTGCATCACAATCATGTGATCTAAGGAAAACTAACCCCACACCACCCTAAATGTCATGTCTGGGAGGGTGCTGTGTCGCTCAGTTCACACCTGGTACCAAGTTCTGTTCAATTTCCTTTATTTTCAAGGCGTATGTAGCAGTGTGCCTATTAATACATACAGCAGGCTTATTATGAAGGAGAACAACCTAAGGATATGCAATACACATTACCTGTCAATTGACGTTTTGCTGGTGACCAATTCATTCCCTTTTGCATCAAATTCCCCCCCCCCCCAGATCCAGTGACTCACTCTCTCAACTGCATCCTGGCCAGCACTCCAGTTTCCTTAGCGGGTGGAAGAGGCTAAGGAAAGAGGGCAGAGAGGGGGAATCATGAGAGAGGAGGCTAGACACATACTCACAACCATGAGGTCGTGGGTAGGGCTGGTGCACCACCTTAAGAAGCGACTCCAGATCCAGTGACTCACTCTCACCACTGCATCCTCGCCAGCACTCCAGTTTCTTTTCCTTTTAAGATGAGGATAATTATATTTCAGAGGAGCTTTTGTTTATTTGTTCATCGCCAGCTTCCTCTAGTCCAAACATAGATGGTTGGTTGGTTGGGTTCAATGCCAGGACCCAACCTGGATAGCCAGTTTTCTGTATGTGATGACATTAAATGTGTGAATTTTTATAAAATTGTGTGTACCTTTGAGGAATTTTTCAGGCATCTAGGGAATTTGAACTAGTAATTTATAATAGATTTCCTTGACTAGCAAGGTAATTCCCTAATGAAAAGAGCGGCACTTTATCTCAAACTGTATGCAGCAGTGGAAAGAAACTTAACAGGACTTTGACATTCTCAAGCTTCTAGGTGCAAGTTTACTTGTTTATTTTGCTCTTTTTTTTTTTTTTTTTAAAAAAAAAGACAATTTAAAATTCTTTAAAATCTTATTTTACCTTTTTTTGTAACTTTTATTTTGATTTAATTTCAAATTTACAGAAGTTGCTAGAACTTTTATGTACCCTTCACCCAGATTCACCAGTTGTTAACATTTTGCAACATTTGATTATCCTATTACAATAGGATGTATTTGATTGTATTTCTTCACAATACACACACACACTCTCACACTATTATTTTTGAACCACTTGAGCATAAGCCGCAGATGTAATGCCCTTTTAACCCTAAATATTTCAGTGTGTATTTCCTAAGGCAAGACATTTTCTTACATAACTACAGTAAAATGATCAAAACCAAACAATGTAACACAGGTACAGTATTATTATTTAATCTGCAGTATCTACTTCACAGAATTATTTAGCTTTCACCCATCATCGCAATAATGTCCTTCAGTTTGCAGCGCCTCCCCTGAGGTCCCTTGCAGAATTGACCCCGGGATTATGCATTGTTTTCAGTTGTCATGTCTCTTTGGTCTCCTTAATCCGAAACAATTCTTCACGCCATTTTGACTTTCAAAACGTTTATATTTTTATTTATTTATTTTATTATACTTTAAGTTCTGGGATACATATGCAGAACGTGCAGATTTGTTACATAGGTATACATGTGCCATGGTGGTTTGCTGCACCCATCAACCCATCATCTACATTAGGTATTTCTCCTAATGTTTTCCCTCCCCTAGCCCCCAACCCCCAACAGGCCCCAGTGTGTGATGTTCTACATTTATATTTTTAAAAAGAAATACATAACAATACCAATAGATTATAGATTTAGACATAATCTATACATGCATATGTACTCTATAATATATCTAAAGATATATAATATCTACTATATAACCTATTCATGATAGACTCATGAATTCTAGATCCATAGATTGTAGATTGTGTAAGCATTCATGAGTTTATTCTAATAAATAAATGCAAACATGCATAAGCGAATCGGGAAAGCCCCTCTTTGAGTAAAATGTTAACTAATAAAATGGAGAAAGGAATGACAGAATTAGAAAATTATCATTTTGCAACTATTATAATAATAATTGATTTAGGCAAGAATTATCCATGGATACTAAAACTAGTGGATGAAAGTTTGAAAAGGAAAATGATGCTTATATAGCCTCAAAATATTGTCCCTCAAATCATTAAGAAAGGAAGAACAGTAACTCTACAGGAGATAAACCTGGGAGATAACACGGTAACCAAGTGACTGAAGTTAGCATCGCCAATGATAGAACAAGCCTTCATCATGTACCTCTTGACATAATGCACTAAGGAAGATACTCCTTCACCTCTGAGATATTCTTGTTAAGAATAATCTAATCATGAGGAAATAGACAAACCCACACTACGAGATATTCTACAAAACAATGTTTCCTTTTTAATGACAAGCCTGCTTAAGTCAAGGGTTGCATCAAGAGTTGCATTTTCACAAAGTAAACCATGAGATATTATCTTACAACAGTCAGACAGAATAGCAATTATTAAAAAGTCTAAAAACAATAGATGTTGGCAAGGATGTGAAGTAAAGAGAATGCTTATACACTGTTGGTGGGAATGCATATTAATACAACCTTTATGGAAAACAGTATGATTTCTCAAAGAACTAAAAATAGGACTACCATTTGATCCAGCAATCCTGCTACTGGGTATAAACCCAAAGGGAAAGAAACAATTATATAAAAAAAGATATTTGCACTAATATGCTTATCAGAGCACTATGCACAATAGCAAAGACATGGAGTTAACCTGACTGTCTCCATCAATGGAGGATTGGATAAAGGAAATGAAGTAAAGATATACCACGGAATACTACTTAGCCATAAAAAAGAATAAAATCATGTCTTTTGCAGCAACATGGATGAAACTGGAGGCCATTATCCTCAGTGAAATAATTCAGAAACAGAAAGTCAAATACCCCATGTTCTCCCTTATAATTGGGAACTGATCAATGGATACACAGGAACATACAGAGTGGAATAGACATTGGACACTACAAAAGGTGAAAGGGTGGGAGGGTCGTGAGGGTTGAAGAACTACCTGTTGTGTACAATGTTCGCTATCTGGGTGATGGGCACCCAGTAGTGAAGCCTAGACTTCACTACTAAGCATGTAAGAAACCTGCGCTTGTACCCTCTAAATATGTAAAAATATTTTTAAAGTTGCATTTTCAAGGAATACCACTAGATGTCACTGTGGTTTTGCAGGTTGCACAAATTTTATCAGTAAAGACATAAATTCCTTGGTGGCCTGCCTCTTGACTTTGACTCATTTCTAGACTGGGCACATTTAGCCAATTTCAACACATATAGCCTTTGTGAAGCCTACAAATTAAATAATGGTAAAAGCAACGAGGAAGGAGGCAGCCGGCTTAAAGCTTGTTTCTGCGATTACAAGCCGTGGGAGCCGGGCAGTTACTGCTCCGTCTCTGGACTTGGTTTCCACATGTGGAGGAGACTTGGATTGCCTGCTCTTAGTCTCTTCAAGCTCTCGTAGTCTATGACTTTAAACTGATGTTTTTTCAACTAAAATTATTTCAGTGCCCCTTACAAGATTTTTGTCCAACGACATTGAACCCACTACTGATTTTTCTGTTTTGTTTTGTTTTTAAACTCAGAGCTTTTATTTATATAGTACTTGTTTTTAAGTTGACTCAGCTTTTTAAAATGTAAATAAAGAAAAAAATGTCATAGGCCCATCACAAGTGGAAACCAGTTCACTTGCCATAAATAAAGGTAACCACAAAAATAAATGTAATAAAAACAACGTAATATAATTAAATTCAAGCGATTGTTTGCCAAAGGCTCAGAGCATGAGTCTACTCTTTTTTCCTCCTTTTTTTAAAAGGGAGATTTGGCAGTGTTGAAGAGGAGTTGAAGACAGACCAGCCCCGAGACTTTCCTTTCAATGTCAGCAGAAGAATTGAGACTGAGAAGACCTTTCTCTCTGTGCAGTTTACAAAACCAACCACAATACTTCATGTACCGTCCAAAACCAGTCTCATGCTTTTATAAGCTGTTCTAAGCTATAAGATTCTTTTTTTTTTCTTATTCTTGATTCTTCAATATTTCTAAAGGGCATGATTAGAAATCATACATTATTAAATGTTTTCTTCAACATATATTTAAGCTTTCATTTTATTTTGGTATCCATTTCAGTTTTGTATTGGTTTAACTTCCCTTTAATGTTTATTTAAATTTGCCTTTACATTCAGTCTTCTTCCACTTAAAACACTCACTCTCTTTTTAACAGAGGAGGTGATATATACCCCTCTGCTGTCAATGTCGAAGCAATTACGTGCCACCAAATGGCTTGTGATGTGCCATCTCCTCCTGATAAAGGCTCATGATAGATAGGATGTGGCAGAGGTCAGGAATTCTGCTGAGTACAACCTGAGGGTATCCTTCAAATTGCTTGAGCTTTCTCCAAATCCCCTAGGACACAATCAGAAAACGAGTCCCCTTTAATTTTGGTGCAGAGCTTTTTTCTTCCTTCTTCACAGAGATTCAGAGTGAAGATGCGTTAGGCTGAGCCATCTAATTGCATTCTTTACTCCCTAACATTAGTTTAGCCCTTTCCTGCTTTGTATCATCTATTATAATTACTAATTTGCTGGCCACAATTAGCATAGGGGGTTTTATAGAAGCAGAAACAATTTCTTAGCTGCCCAATGTTACTAAATAATTTAAAAAGGGGAAGACAACGAATTTCCATCAAATGTGCTTTGTTTTCTTAATGCATGTGTTGCCATTAAGGAAAACCATTATAAGGTAAAGAAATCAGGAAATTCATAAAGATCAATACACCAATTATTTCCTGCATTATAAAAGTTACCTCTTCATAATTTTCTTTTCCTGGTGAGGTAGATTTAATTTGCTATTAGAAACTCAAAAGCTGAGAGGTCAGTTTCACTGTTCAAAACAGACTGCTCTTTGTCTAGCAGGAAACAATGTTTTCCCAAAAAAAAGTCCAGAGAGATCACATCCCCCAAAAAAATCATCATTGAAAAGGTTGATTATGAATCAATAGAAACTTTTTTTTCTATAACAAATTATGTTGAACTATACTGTACCCCCCAGGCCCCACCCCCAAATCAGAGTAAGAATCTCTTGGGGGTTTTTTGTTTGTTTTTTGTTAGTTTTCATCACTGTAACTATGCTGAAATTCAAAGCAGGGTGGGCAGATATTACACAACTTCATGAAATATACTAAATATACCAGTGGAAATCAAATGTGAGGCATGGTTAGTTTCTGCTGGCAGACTTACTTGAGATTTTCTGAAGAATTCTTCAGGTTTCCTCCAGCCCCATTTGTTCCTGATGCTGATCAGTGTTGATGATTCCATTATCTTCTTTATGTTACAGATTCCTCCCTCCCCCAATGTTCACTCTATTGTTTTATTATGTGTTGACATCAGCCTGCGGACGATGGTGTTCTGGCAGAGTCCCCTTCCGTGGCTTTCTGAATACCACTGGTAAGTGTACTTTGAGCCTCTTTCTGGAACTATATCCCCAGGGCTGCAAATTATACTTGATTTCATTGTTTGCAAGTGTGTAGAGCCAACATGTCTGTTTAAGATACTGAGCCAAGTATTGTCTTTCCAGTACATCTATAACTATTGATTCCTATGAGAGAGGCCTAATTATATTTGTGCTTATCTTAAAACCACAGCAATGAAAGAGGCTTTAAAAATTCCTTCATCTCATCTAGGGCCTGGGTCCGTCCCCATCCCCTATCAGCCTTCTGTGGTACAAGTAATAGAAACCAACTCTGGGCAAGTTAAACCAAAAAGGGTATTTGTGTTATTGAAAGGGGGTCTCCAGAAATAAAAAGGCAGCTGAAGAACCAGGCTAGGACGACTCAGGAACCATGAAGATTCTGGGGATCTAGGTGACAGGCACTGACCAGTGGTGTCACCCAGTGGTGACTCCAAGGAGATATTTGAGGATATTTGGAGGAACTTTAAACCCCTCCATCCTACCCTAATTCTTTGTGTGAGAAGTTGAGCTTTCTTACCTTTATGCAAAATGCTATACGAAGATAGGTTAAAGTGGTCCCCCAAATCCTGCCCTCAACAGACTGCCAGCCCCATCCCTTCTACATAGAAATTATAAGGCTGCCATTGAAACAACCACGGGGGGTGGTCAGCTTTGCATAGTCTTCCCAACCCCATACTTAACCACTGCAGAGAAGAGAGTCTTGGGGAAGAAAGTCCATCTGGACAATCTTAGGTGTGTGACCACCCTTCGGCCAGTGTCACTGTTTAAGTCAAGGCTGCCACAATAGAGGAGAGGTAATTCTTCACAGGGAAAATTGAGGGCTGTTCCCCAAGGGAAAGAGAATGGCCAAAAAACATGTGGCCACTACCTTACCAAGAGAGTGAGAATCACTTTCAGTGATATTGGCTGTGCTGACTCTTCAAGTAGCCTCTTGAGAAGATCTGGTGGTTGCAAATCCTGCCTTTCCTTGAAGAGAGCTCAGCCACCCACACCCTTCATGGCTTTCCTCTACTGATCCTGGCTACACATTCTTGAGCTCATCCAAAGCACGTCTTTCAGATGTTTGATGTCAGCTTGCAAGTCAAACTCTCTTTGCAAGTTGCTCTCTCCTTCTCTAGATATTTTTGGGAGCTCTGAACTAGCTATTTTATTTTGCTGGGTTGCGCTTGCCCCAAATCCTTACATGCCTGACTCTATTTCACCCTTCAGTTCTCAGCTCAAATTTCATCTTCTAGATGAGACCTAATCGGACAAATCAAGCTCAAGGCCCTCGTACTCAATGCTTCTCTCTGTCTGCCACCCTGCATACTCTTTATTGCAATATGAAATTACTTTTTTGGGGTTTACTTTTTGTCTATCTTTCCCATGAAACTAAGCTTTAAGTTCCATGAGAACAGAGACCTTCTCTGTCTTTGTATTACTGTATATACTTCTTGCCTAGAATTGTGCCTTTTAGACTAAAGTTGCCCAATAAATATTTATTAATTAAATAAATTAACAAATTAACATGTTTTATACAACTTTTTAGTGTAATATATAATATGCAAGGAGAAACATGCATTAGACTATATGCACGGTTGAAGAGATGGCTCTAAAGTGAGGATTTGTTAACCACTACCCAAGTCAAAAAACAGAATAGTACTGGAATCCAAGAAACGATCTTTGCACTTCATGTATCCATTTCCAATCAAAACCCCTTCTTCCCCTAGAGGTGACTACTATCTTCACTTACATGATAATCATTTACTTGCTTTTCTTTATAGTATTATCACCTGTACACTCATCCCTAAACCATATAGTTTAGTTTTGTCGCAGTTAGAACTAGATATAAATGGAATTGTATTATATGCACTTATCTGCACAATAATTATTTCACTAATAATTACTTCATATAATTATTTAAAATAATCTATTATGTAATTATATTATAATTAGTACATTATTATTATATTATATAATATTATTATCTATTATATAAGTATATATTTATTTATATTAGTGGAAATACTGATTACAATAATTATTTCACATATATTTAGTATACTATATGTACTTATCTGCATAATTATTTTACTAATTATTAGTGAAAATAATTATATAATTACCTATAAAACTATTTATAATTATTTTTAAAAAATTATACTAATTATATGTATAATTAGTATAAGTACATATAATTATACATATGATTATTTTATAAATAAATGTTTATAAATAATTATTTTTACAATAATTAGCGAAATAATTATGTAATAATAATTAGTATAATTATTTCACTAATTTTCATGCAGAGAAGCACATAGAAAAAATGATTTTAAACTTTCAACTTCCAGCATGATGGAATGAGAAGGCAGAGAAATTCTGTCCTCAAAAAGCAACTATTAAGTTGGTCAAAACTTCAAAACCAACAATTTCAGTGCTCTGAAAGTTGACCAAAAGCATACCACAAACTGATGAAATGTCCTGAAGTTTGGGTAAGAACAGCATGAGTCTGTGGTGGTGTTGCCCAGGCTGCTCCCATCCCCTCCCTCCCCGCCTGCCAGTTCTGTGGTGGTAGTTCAACCAGCGGGGGCCAGGTCATGGAGACCCACAGCCTTGTTGCTGCTGCCAGAAGGTGCTCCTTGATTTGGAATGTTGTCAGTTAAAGTGGCAATCTTAGTAACAAGTGGATAGGGAGAGCCAGCAGCTCTGCTAGTCTGAGATTATGGCCCTATTTGGGACAAGCGGTGGACCGAGAGGCTTCCAGGGATTTAACAGGGACGCACAGATATGAGATAGCCCCAGGGGCTTGGTAATCTCCCCACATATCCTGTGTTGACGAGAGGCTGTGCTCATGTGCTACAGAGATAAGCTTGAACCCAGGCCATTCACACATGCCTGGCCAATAGAACCTGCACACATGAACAGAAGAGAAATAAGAAAGCCCAACAGAAAATAAAAGTCAAGCCTGACTTAAAAACTTCCTAAGTTTTGAATGTACTCCCCACTCCACACATAGCCCATTAGCAAAGAGTGAAAGCCTCACTGGCTTGAGGGGTTTGAGTGCTGTTGCTGACCATTCTTAACCTGAACTCTAAGCTGTCAAGGGCAATTCCTAGGCATCCAGGCTTTAAAATGTAAACAAAGATAAAAACTGATCAAAGTCAACAGTGGCCACACGCTTTATAGATTTAGCCCAGGCAAGTTACTAAGTTAAAAAACAAACAAACAAACAAACAAACAAACAACTCTAGGAGGAAAAAATCACAATCCAGAGTGGCTGCAGTATTAGCTAAGATGTTCAATATTCAATATAAAATTACAAGGCATATAAAGAAACCAAAAGGATGACCAAACTGAGTCTACTGAAACTGTCTCTGAGTGTTTCCAGATAATGAATTTAGAAGACAAAAATTTCAAAGTAGCTATTATAAATGTGTTCAAAGAGCTGAAGAAAACAATTTTTAAAGATTGAAGCAAAACATGACAACAATGACTGAATAGAGAATCTCAATAAAGAGACAAAAATTATTTAAAACAAATGAAAATTCTGAAGTTAAAAATTCTAACTGAAATGAAAAGTTTACTACAGAAGCTTAACTGTAATTCTGAGCTAGCAAAAGAAAGAACTAGGGCTGAACGTGGTGGTTCACGCCCGTAATGCCAACACTTTGGGATGCTGAGACAGGCAGATCACTTCGGGCCAGGAGTTCAAGACCAGCCTGGCCAACATGGTGAAACTCTGTCTCTACTAAAAATACAAAAAAAAGTGGCCAGGCATGGTGGCATGCGCCTGTAATCTCAGCTACTCGGGAGGCTGAGGCAGGAGAATTGCTTGAACCTGAGAGACAGAGGTTGCAGTGAGCTGAGATCATACCACTGCACACCAGCCAGGGTGACAGAGTGAGACCTTAAAAAAAAAAAGAAAAGAAAAAAGAAAGAAAGAAAGAACCAGGAATTTGAAAAGAGAGCAGTGAAAATTACCGAATCTGAAAAATAGGGAGAAAAAAGATGAAAGAGAAATAGACAATCCTATAGACCTGTGGAATAATATTAAATGTACCAACCTAGGTGTAATGGGAGTCTCAGAAAGAGATGGAAAGGAAAATGAGATAGAAAAACACCTAAAAGTAATGGCCAAAAACATTTCAAATTTGATGAAAATATATTAATGTACAGATCCAAGAACTTCAAAGAATTTCAAGTAGGATATACACAAAAAGATCCTCCTTAGACACCTCAGAATTAACCTGTTGAAAAATAAATACAAAGAGAAAATCTCAAAAACATAAAAAAACCCCACAACACAGAGGAACAAGAATCCTAGTAACATCTGATTTCCTATCAGAAAGAATGGAGGCCAGAAAAGCAGTAGAAAGCTATATTCAAAGTGCTGATAGGAAAATTTTTTAAAAGCCTGCAAACTTAGAATTCTACATCAAACAAAATTATCCTTCAAAAGTGAATACAAAAATAAAGATGTTCCGGAAATAAATGAATATTGAAAGAATTCCTCACTAGCAGAGCTGCTTTACAAAAATACAGAAAAGGTCTGTTAGGCTGAAAAAAAGTGACAACAGAAAATAGCTGTAATCCTAAAGAATAAGCGAAGAATGTCAGAAATAACAAATATGTGGGAAATTGTAAAAGTCTCTAGAAATAAGTTTTTCTCATTTTTCTTTTAATTTCTTTAAATGATACAAGACTGTATAAGGCAATACTTATAACAATCTAGTTGTATAGAGTTAATGTAGAGACATAATCTATACAACATAATAGCACTAATGAAGGGGGAAAAAAGAGATATATTAGAGCAAGCTTATCCACCCCATGGTCTGTGGGCCACATACAGCCCAGGATGGCTTTAAATGTGGCCCAACACAAATTTGTAAGCTTTCTTAAAACATTATGAGATTTATGCATGGAATTTTTTTAAAGCTCATTAGCTATCATTAGTGTTATTGGATTTTATGTGTGGCCCAAGACACTTTGTCTTCCAATGTGGCCCAGGGAAGTCAAAAAATTGGAAACCCCTGTATTAGAGCAATGTTTCTATATTTTACCAGAAATGACTTAGTATTATTCTGAAGTAGATTGTGATAAGTTGAAGTGCATATTGTAAACCCTAATACAACCACTAAGAAAACACCTAAATGACATATAGTAAAATGTACACAGAGGAATTAAAAATGACACATTAAAAATATTTATTTAACACAAAAGGAGGCAGTAAAGCAGGAACAAAGGAAATACATGAGACAAACAACACACAGCAAAATGGCTAACATAAATGCAAAGATTATCAACAGTTACATTAAACATGATTGGACTAAACACTCACTAAATACTCCACTCAAAAGGCAGAGATTGTCAGACTGAATGAAAAAGCAAGAGCCAATTATATGCTATCTATAAGAGATCTGTTTTAGGTTCAAAGGCACAAATAGGTTAAAAGAAAAGGATGGAAATAATATACCATGTAAACATTAACCATAGGGTTGGAATGGCTTTTATCAGACAAAATAATCTTTAAAATAAGAAATATTATCAGAGACAAAAGGACATGTTATAATAATAAAATGGTAATACATTCAGAAAATATAACAATTATAAATCTCTATGCACCAAATAATAGAGCTTCAAAACACATAAAGCAAAATTTGACAGAATTAAAAGGAGATGTAAACAATTTAACAATAATAGTTGAAGATTTCACCCTCAATAATTGATACAACAAATAGAAAGAAAAACAAGAAGCATATGGAAGACCTGAACAACACTAAGACCTGAACAACACTATCAATCAATTTAACCAATATTTATAGAACAAACAACTCAATAAATGCAGAATACATATTATTTTCAAGTGCACATGGAACATTCTCCAGGATAAATCATATATTGTATCCATAAACAAATCTCAACAAATTTTCAAAGTTTGAAATCATCTAAAGTTTGTTCTCTGATCACAACAGAATTAAATTAGGTTTAGGGATCCACAACAGTAAGAATTCTGAGTAAAACTCAAATATTTGGAAATTATACAACACACTTTTAAATAGCCCATGAGTCAAAGAAGAAATCACAAGGGAAATTAAAATATACTTTGAACTAAATGATAATGAAAACACAGCATAGAAAATGTATGGATTGCATTAAATAAGCACTTAGAAGGAAAATTTTAGCTCTAAATGTCTATATCAGAAAAGAACAAAAGTAATCTAAAGGTAATCAGTAATCTAAACTTCCTCCTTAAGAAACTATAAGCAAAAGGAGAGAAAAAATATTAGAGCAGAAATCAGTGGATCCCATAAAGAGAATCAGTGAAACCAAAAGTTGGTTCTTTGAAAATATTAAGAAAATTGGCAAATTCTCAGCAAGTCTGACAAAGAAAAGAAAATAGAAGATACAGATTGTTAAAATCAGAAATTAAAGAATGGACGTTATTACCAACACTGTGGGAATTAAAAGGATTATATGAAAATATTATGAATAACTTTATACCAACAAATTAGACAACTTAGATGAAATGAGAACATTCCTTGAAAAATGTAAATTACAAACACTAAGAAATAGAAAATATGGATAGATTAGAAGTGAAGAAATTGAACACTTATGTTCATAGCAGCATTATTCCCAATAGCCATAAGGTAGAAGCAACCCAAGCATTCATTGACAAGTGAATGAATTAACAAATGTGGTGTACACATGTAATGGAATATTGTTCAACCTTGAAAAAGAAGGAAATTCTGACACACGCTACCACATAAATAAACTCTGAACTTACTTCAGTCACAAAAAAGACAAACACAGCTGGGTGCGGTGGCTCGCACCTGTAATCCCAGCATTTGGGGAGGCCGAGGAAGATGGATAACTTGAGGTCAGGGGTTCAAGACCAGCCTGGTCAACATGGTGAAACTCTGTCTGTACAAAAAAATTAGCTGGGCCTGGTGGTGTGTACATATAATCCCAGCTATTTGGGTGGCAGAGGCATGAGAATCACTTGAACGCAGAAGGCAGAGGTTGTAGTGAGTCAAGATTGTGCCATTGCACTCCAGCCTGCATGACAGAGGGGTACTCTGCCTCAAAAACAAAAGACAAACGCTATATGATTCCACTTGTATGAGGTGCCTAGATTAGTCAAATTTATAGACACAGAAAGTAGAATGGTGGTTGCGGGAGGAGGGGAGAATGGGGAGATGTTTAGTGGTATAGAGTTTCAGTTTGATGAAAATAGTTCTGGAGATTGGTTGCACAAGTTTGACTGTACTTAACACTACTGAACTGTACACTTAAAAATGACTCAGATGGTAAATTTTATGTTATGCAGTTTTACCATAATTTTTTTAAAAAGAAGCTTCCTTGGAGAACACAAGATTTCAACACATCATTACACCTGTATAAACTCAATGCATTCCAAAACATTATAAAAAGAAGAATTAGCAATTTAAAAAGTCTGAGTAAACCTCAAATATTTGAATTTAAAAGAAATTGAATTAGCAATTAAAAAATATTTCCAGAGAGAATAGTCCAGAACCAGATGATTTTACCGGTAAATTCAATCAAATATTTAAAGAAATAATACCAATCCTTCAAATACTTTTTCCAAAAATAGAGGGGGGAGGGAACACTTCTGAACTCACTTGATGAAGTCACTATTACCCTGTTACCAAAACCAGACAATGACCTCACTGGAAAAGAAAACTACAGACCAATTTCCTTCATGAACATAGATACAAACATTCTCAACAAAATATTAGAAATTTGAATTTAGCAATATATAAATAGGATTATACACTACGACCAAGTAAGATATATCCCTGACATGTTAGGTGATTTAATGGCATTTCTGTAGAGTATATACCTAGAGGTGAAATTTCTAGATTATAGGGTAAAATATTTTGTAAATAATGTCAGACTTGGTTCCAAAGTGGTTGTACTTATTAACAGTGTATGAGAGTTCTCACATGTATTAAGTAACACTTGCATTGTCAGTCTTTTAAACTTTTGACTATTTTTTTTGAAACACGGTCTTGTTCTGTGACCCAGACAGACTCACTGCAGCCTCAGCCTCCTGGGCTCAAGTGATCCTCCTGCCTCAGTCTCCTGAAGATCTGGGACCATAGGCATGTGCCACCACATCCAGCTAATTAAAAAAAAATTTTTTTTGTAAAGATGGGGTCTCCCCGTGGTTGCCCAGACTGGTCTCTAACTCCTGGGCTCAAGCAATCCTCCCACTTCATATTCCCAAATTGCTGGGATTACTGGCATGAGCCATCGCACCCAGCCTAACTTTTGCCTGTTTGATAGGTATAAGACTATCTTACTCTGGTTTTATTTTGTATTTGCCTGAATTGTAATACAGTTGAGCACCTTCTTATGTGTGGTTAGCCATTTGGGTATCTTCTGTACATGTGTGTAAAATGCCTGTTAGAGTTTATAAATAGTGATTATATATAAGATTTTATTGAGTGTTTACTACATGCCAGGCACTAATTACTAGATAAAGATTCATTTTATCATCACAATAAAGCTAAGTAGTATGTACTATTATTATCTACATTAACAACTTTTTTCTGCTTCTATTGTGATGAAGACAATATGATTTTCCTCTTTTAACCTATTAATGTGGTGAATTACTTGCTTTTCATTATGTTACATCAACCTTAAAATCAAAGGATAAATTCTACTTGTTCATGAGCTATTGTCCTTCCTGTATATTGTGAATTCAATTTGTTAATATTTTGTTTAAATTTTTAAAAATCTAGGTTAATGAATAGGATTAACCTATATTCTTCTCTTACACTGTTTTTGTTAGGTTTTGATATCATTATTATTATTATTATTACTGTTTTTGAGGCAGAGTCTCACTTGGTAGTCCAAGCTGGACTACAGTGGTAGTGCGATCTTGGCTCACTGCAACCTCTGCCTCCCAGGTGCAAGCGATTCTCCCGTCTCAGCCTCCCGAGTAGCTGGGATTACAGGTGTCCACCACCAAGCCCAGATAATTTTTGTATTTTCAGTAGAGACAGGGTTTCGCCATATTGGCCAGACTGGTCTCGAACTCCTGACCTCAAGTGATCTGCCTGCTTTGACTCCCAAAGTGCTGGGATTACAGGTGTGAGCCACCGCTCCTGGCATCATTATGATTTTTAATCCTGAATATTTATCATTATTCCATTACAGTAGTCCCACCTTATTCACAGGACATACTTTTGAAGACACCCAGTGGATGACTGGAACTGCTAATAGTGCCAAACCCTATCAATACTATGTTTTTTGCTATATATGCTTACCTATGATAGAGTTTAATTTATAAATTAAGCACAATAAGAGATGAACAACAATAGCTAATAATAAAATAGAACAATTATAACAACATACGGTAATGAAAGTTATGTGAGTGTGGTCTCTCTCAGAATATCTTATTGTACTATACTCATCTATTTTCTTCAATTTTTTTTTAACTCAATGGTTCTTTTAGAGACATATACTTGCCTATTTTCAGATCATGGTTGACCCTGGGTAATTGAAACGCAGGAAAGTGAAACCTGGGATAAGGAGGGACTGCTGAAATTTCCCCTACTCATTTGGAAGTAACACACGCTAGTTCTATAATGTGTAGTTGTTACCTTATATTATGGATTGAATTGTTTCCCTCCAAAAGATACACTGAAGACTTAACCTCCCACCTCCACTCGGTAACCTTATTTTGAAATAGGGTCTTGCAGATGTAATCAAATTAAGATGAGGTCATCAGGGTGCAACCTAATCCAATATGGCTGGCGTCCTAGTAAGAGGAGATGGCAGTGACATATGGGGAAGATAGCCCAGTGAAGACAGAGTCAGAGATTGGAGTAATACTGCCACAAGCCAAGGAATGCCTGAGACTACTAGAGGCTAGAAAAAGCAAAGAGGGCTTCTTCCCAAGAGCCTTCAGAGAGAACATAGCCCTGCCAACACCTTGATTTTGGACTTCTAGCCTCTGATACTATGAAAGAATATATTTCTGTTGTTTAAGTCCCCCAGTTTGTGGTACTCTGTTATGGCAGGGGTAGGAAACTAATCCTAGAAATTCCAACCTCCATAATTAGTGTACCAAAGTTTACAAGTGATCAGAATGTTATTCCCTTCCTGGACAAACGTGGAACACAGGGAAACCACAAAGAAGAACCTTTTATTATTTCTGTATTTCCCTTCTTCAAACTCATATGCTTTTGTTGTCCAGTACTTTAATCAATCCCCCCTTTTCCCCACTAGAAATTCTCATTGCTATTTTATACAGTCGATGCTTATTTTGTTTACCCACATTACCTACTTGCTTTGTTCCACAAAGTTTGATGCATCTCAGATCTTCTTTCCGGTGTCATTGTCTTCCTGCCTAGGTACAGCAAGTGATTTTCTGTAGTGAGAATCTGCTGACAACAAATTCTGTCAGGTTTAGTTTCACTTTCACTGGGTGTAGAATTCTATGTGGCAACGATTTTATTTTGGTACACTTAAGACACCATTTCACTATCTTCTCTCTACCATTACTGCTGCTGAGAGAAGAGCTAGCTCTTCGTTGGAATCATTCTAATTGCCATTCTTTAAAAAGTTACTTATCAGGCTGGGCGCGGTGGCTCATGCCTCTAATCTGTGTGTCAGGAATTGGTGGGTTCTTGGTCTCACTGACTTCAGGAATGAAGCCACGGACCCTCGCCGTGAGTGTTACAGTTCTTAAAGACAGCGCTTTCCTTCAGATGTTCGGATGTGTTCGGAGTTTCTTCCTTCTGGTGGGTTCCTGGTCTCACTAGCTCAGGAGTGAAACTGCAGACCTTTGCGGTGAGTGTTACAGCTCATAAAGGCAGTGTGGACCCAAAGCGTGAACAGCAGCAAGATTCACTGGGAAAAGTGAAAGAACAACACTTCCACAGTGTGGAAGTGGACTCCAGACCCTTGCCACTGCTGGCTTGGGCAGCTTGCTTTTATTCTCTTATCTGGCACCACCCACATCCTGCTGATTGGTCCATTTTACAGAGAGCCGATTGGTCTGTTTTGCAGAGAGCTGAATGGTCTGTTTTGACAGGGTGCTGATTGGTGGGTTTACAATCCCTGAGCTAGATACAAAAGTTCTCCATGTCCCCCCACTAGATTAGCTAGATACTGAGTGTCCATTGGTGTATTTACATACAAACCCTGAGCTAGACGCAGAGTGCTGATTGGTGCATTTACAAACCTTGAGCTAGATACAGAGTGCCGATTGGTGCATTCACAATCCCTTAGCTAGACATAAAGATTCTCCAAGTCCCCACCAGATTAACTAGATACAGAGTGCCGATTGGTGCATTCATAAACCCTGAGCTAGACACAGGGTGCTGATTGGCGTGTTTACAAACCTTGAGCTAGATACAGAGTGCTGATTGGTGTATTTACAATCCCTTAGCTAGACATAAAGGTTCTCCAAGTCCCCACCAGACTCAGGAACCCAGCTGGCTTCACTCAGTGGATCCCGCACCAGGGCCACAGGTGGAGCTGCCTGCCAGTCCCATGCGCCCTGCACCCGCACTCCTCAGCCCTTAGGCGGTCGATGGGACTGGGTGCCGTGGAGCAGGGAGCGGTGCTCCTCCAGGAGGCTGGGGCTGCGCAGGAGCCCATGGCAGGTGGGGGGAGGCTCATGCATGGCAGGCTGCAGGTCCCGAGCCCTGCCCTGCGGGGGCAGCTAAGGCCAGGTGAGAAATCAAGCACAGCAGCTGCTGGCCCAGGTGCTAAGCCCCTCACTGCCCAGGGCTTGCAGGCGGGCCCGCCGCTCTGAGTGCGGGGCCCGCCGAGCCCACGCCCACCCGGAACTCACGCTGGCCCGCAAGCGCCGCGTGCAGCTCCGGTTCCTGCCCGCGCCTCTCCCTCCACACCTCTCCGCAAGCTGATGGAGCCGGCTCCGGCCTTGGCCAGCCCAGAAAGGGGCTCCTACAGAGCAGCAGCGAGCTGAAGGGCTCCTCAAGCGCGGCCAGAGTGGGTGCCAAGGTCGAGGAGGCGCCGAGAGCGAGCGAGGGCTGCAAGGGCTGCCAGCATGCTGTCACCTCTCACCAGCACTTTGGGAGGCGGAGGCGGGAGGATCACGAGGTCAGGAGATCAAGGCCATCCTGGCTAACAGGGTGAAACCCCGTCTCTACTAAAAATACAAAAAAATTAGCCGGACGTGGTGGCGGGCGCCTGCAGTCCCAGCTACTCGGAGGGAGAATGGCGTGAACCTGGGAGGCGGAGCTTGCAGTGAGCCGAGATTGCGCGACTACACTCCAGCCTGCGTGACAGAGCGAGACTCCGTCTCACACACACACAAAAAAGTAGCTTATCTTTTTTCCCTCTGGCTGTTTTAAATATTTTTCTATTTACTTTTGTTTTTCTGCAATTTTACTATAGTGCATCTAGTTGCAGATTTTATTTTACTTGCTTGGGGTTCTCTGGATCTCCTCAATTTATAGATTTAACATGTTCCTTCGATTCTGGAAAATTCTCAGCCATTTTCTCTCCAAACATTTCCTGCACCTCATCTTCTCTTTCCTCTCCTCCCAAGGACACAATGTTAGATTTCTCACTATATCCTCCTTGTGTCTTACTCTCGTTTTTATTTTTCCTTCTCCATGTTTCGGTTGGATAGTTTAATTTATCTTTCCATTCATTAGTTCTCTCTTATCCAATCTGCTGTTGAATCCATTCACTGAATTGTTAACATTATTTTAGTCTTTATTTATAAAATTTTTTTTTCAAATCTGGTATGACAAATTTTATAGTTTTTCTGTTTCCTGCAGATATTGTAGAGTTTGTCATTTACTTCTTTACACATGGTTAACTATGGTGATATTTCAGTCTGTATGATACTTTCAATACAGGAGTGGAGTGCAGATGTTTCTGCCTTCTGTTGGTTCTGTGGATTCTCATTGAAATCCTAGCTTAATTTGAGGAGGTCTCCTAAAAATTTCCCACCTTGGATGGCTTTGAGTCCTGACCTTTGCTGCCTCTCCCCATACAGCCCCTGAGCAGAGCCCAAGTGAACGATAACCAGAAATGCTTTCAGGCCTAATTGGTTTCGTGTCTGATATTCCAGTCCTTTTTCTGGTTACAAATCTGTCCCCTCAAATTGTCCTGGGAATTTCCGACTGTTGTTTTTTTCTTTTCAGTCCTTTTCAGGAGAGTTCAAACTTATTTTGACGTGTGTGTGTGTGTGTGTGTGTGTGTGTGTGTGTGTGTGTGTATGTTGGTAGTAGAGGGTTGATTTGAATGACCTAGCTGCCATGGCTGGAAACCAGAAGCTCAATGATACTATTTTTGGTCTTTCACATTCTTGAGTATATCCAAGTTGGCATGATATCCCCACAACATAATGGAATTTGAGTGCTTAACTGCATGTGAAGTACTATGCATATGATTATGGACTAGCATCAAGGAAAAGGAAGGGGAAATTAACTTTGCTTAGATTCCTTATCTAATTCTAGTTATTTAAGAATATTATCCAAGTCCTTATTTAACAACAATCGTTTGCACATCTCAAGACAGTATGAAGTCCACAAATCTTAACATAAGAAACTGAAGTCGTAGTCTAAGTGCCAACATATTTACTGGAGACAGATTTATTTAAACAATCAGATTTGTGAATGGAAGCCTCCAAAAACACAAAATTTAAAAATCAACAATTGCTCTTGCTTATTAGAAAGAGGCTGTATTTTTATATTTTAAAAATATCAATGCTTCTCACACATGCCCTTATACAAAATTAATGAAATAGAATATTTTATCAAAATATTAAAAATAACTATGCTTTTAATGCTAAGACTACTGTGAAGACTAAAAAAATTTTGAATTCAAATTACAAAATCATTTGGTCTGAAAACATAAGGTACTCCACATTTTACCTATTGTAGAGTTTAAAGTCCTTGTGAGCAATTTGAAGTGTCAACTTTCCTACTGATGTGGCCTACATATTTCAAAATCCAATCTCTATTCTGTTTAATAGTAGGTGCTTTCTGAAGGCTATAGTCCATCACACAAGAGAATACTTCTTCTCACTTATACAACACATGTGTTCATGCCATTCGATTTCAGAGTACAAATACTAAGTCGACTGGTCTTCATTCTCTTGAAAAGCTAAGCGAGGTAAAAAAATAATAGCCATAACGTACAGATCACAAAAAAAGTTATTTCTTTTCCACATGGTTTCCAACAGCCACAATGAAGCCAGCATTGGGTGCTGAGTGAGTGTCATGTGGGTTTTCCAGGGCCCAGGGCAGCTGTGCTCAGCAGCAAGGACATCATTCCTCAGGTTGCTTAAGAAGTCAAACCCAGGCCGGGCACGGTGGCTCATGCCTGTAATCCCAGCACTTTGGGAGGCCGAGGCAGGTGGATCACGAGGTCAGGAGTTCGAGACCAGCCTGACCAACATGGTGAAACCCCGTGTCTACTAAAAATACAAAAATTAGCCGGCCTGATGGCGTGCGCCTGTAATCCCAGCTACTCAGTAGCCCGAGGCAGGAGAATCACTTGAACCCAGGAGGTGGAGGTTGTATTGAGCCAAGATCACACCACTGCACTCCAGCCTGGGCAACAGAGCAAGACTTGGTCTCAAAGAAAAAACAAAGAAGTCAAACTCTGTCTCTCCTGATCCCATAACCTCTACATGCTCCACCTTGATTTCCAGAGGCTTGAGACCCCAGATGTCCCTTCTGTAGCTTAATCAAGTCATCTGGGTTGGTTTCTTCACATTGCTTTGGCACATGTACTTATAAATGGATATCTCAAAGGGGAAACTGAATCTTTCTCTTGAGAGGCAGCATGGTGGAGTGATGGCCTCGGGCTTGGCCTGGGATCCAATGCTGACTTCACCACCTAATGCCTTACAATCTTAGACAAACTATCTCATCCCTCTGTGCCTCAGTTTCCTCATTTGTTAGAAGAGAGAATGATTGCTTCCACTTCATAAACTTGCCATGAGGAATCAATGAGGTCATAAACAGAAAGAATTGACTAGTTTGGCATATAAAAAGTGCTCAATAAATTTTTTGATGTTATTATTCAGATTGAGAAATGTTGTGCACAGCTTTGGTTAACTCACCTGGGGAGAGTAATATTCTTGAGAGAGAGTTTTGAATGTAGTTCAGAAATAATTAAATGCCTTCCTTGATTGAAATAGAAAGGCAATTAAGACAATGAAGTATTTTTCTCTGTAGTATCTAGGACATATTTTCTCATTTTCCTTTTGTAATGGGAAAATGTGAAACTCGGTGAAACTTTCTCAGAGTAGTGACAAATTACTCATTCTGAGGTCAATTGTTCCCCCACAAATACATTTCAAACAGGGAAGGTAGGTAAGATTCTAGAGGCCTCGGAATTCAATGCTGGGGTAGAATGATGTTTAGGACTCAGGCAGCCCAGATTACTAGTGTTGCCAGCCATATGATTTTGGAAAAGCTCTTTAATCCCTCTGGGTCTCAGGCTTCCTAACTATAAACTAGGGGTAAAAATATCCACTGGCAATGGTGATGGTGTTAGGGTGACAGGAGACAGGCTGTGACTGTTACTACATGGTAGCTAAGCAAAAACCCAGAACTGACTTTACAATGGGTTCCAGGGACTGACTATAATAGGGAGCAACATGTTCACATAAAATGGACCCAGTAGCCAAGCTTCTTTCATTCTACCCAAGAAAACCATCTCACAGGCCAGGTGCGGTGGCTCACACCTGTAATCCCAGCACTTTGGGAGGCCGAGGCAAGTGGATCACCTGAGGTCAGGAGTTCAAGACCAGCCTGACCAACATGGTGAAACCCCATCTCTACTAAAAATACAAAAATTAGCTGGGCATGGTGGCAGGTGCCTGTAATCCCAGCAACTCGGGAAGCTGAGGCAGGAGAATTGCTTGAACCCGGGAGGCAGATGTTGCAGTGAGCTGATGTCGTGCTATTGTACTCCAGCCTGGGCGATAAGAAAAAAAAAGAGAGAAAGAAAGAAAATCATCTCACAGATACATGTATCTTGTTATCTGGGATGGGGCACAAAACATCTCAAATATGTGTCTAGGAATAGGGCAGTGGAATGAAGGAGGGGGAGGCAGTGACAACTTACTTAGAATGTTATAGATGCTGTATCCATTAATCTCTTCATACACATCATTATTTTTCTGATGGGAATTATATTATTTCATTAATGGGTATTGGGAAGGCTCTGGAGAGGGTAAACAGTTGAATAATCCACAGTCCCTGTCTTTAAAGGAACTGTAGGGAGATAAGGGAAGTATAGTATTTACAGAAAGCCATCTATGTGTTTGAGTATTAGAGCAGTCTATTGTCAAACAGCTCTAAAATTTCAGTGACTTGACAAAATAGATGTTCATGTCTTGCTCATACAAAGTCTATTTCCTCATGTAGTAGTTTATGGACACAGACTCCTTCCATTTTGTGACTCTGAGATACCCTATAGTGGGAGTCAGCAAACTGCGGCTCATGGGTCAATTCCAACCTACCTACTGTTTTTTGTTTTTTTTTTTTTTTTGAGACAGAGTCTCCCAGGCTGTAGTGCAGTGGCGCGATCTCGGCTTACTGCAAACTCCGCCTCCCAGGTTCAAGTAATTCTCCTGCCTCAGCCTCCTGAGTAGCTGGGATTAGAGGTGCACACCACCACACCCGCCTAATTTTTGTATTTTTAGTAGAGATGGGGTTTCACCATGTTGGTCAGGCTAGTCTTGAACTCCTGACCTCATGATCCACCTGCCTCTGCCAACCTACTGTTTTTAAACATTCTTTTTTTGTAAATAAAGTTTTATTGGAACAGTCACACCTATTCACTTCCCTTTCATCTGTGCTTTGTAGCTGCTCTCATGTTGCAATGGTAGAGAGAAGCAGTTGTGACAGAGACTGTATGGCCCATGAAGGTTAAAATATTTACCATCTGTCCTGTTACAGAGAAAATTTGCTAAGTCTTGCCAGAGGGCATCGGAGTCCAGTGTTAGATTCTCTGATTCAGCCCACAGAAGGGGGAGAAAAAGAGTGGAAGATTATGCAGGAGGATTGATGGACTATGGAAATGGCTTTCTTCAATCCCACCTCAGCCTGACTTCAGCAGAAGCCGGGAAATGCAGCCTTGCTATTGCCCAGAAGGAAAATGCAAAGCAGTTCTCCATAGACTGGTACTGTGATAGACTCTTCCATTCACTCTCTCCTTTTTGTTCATCAAAACAACCCTTTAAGCTGGGCATGGTGGCCTGAGCCTATAGTCCTAGCAACTTGGGAGGCTGAGGCAGGAGGATCACTTGAGCCCAGGAGTTTGAGGCTGCTATGATCTTTGATCACACCTGTTAACAGCCACTGCACTCCAGCTTGGGCAGCATAGACCTTGTCTCTAAAAAAAACAATCAAGCAAACAAAAACCAAAGACAGAACTGCTTTGCAAATGAGTTATCTGAGGTTCAGAGAGGTTAAGCAACTTGCCTCAAGGTCACCCAGCATCAAAATATTTGTAGTTGTAGTAGCAATAAGATTCTCATCATACTTGTGCTATTCTTTCTGAAAAAATCTTTTTTAATTGTGGTAAAATATATTAATACTTAACATGACATGTACTCCTCTAACTGTTTTTAAAGTGTGCACTTCAGTGGCATCTGAAATGTGTTCTTGAGAGTGGGAAGTTTCCTAGTTGTTAATAAGAAATTTAAAACTTAGGGTTTTCATTTCAGTGATTATCTTAAAATGTTAAACAGATTCGTCTGGGCAATACCTTTAAACTGAAGACTGACATGAAATTTCTGAGCTTAAATTTTAGTTTATGTTTATTGGTGCCAGCGGTAATTCTGAATTGTCATAGGCTGGTAAGAAGGGGCTGAAATTTATTTGATACTGAAATTATTCCTTTAAGCTTTTCCTACATACTGTGAACTAAGGAATGTTTTGTGCTGGTTCACAAAAAGAGAAAAGTGGTGGAAGAATTAAATCATCACAAATGGCATAACTATAAAGGCATGCCATATCCAAAAGAATCTACTCCACTGAATTCAAAACAATGTTGATATTTGAGAGGCAATTCAGTTTCCACAAAACAATGTCATCCAGTATATTTTATTATTGTTTACTTATAAATCTTTGGTTTTGTGGGGTTTTTCTTTTTCATTTAGTTTGCAATTTAGTTTCACCATTGTTTAAGCATTGTTATGCATGAAGAATTGATCTCTAGTTTTATGCTTGCACATATTTAAGTTACATAATAAAATTAATTTAAATAAAAACATGAGAGGTCTAGAAGAATACTTTCTCCTTGAGAGATATGTGTCTATGGCTGAAGTATAAGAGTGTCTACCCTACAGAGATAGTTCTCTTTTACAAAAGATTTAAATTTGAATTAGGAAACTGTGCCAGTGAAGACAAGCTAAGTTCAGCTGCAGTAACAAGCAAGCCAGAAATCCGAGTGGCTTAAACCACTTGCTTACATTAAATCCATTGCATATTGGTAAAGAGCTCATGGTGCTTCTTCTGTCTGCCTACAAATTCCTCTTGGTGTTAAAATATTCCATTTACTGAACAAAAACAGTACATGATAAACTGTTCAGAAAGGAAACTTGTTTTTGCTTTTCAGGGACGGACATCTGTATGGCCCTGTAGGCATATATGGTCCAAGAAACTTCTTCTGCCAGTTTCTTCTAAATGTTTGCCTACAGACTTCTCTTTGTGATAAAATCTTCCATTCACTGAGCAAAAACAGTACATGATGAAGTGTTCAGAAAAAAAAAGGTGGTTAATATTTTTCACGCCGGGGTAACTGTATGGCTCTATAGGCACAAATGGGTTTAAGACACCTCTGCTAGCTTCTTCTACGTGTCTGCCTATAAAATCGTCTTAGTGTTAAAATCTTCTGTTCACAGAAAGAAAACAGTACATGATGAACTGCTCAGAAAAGAAGCTTGTTTTTACTTTCCAGGGCTGGATATCTGTATGGATATCAGGACCCAAACTGATCATCATAGCAGGACCCAAACTGATGGATCTGCCCTCAGTAATATTTCTGGTTGAGGAGAACGAGTGCTCTGGGGGTTCTCTCACCTGCAGATAAATGCGCTGAATCAATTAAGTCAGATGACTGCACCGAACTTCTAGAAGAGGAGCATAGTCCTCAGGTATGGCCAGGATGAGAGTGAACCAGGCATCTGTTACCAGCGATCATGTCTGCAACAGAAAGCATCCTGCATCTTTTTATAAAAAAGTGCTCCATAGCATAGTTCCGACACTTTCTATTTCCTACTAAAGCTTCAGACAGCTTTCTAAATTTCATAGGCAGCTGTGGCTTTTGAGTTACACCCCAAATCTGGTGCTTCTTAACCATACAGTATGGGCGGATCTAAACCTGTTCCTCCTCTGTGAAGTGGGGCAGAAATGTCAGTTGCATGGTGTGTTACGAGAAGTCAAGGCAGTAACTCATGTGAAACTTCTTTGTCAAATTTAAATTATTATCCAAATGAAATTATTATAACAATATTATTCTTGGCAGTCAATCATGCCACACCAAGGATAAAGAATAGACAGTAATGATTTCACCCTATAGCACTCATCGCACAGTCAATATTTTCTCACAAAAGTTTCCTGAAAATCCACAGAAAAACTCTTTAGGTTATCAGATAATGAAACCTATAGAGAATAGCTCTTCAATATAGAAGCAAATTTCTCCTCTTGGCTAGAAAATGACAAAGCATTTTACATGGCCCCAAATCTATACAGCACACTTTTCTAGCAGATTCCCACGTTTAAAAGATTTGAGGCTTAAGGAAAGAAGTATTATTTTGCCTAAGAAGCAGTTGTTTTAAGTTGAGATCAGTATAAAAAAATGAAAAAAGATTCACAAAATAGTGTTGGGGATGGAGACACAGGAAGATTTTTATACTGTAGCATCAACTCTGAAACTGCTATCACCCAGATACCTCAAAATTCTAGCTTAGTAGAACTGAGTGGTACCCTGAAGTTCATGTTGTCTACTCTTATTTTCTAGTTGTCTTAGTCAGCTCAGACAGCTATAACAAAATACCACAAACTAGGTGGCTTAAGCAACTAACATTTATTTCTCACCATTCTGGAAGTTGGGAAGTGTGAGATCAGGATGCCAACATGATGAGGTTCTGGTGAGGGTTCTCTTCCTGCCTTGCAGAAAGCTACCTTCTTGTTGTGTCCTCGTATGACAGGGAGAGACAGAGAGGGAGAGAGACAGATGGAGAGTGCTTGCTAGCTTTAGTCTCTACCTCTTCTTTTAAGGACACTAATCCCACCCTCATGGCTCATCTTAACCTAATTACCTCCTAGTTATCTGTGGGAAGTAATACCATCACATTGTGCATTTGGGTTTCAATATATGAATTTGGCAGGGCAGAGGAGCGGGGCAAGGCAGAAACATTGAGTCCATCACACCACATGAGGACAAGAAGGTCTGGAAAATTTAAATGACTTGCCCTAGATCACGTTATTAAATTCAAGTTGATTAGTCAAATATTTTTCCTTTTTGCCAATCTGATATAGAATTGAACATGAGGCAGAGAGAAAAGTTACTTTATGTCTGCATACAGTTGCTAATAAAGCCTTTTCTTTTTTTCTTTTTTCTTTTTTTTTTTGAAATGGGTCTCTCTGTCACCCAGGCTGGAGTGTAGTGGTATGATCTTGACTCACTGCAACCTCCGCCTTCTGGGTTCAAGTGATTCTCCTGCCTCAGCCTCCTGAGTAGCTGGGACTACAGGCGTGTGCCACCACGCCTAGCTAATTTTTGTATTTTTAGTAGGGACAGGGTTTCGTCATGTTGGCCAGGCTGGTCTCAAACTCCTGGCCTCAGATGATCCTCACACCTCAGCCTCCCAAAGTGCTGGGATTACAGGCGTGAGCCACTGTGCCTGGCCAATTGCTAATAAAGTATTTTCTAATCACAACCTATGTAACTCACTTCATGATGTATCTGCAAGTGGACTAAGGACCCACTGAATATTCTTGTCGAGGTCTAGCAATAATTTTGAGATTCCTTTTAAGTATTTGTAAAATTTAGTTATTCTCCTTATTTCAGAGGGTTCCAGATGTTTTGACCCTGGGGAAATGTATGAATAGACTAAGAAAATGAGATTCAGATTTCTAGTTGAATGATTTCATTTTCTGATTATTTTATTTAATTAGACATGGCAGTCTACTTTTCACTCTAGGAGAAGAATTTTCAAATTGCCCCCCAAAAGAAAAGAAAAGATGAGTTTCCTTTCTAAGTGTATTCTTCCAGAGAGGCTAGGTTATACTGCAGTACAGAAAAATCTCTGGGATTTACAGTAACAAAGGATTATTTCTCATTCTTGCTAAATGTCTATGGGTGTAGGAGATGTCTCCACTCCACACGTCTGTGCCAGGGGTGGGATGCTGATGGAAACTCCATCTGGTGGGGGCAGCAACAGCTGTGCCACCGGGAAGGGGATTTGGTAAATTGCACTATGGCTCTTCATGCTTCTGCCCCTGTAAGTGACACATGTCACTTCTGCTAATTCATTATTTGCCAGGGCAAATCACAAGATCACAGCTAAATGCAGAAGGGTCAGAATACTTCCATCCTTCTATGCACCTGGAAGAAGAAAACCCAAAATTTTGGTGAACATCTCTAATGGCCACCATAATAGGAATAAAAAAGGAAAACAGAACACACCCCAACTTTGTCAAAACGCCAGTGTCTCACACCATCAATATGAATCAAATTCCCAAATATCCATCAGCTGTACAATAAAATATCTTAACACATTATAGAGTTTCCTGAATCCATTTCTTCATCTCTATACAAGAGAATTGCATAGAATGGGAAGCAAGTACAATAAAGTAAATTAAACTGGGGCTGGAGTGAAGTTTCTAGAAATGGACTGTGGGCCAGCAAAATGTGGAGGCACGTTTATACCTTTTGTGGATTTTATTAGCCTCATTTCTCAGAGGAGAAATCATGTGTTTATGACATGACAATACTAGTCAACAGTCTTTCCAAAATAATTGGACAGTAGGAAAGTTATAGCCGTAACAGGGGAAAAAGTTCATTTTCACCTAATTGACAATAGGAATGTTTGTTTAATGGGTCACTCTAGAAAGAGATGTTAAATCTTTAAAACTTAACCTTTTTGGGAAATGTCTTAAGGTCTAGAATATGTTCAGACAACCTTCATTTGTTTATTTTATTTGGATACAATCATTTGCTTAGACATGTATTTTTAAACTTTTAATATATTAGTAGTAATACATTATTTTATTTGAGTTTTCTTTTATTTGGATACAATCATTTGCTTAGACACATATTTTTAAACTTTTAATGTATTGGTAGCAATGATGTTTTCAAGTAGGGAAACACTTAAACTAGCTCAGAATCTCCCCTAAATTAAAAAATAGAGTTTTGTACTTTCCAGAATAATAAGCATCTTTTTCTTTTTCTTTTTTCTTTTTTTTTGAGGCAGAGTTTTGTTCTTGTTGCCCAGGTGGAGTGCAATGGTGCGATCTTGGCTCACTGCAACCTCTGCCTCCTGGGTTCAAGCGATTCTCCTGCCTCAGCCTCCCAAGTAGCTAGGATTGCAGGCACCCGTCACCAAGCCCGGCTAATTTTTTGTATTTTTAGTAGAGACAGGGTTTCACCATATTGGCCAGGCTGGTCTCGAACTCCTGACCTCAGGTTATCCACCTGCCTCGGACTCCCAAAGTGCTGGGATTACAGGAGTGAGACACCGTGCCTGGCCAATAAGTACTTTTATAGCCTTTCTTTAAATCTTTCTTGGTAAAGATCTACAAAGCAGGAGGAAATTACAAGAGGCAAAGTTTGCTGGTTTACTGTTTGATTATATCTCTCCCACTACCCCTTAAATATTTGTAACAGAGCAGGGTTAACATTAACACCCTAACCACCATAAACTAAAAATATTTATTATATAATTCATGTCTAAGATGAAAATGAAGATATAACAGTAAGATGATTTCATACAGAGGTACAGGGAATTCTGTGTGACTAGGGTAAGTCAATTTTGTGTTTTGTTTTTTTTGTGTGTGTTTCAGTAGTTTCGAGTTATTATAATTACTGAGCAATGACTAGAATGCTATATATCATGTAATTCACATTTTTTTTTCTCATTTAATCCTCCACAGAAAACCTACTTTTAGAACTTAGGAAACTGAGGATGAAGTGACTTGACCAAGGTCTCCTAGCTACTTAGCAGAGGAATACTCTTTAGAGATAAATAATTGTGGTGACATTTCAATCAAAGTATCTGATAATTGCAGTGCCTTCCCACACCCAACTCTCTAGGAGAAGAAATAATTTAAAAGATACATTTATTCATAAACACACAAGTACTCATTCTGTGTCTTTTCCTATCACAAAGCCCACGGATATACAGCTGAATAAGTCTGCAAGTCAGAGGTTAAGAAAAGTTGGCTCTGGCATCCGACAGGCTGACTTGGATGAGGCTCTGCAATGCTACCTTGGATGGGTACTTATTTTCTCTAACCTCAGTTTCTTCATCTGCAAAATGGGAAACAATATTCGTGCTTTCCTCATGATTTTGCTGGGAAAATGAAATAAGACAATATGTTTTTGCACAGTACAGTGCATTAAACGCTCCATAGTATGCACTTGATATATACTAGGTTTTATTGTTGAATAAGCAAGGACAGCCATGGCTCCTCTCAGAGGAGCTCCCTGATTAGGGAGAGGAGAAAAACGTTTAAATAGCATTTCCTGTCCAATGTGATGCGAGCAGTAGGGAAACCAGGGAAAGGCACGAATGACTGCGTTGGAAAAGTCTAAAAAGGTTTCATAGAGGTGACTTTTGAGCTGGTGATTTTAGGGGGAGCAGTGCTTCACCGGATGGAGAAGGAGGTAGACATTCCGGCTATGTCCAAACGTGGGGTAGAAAGGCGCGTTTGGGGACCTCAATACTCAGGATAAGGGAACATTGAAGAGAGAGAAAGGGAAATAATGAAAGTGCATGGAAAACCAGTAAGTGTGGGACCCTGGGGGCTTGGACCAGAAAGGGCCAGCCTTCCGTGGCCATGAGGGAGGGAAGCTGGAGGATCGCGAGGTGGCGCTGTGGCTCCACCTTAAGGAAAGATTCTGGAGCTCGCGGGTCACCCGCACTCCCAGGACAGCCTCGGAGAGGTGGGGCAGCGCAGTCTTGGTGGGTTTGGCATCTTCACGGCAGCTGCCAAAAAATAACGTTGATAAAGATAATAAATACATAAGCAAATAAACCGGAAGCGGTCCCTTTTAGGACACACGGCAAGCATCAATAATCAGAGACCGTAGGCGAGGAAGGATTAAGAGCACGGAACTGTCCAGCAGGGACCGTTCCCAGCTCAGTCCGCGTAATCTGTAGGCCCGCATTGGGAACCCGCATCGCCTGCCTGGAGCTGAGCTGTATGCTAACCCGCGTCTTCGGGCGGGCCCTGCGCCCCGAAGGCGTCTCCCTAAAGCCAAAGTCGTAGCGGTCTGCACGCCTGCCCTTGGGCCCTCGGTCCGCACCCTGCCTAGACCTAGATTTTTTTGGATTTTTTTTTTTTTTTTTTGCTGAATTTCATACGCACACGTGCACACAAAACCACGTGTGAGTTCAGGCTCACACACGTTTACGATGCTCTTGCACAATACACACGGACTTTTGCAAATGCACAGCCCACTCACTTAGACACTACACATGACACGTGCACACACTATACACATGCGCACTCACGCCCGTGTGCACCAATGCCTTACGCACCCACGCACACATTCAGCCAAGTGCTCTCTGTCACCGGCACAAACACACACTTACTGCACTGGCCCACAAATGTGCAGCCACTTTTCGCACATGCAAACATATTTGCACATTCACATCATACACATCTCGCATCCCAGTAGCCAACAAAGACCTCGCAGCACGCAAAGGTGTGTAAATATTCAGCAAATTGTCCCTCGAAGGAAGTATGAGCGCAAACTTTTTGTTATCCAGGCATCTCGAGCTTTTCTGCTAAACTCGCCCTCCCTTCTCCAACTTTCCCCTGAATAAACAGGCCTGTTCCTCCCAGTCTCCCCTCTGAGAATGTTTTAAGGCCAAGGTTTCTTCCATAAGGTTTGCGCTACTGAAGGGATGCTAATTTTCAAATCGCTAAGAAGCTCCCTTCTCCCATCCCAGAGCCTCCTTCTACCAAGGGAGCAGGGACCTTCCCAGATCGGATTCCAATCTCGTGGACTAGGGGACTGTGGGCAAGGGCCACCGGGTGGGATATGATCACGCCCTAGGGCATCCTCGGACTTAAAGATCCTTTCCGGCAGTGCCCCCAACTGTATTCTCCCGACTCAGAATGACTTCAGCTTCTAGCTATCTATGGTCACGCCAGGGCAGAATCAGCATCTCCCCCATTAAAGCACATCCGCAAGTGTCCAGATTTCTGTCCTTCGATGGGCATCAGGAACATCCCCGCAAAGTCAGATACTTAGTCTGTTCCAACAGGCAAGCTTGCGTGAGCTCTAAGATCTCATCTAGGACTGGGAGAGAGAATGACTGACAGGAGGTCACATAGTAAATGTGGCAGAGCCGGGGCCGGGGCTGGCACGTCCCTGGCGCGCTCTGTCCCTGCGGGCCAGGAGAGAGAGAAGCACATCGGTAACTGACCACGTGAATGCGCATTCAGTACGCGCATTAGTTAGGACGTTTCATAGTCTTCCCCTTTCCTCTCCTCTGCTCCCTGCCCTCGGGAGGCACCGTGCGCGCTCGCTCCTTTCTCCTCCCGGATGCGGAACCCGGGCCCAGGAGCTCCAGAGCCAAAGGACACTTGAGAGTTGGGGGACAAGAGATTCGCGCCACAGCTGGGTGGACGGTTTGGCTCTATATTTAAGGGGACAGGCTTTAGCGATATTCTGGCTTGGCGACTTTATTAGCTGTTGGCCGTGGACAAGTTTTTCAACTTCGCTCACAGGGTCTCTGTTTGCTCACCTGTAAAACGCCGGAGTGGTCTTATCTGCCGTGGTCTGTGGCGGATATTCAGTGAGTTCCTGCCCGTAAAGCCATCAACAAATGGGATCTATTATTATCTGGGGCCGCCCGGGGGGAAACCCAAGAGAGTTGGCAGGCTCGCCCCAGAAAGACCTGTAGGAACCCCTTGCCCCAGGCTTCTGGCCGTATCAGACTAAGCGCTCCCAACCTGGGACGGAGCCCCGCGGTGTTGTTTGCTTGGTCTCTATCTCCTAGCCGTCTGTGGGTGTCTTTGTCCTTCTCTAGGCCTCAGTTTCCCTGTATGTACCATGGGGGGTGGGAGGTGGAGGTGCGCTCCCAGAGCCGGGAAGTGTCGGTCATACTGGGCCAGCAGAGGAGGCCTTCTCTGGAGCGTAGGGAATCGGAAACAGAAATCAGATTCTGGATTTCCAGTGGACCCCTGGCCTGCTACTCCCACGCGTTCCCCGAGGACTGCGCATGGAGATCACCGAGGAAAAGAGCCACGGTTTTGAGGGCTGGCGGTGTGTCACGGTGTTCGGCCACTCGCGCCATCTTCCGGGTGCAGTTCAGGGGCCCCGCAGAGCCGAGCCTTCGCGCAGGTCCCGGCTTTCCCAGGTCCCCGGGCCGCCACCCACTCCTATTCTCGTCCACCGGGCAACGCCGTGGCCCCTGCTCCTCTCCACCTCAACCCCGACTCCAGGCTGCTGGTCGACTCCTCTGGAGCGGCCGCAATCTGAGGGACTTTGCGCCTTGGCTTAGGTCCTTGCATCTTTCTTTTCCCCTTTCCCTTCCCAACACTGAAGTAGGCATCTGTCCTCCCGCCTCGTTCGAAGCTGTCCCTGGCAGGTGGCGAGGGAAGGGGGCACGTCCCGGGACGGTTTGCCCTTCTGTGGGCCCGCCCTCACAAGGGGAATGGAGATCAAGAGAATTTTCCAAGTGACAGGTCCCAAGTCTGGCCTCCTGGGGGCGGACGAACAGAGACGATTCCCTCTTCCGCTGGGACCTTTCCACGGGTCTTAGTTTGGCTGTATTTATCTAGTCTCTTCTCTTTGGGGAGACCGGTATGTTTCTACTGGAGTCCCCAGAAATTACTGGTAGATGTTGCCTTTCAGAAAGGGGAATTGATTTCCCTGTGCCTCAAGAGGGTTGGGATAGCCAAGGAGCAGAAGGTCAGGGTGGGAGTGGGTGGGTAGGGAGTGCTTGCACACTGCCCTGGGCTTCCTCCAGGCCCAGGTCAAGAGATCCCGAGAGCTGGACAGCCCTGCCTACCGCTGGGAGCATCTGAGGGGCTGTGTATCCTGAACTCCCACAGCTGCAGAAATTTTGAGGAGCTCATCAGGGAAACTAGGCTCCAGGGGAAACCCCAAACCTCTCTAGTTTTTCTTTCCAGGTGTAAACTCATTCTGCTGTATTTTTTCCCCATGCAAAAGTCTTTTTTCCTCACGCCTTCCTTCCCTTCCTTCTTTCTCTCAGAGATGATATATATTCAAAAATCAAGAGTTTCCAAATAACTTTAAATACAGATCCCAGGCACCAACACAGGAGGTTCTGATTCTGTGGGTCAGGATAAGGCCTGGAAATCTGCATTTCTAACAAGTGCCTGCACCCTTCCCCATGTGATTAGCCTGATGAACCCAGTTTGGGGATTACTATTATAAACTACCCTAAAGTCAAATCACTCATATGCCATAAAGCCTAGGCAATGCTGTACATACTAGAATATCTCATTACAGGATACCTTTACCATAAAGTATATACCTAAGGTAATTGTGATGGATAGTGCTTGAAGTATCTGCTTTCAGGTATGATGGCAATCACCCTCTACACACATGCTTTGTCTCTGGAGGTAGTGCTACCCTCACATGAAGATTTAGAAGTATTTAAGAGGCTCTTTTTCAAAGTTTAAAATTACAATTGCTGGTTCAATATTCACCAGAGAAAATCCATAAAAAAAACTACTGCTCTGCTGGCCTGTGTGTCATTTCCAGTTTTCTGTCACTCACTCTGTCTCTCTTCCACCTTCTCTTTAGCCTCCTTCCTACTTAAACATTTATTACAGGATGAGAAAGCCAGACTGAAAGCACAAGGACACCAAGAAGAAAAGCTATGAATACACTCGGCTTGATTAAAATAAAGCACACTCACCACCCCAGGTGAGGTATGTGCTGCCTCTGCACAGCCAAAGGAAATTAGTCTTATCAAAATATTTCTGCCCCCTTTTATTTTTCTTCCTTCTCTAGCCTGGCAGGTATGGAAATTGCCTCCCTCATATTTAGTTCCTGGAGAGACTGGCTCTGGGGTAGAAATTGAGCTGCTCAGGACTTCTTGCTTTGTGCCACTTTCTCATTTGGGTGAGTCAGCTTCAGGCTCTCAACAAACGCATCCTTTGCAGATGCTTCTAGACTCTGTTCAACCCCAGAAATCTATCTGCTGTGTGTCTCTTGCTGATCCTGGACTTGAGGGTGTCTATGCTTTTCTTTTCCCTGGCACTTTTGTCACCTTCCTTTGGCAGTGATCTGCTCCCTTATTTTGTGTCCCTCACCACTGGAGACACCCCACCAGACTCAGCTGGGAGTCCTGCAGTTGAGGACTGTTTACTGGAGAGTAAAATGGAGGTTCAGGCAGATAAAGAGAAGGAGGCCTAGGCCTTTTGCCAGGGCTATATGGGACCCATTGATAGGATGGGTGGGCTTTGCTTCCTCATCTCCTTACCTTCAAGGATCCTCTCTGAGCTGGAGAATATGGCCCAGGCAGGGGGAGGGATTGACTCTGGGGACCCCTTTGGACCTGGAGCATAAGGTTAAGTTTGGAGCTTTAGAAAGTTTTTAGCAGGCCAAGTTTCAATTGTGCATTTAAATACTATAGAGACTGAAAATGTTCACATACCTATCCCCAAAAACCTACAGCCCTTCAAGTCTCTCCACCATTATACTCTTCTTCGACATGAACGCTATGTTAGGAACCCCTGTGAATGCTATGGGGATCCCAAAAGATCAGACCAATCCCTTCAGGGAAGTCCTGGAAGAGATGGCATTAATTATGGTACCAGGGGAAAGTGCTCAGCACACAAGAAGTCTAGATTACATGTGTGAGAGCTGGGCAGGCCTCGTGCACAGGAGATAAAGCAGTGTTTGAGGACAGTGGCCATGCACTGCAGGCCAGGACCACACTCTTTCATCCAGTTTAGGAATCAGGAAGTGGCTCCACTGCTCTGCCAAGAGCACAAAGCATAACTCTTGCCTGTCTCTATTCAACATGGGCATGTGTACTTTTCCATCACTGACCCCATGAGCTTCCTAAATCAAAGGACCAAGGAAGGCCAGCAGAAAGGGGACCTGGATTTCTGGCAGATAATTTCCCCGAAGGAGTCCTTAGCAGATTTGGCTGCAGTCAGGGAGTTCCTTTGAGGGCAATGAAACAGAAGTTCACCATGTGCTTATTAGAGGTTACAACCTGCTAAAAAATGATGGGGTACATTACCCAGAAACTTCTAGCTATTTCCTTTGCCAGCCACAAAGATACATGCTGAAAAGCCTGAGGAGGGAGACAATTTCGTCCTTTTTTCTTTCCCTTTTTCCTTCCATCTCTCCCATTTCCATTCGTTCCTTCTCCTTCTCTCCTTTCTCTCTCCCTCCTTCCTTCCCATTTTCTCTTCCCCTTCTTCCTTTTTTGTCCTTTCTCCCCACCTTCCTTCTCTTCTCCCCCCACCCTTTTCATATGGCAGAGACAGAGTTAGGAAGGATTTGTTCAAGCCCTCCTTTTTAACAGGAAGAATAAAGGAGGATGAGAAAAACCCTACACCAAATAACCAGCTAATCAAGGACGGTTAACATTGCTGTTGCTTTGGTAGTTACTCTAAAAACAAACGAACCAACTACTTGGGGTGGGGAATGAGGGGTTGGCATTTAATTTGAGAAAATTTAAAAACGCATCCTGACACAGCCCCAGTGAGAGCATTCATTCCACCATTCACATATCTCGAGGACTGCCCGAGAGAGGTGAGCGTGTGAGTGAGAACAGTGCCCAACCCTGGCAGCCTCTAGGCTAGCGGCCGAGAGAGAAGCGTTTCAGAGGCCGGGGTGGGAGTAGAGCCTGGTACCCCACTTCCTGGGGACCCACAGCGCCTCATTTGCCGGGGCCCAGCGTCCATTCATCCCTCCCAGCGTGGAGGCCGTGCCCCTCCGAGAGTTACCAGCCCCGACCTCGCGCACCCATATTCCATCCCACCGCCCCCGCCTCAAAGCGAAGAGGTGGGCACCTGGGACGCGCGTCCTGCTTTTTCTGCCCGGGCTCTCCCGTCTCCTCCACTTTTGTCCCCGACGTCCCAGAACGGCGGAGCAGGACGCGGCATCAGCCCTGGGAGGGCGCAGCCTGCGAGCCTCCAGCGCGCTCAGGGCGCGGCGAGGATGCTAAAGGACTGCAATGGCCAGGATGCAGATCCCCAGCTCAAATTCCTGAGGAAGACACCCGCCTCCCTTTCCCTCTGTCCCCTCTCCGTCCTCGCTCGGACCCGCTCCTCCCCAGCCCAGACGTCAGTGCTCAGCGCTCCTTCGCTCGCCACTTTGCGAGGAACTTTGGCCGGCTCCCCTGCGCCACCGGGAGCGGGATGTTAATGAGAGAGCGTGGCCTGGCGCCGCCAGCGAGCCGGCTCCCGGGCCGCGATTGGCTGCGGTGGGCGGAAAGATGACGTTATGCAAATGAAGGGGCGGGGCCTCGATGCGCGGGCCCCGCCTCCTCCCTTTGGGGTTAGTGTGCCTGTGTTTAGCTCTGGGGAAAGTCAAACTGGATTCCATAGGGAAAGCCTGCAAATCACTTCTATTTTAGCAAGGAGAAAACAGAATCTCCATCCAGCAGGGTCCACCCCTCTCTCTTTCTCCCTCTCCTCTCTATCTCTCTTTCCCTCCCCCCCTTTCCTCTCTCCCTCTCTCCCCTTCCCCCCACCCTCTCTGGTGTATCTGTCTACGGCAACCAGCGTCCTCCTCATCTACACGCAAAGGAAAGAAACATCTTTGGTTGGGAGAGAAGGAGGAAAAAAAAAGAGAGAGAGAGGAAAAAACTTGCCTGGTTGTGGAAAATGACACTTGAAGTAGCAAAGCCGGCAGCGCGAGTTGAGTCTATTGTTTCTTAAATTGCCATCAGGGTTTTTTTTTTTTTTTTTTTTTTTTTTTTTTTTTTTTCTTCCTGCTTCTTCAAGTGAAGGGTACCTCTACAAAAGGAAACTCCAGCCCCTCCTGTCCTCCACCGGCCTGTGATCATTACAAAAAAAAAAAAAAAAAAGCAAAAAAAAAAAAAAAGCACCCAAACCAAAAATCAACCAACCAAACAACCCCCAACAGCCAAGCATACATCTCTAATTTTATTATTTTGGTCTTTTCGTTGGATTTTCCCTTTCTTCTTTTTTTCGGGTTATCGCTCAGTTTTGAGCAGAGGTTTACATTTTTTAAAAATTTGCTTTCCAGCCCGCCTTGATCTTCTAAGTGCGAGTTCATCGTCTGAGAAAAAAAAAAATCTCTGGTTGGCGTTTTTGTTTCTTTTCTTTTCTTTCTTTTCTTTCCTTTTTTTTTTTTTTTAATTTTTTTCAAGGGGGAGGAGATTTTCCACAAGAAAAGGTTGTTTTCATGTTTGGGATTCAGGAAAGCATCCAACGGAGTGGAAGCAGCATGAAGGAAGAGCCGCTGGGCAGCGGCATGAACGCGGTGCGGACGTGGATGCAGGGCGCCGGGGTGCTGGACGCCAACACGGCGGCGCAGAGGTGGGTACTGCGCGGGGACCGCGGCCGAGGTGAGCCGCGAGCGGGAGAGCCGGGAGGCGGAGGCGGCAGCGGCAGCGGCAGCTGCTGCCGCGGGGCCGGGCGGCGGGGTGAGTCCGCAGCCGCTGCGCTCCGCTCTCCGCCGGGGCTCCGCGCTCTCCAGCCGCTCTGCCTTCGTCGCCTGCGGCCGGAGGACCTGGAGCTGTCTGCGAGGAGCCCACGCTTTGCCAGCACTTTCCCCTGCCTCGTCTGTGACTGTTTTCATTTTGTTTTAACCCAGAAGAGGCGTCTCAACACAGCATGTTGGAGATCTGTGTTTTATGTTTTTATGTGATTGCTCTTTCTTTTCCGGCCGGCTCTCTTTTCTTCTTTCCCTTCGCTCTTCCTTTCCCTCTTTTCTTTTTTCTTTCTTTCTTTCTCTTCCTTCCTTCCTTTTTCTTTCTTTTTTCTTTTTCTTTCTTTTTTTCTTTCCTCCTTTTCTTTTTCCTTTTTCTTTCTCTTTCCTCTTCCTGCCTTTCTTTTTTCTTTCTTCCTTCTTTCCTTTCTCCCCCCTTTATTTTCTTCTCTTCTCCTTCCTCTTCCTTTCTTCCCCTCTTCCCTCCTTCCATTTCTTTCGTTCTTCGTTCTTTCCTGTCTCTCTTCCTGCCTTCTTTTCTTTCTTCTTTCTTTCATTTCCTTCTCTCATTTCTTTCCCCCACCTTCCCTTAATTTCTCCCTCACTCTTTTCCTTCCTCCCTTCCTCTCTCCATTTTCTTTCTCTTCTTTCTTCAGCTTCCCTCCTTTCTCCTCTTTCTCCTTTCCTTACCTCTCTGGCTTTCCTGTTTTTTCGTCCCATTTCTCCCCTGAGTCTTCTCTTATTTCTGCTATCTCGTTCTCCTTCCCTCCCTCTCTGTCTTTCAGTTTTTTCTTAGTCTACCGGTAGAATAGCAACTCCCAACTTTAATTCTGATATCTCCCAAAAGTCTTCTCCAGCCCCTGTCACCATGGCCCCTTCCAGCCCTTCTCTCACTCGCAGCTCCCTAGACACTAGACTGTGTGGCCTGGAGGCATTGCCCTTGGAGGTTGACCTGAGGGAACTTTCCTGGGCACACCCAAGGCTCTTTCCCAGGCTCCTGGTCCCAAGTGAGAAATGGCCTTTTTCCCCCCATTAAGCCACCAGCTGAGCTTGGGACAGTGGGAGATCTGGTGGCCCCAGGCCCTATCGGACTCAGAGTGCGGAAGGGGAAGAAGGAAGATGACTAATTACATCATCTCCAGCTTCCCTGGGCTGGGGACAAGTGTCCCCAACACTGTTCCCATCCCCACTGAGTATTAGGATGGGGGTGGGTGGTAGTGAGAGTGAATTGGGTAACTGGGCTGGAAGTGAAAGTGTGTGCGCGGGGCGCTCGTGTGTGTTCTTCTATGTGTGTGTGTGTGCCTGTGCGCGCTTGTGTTGGGCAGGTCCGGCTGTCAGTGGCCGCCTGGCGCCCCAGGCGCTCCAGCCTCCCATCGCCGGCCGGCGCACTGAGCCAGCAGCCCTGGCCTTTAGGATTTCTGGAATGAGTGTGAGGATTTCTGCGGAACAGCGAAACTTTGTTAGGACAGGTCTTTAAGAAAACACCCCTCTTCCCTTTTTCACAGCGACCACCCGCGACAGTTCTGAGCCCCGCCCTCGGACCCTTCTCCACATGCTTTTTGGTGGTGGGGGGATGTGGCTTCCCAAGGCCGGGCACTCGCAGTTGGCCAGAGCTTGAGGGGTTCCTGGAGGGTGGCTGCTGCGGCGAGACGCCGAGCATGTTTTCCATCCATTCCCACCTGCCCTGCTAGCTGAGACGTGAGATTCGAGGGGTGCCGGAATATAACTGTGGGTTCTACTCCGCGAAGGTGGGTTCACTTCATCCACCGCCACTTTTCTTCCTCCCCACGCAGTGCGTGTCAGGTAGGAGTAAATGCTTATAGAGTTTCATCTCGCGCGCAAAACCCAAACAAAACTTTCACACCTCTTCAGCGAGTTCTGAGGACGCACCCGTCCTTGGCGGAGAGGACGAGGACATGAGGGGACATGTGTGTCCCGTTGTCAGCTGGGTCTATGTCGCCTGAAGGGGCGTGAAGAGCGCCCACTGGATGTTTTGGGGGAAGAGGAGGTGGGTGTTTGAGGGTTCGAGTGTGTGTACAGGGTGACAAGGGGCGCGGGTCGGCGTCCGGTTTAGCCATCTAACTCTGCGTCTTTGGCCGCAGCGGGGTGGGTCTGGCCCGGGCTCACTTTGAGAAGCAGCCGCCTTCCAATCTGCGGAAATCCAACTTCTTCCACTTCGTCCTGGCCCTCTACGACAGACAGGGCCAGCCCGTGGAGATCGAGAGGACAGCGTTTGTGGGGTTCGTGGAGAAGGAAAAAGTAAGTGGGCGCAGCGCTGTCGCCCCTCGTCCCCGGCTCGGCTCGGGAGCAGGCCCGGGAGCCTTGGGCAGCGCGCCCTTCCTTGAGTGCAAAGCATCCATAACACACTTCTATGTGGGGGTCCCCCAAGCCACTTCCCATCCCAGACGAACCCAGGGTCCTGGTCCACTGGCTCCTTCTCCAGAAAAGTTCGCACGGAGCCCCCAGAGCTAGAGAGAGGCAAGCCTGGCTCTACAATCCACAGCCATGGGCACCCGGAATGAACCCGCCCTCCACTACCAGATTACGCACCGCCTGCCTCTGGTGGCCGGGGCACGAGCCCCTAGGCCCTGGAAAGAGGATAGCCTGTGTGCGCCCGACGGAATTTTCTTTTGGGAGAGAGGGAGCAGTCAGGAACAGGGGGCGGAGGAGGGATCACAATTGGCCACAATTTCTGCTGCTACCGTGGCTGCCTGGCTCGCCAGCGGGGGTCCCGGCTTGGGGAAAGTTGCCTCGAAAGTTGGTCCACTCGCTCACGCAGACCTCTCTCCTGCATCTCTTGTGTCTTTGCGTCCTGATGCAACCCAGGAAGCCAACAGCGAAAAGACCAATAACGGAATTCACTACCGGCTTCAGCTTCTCTACAGCAATGGTGAGGCCCGGGTCGGGTCTATGGCCTCACCCTGGGGCTCCGGGTCTGGGCAGGGGGCGCAGGGAGCTCCAGGTGGACGAAATCCTCCAGCGAAGGTCAGTCATCCGCTTTATTTGAGGTGAACCAGCCTCTCCTAAATTTCGCCCCAGGAGGTTTCACCTGAGGAGGCTCCTAGTGGCCCAAGAGCCTTATCGGTCTCGCGTTTACCTGGGGCCAGGTGTAGTGCCTCATCCCTCCCTGAGCCACTTTCATTCTTCCTCCCCTTCCTGAGGCCTGTTCCTTTGGCTTGGCCCAGGCTGCAGGCCCATGGCCCCTTGGGCTTAGGGGCTGAAGGGTCATGGCCTTGAAGGCTGTGTGCGAGAGCAGAGGGACTCTTGCCGTGAGAACAGACAAGTCGGGGTACCCCCATCCCAGTCCCAGCTGCAGAACTTGGCGTCTGGCTTCCAGGAGCGCTAAGGCAAGGCCAGCAGCACCTCTCTGGACACTGGGGAAGGGAGATCGTGGCTGTATTTTCCAGGACAGTGGGAGTTCCAATCAGCCTTGGAGCCCCTTTCGTGATATGTGTGTGGGGGTTTTGTTGTTATTTTTTGTTGTTGTTAATTATTGTCCACCCACCCTCCGTAACCTCTCACTTAATTCTCCTCCCTTCCCCCATTTCCAACCCTAGGGATAAGGACGGAGCAGGATTTCTACGTGCGCCTCATTGACTCCATGACAAAACAAGTAAGTTTCTTGATTTTGGGCCACGGGGGGCTCTATGTCACAAAATTCAGGGCAGTCAAGAAGCTAGTTGCTCCACCGCAGGTGGGCTGGGACTCTAACTCTAAAAGCCAGCGGGGGCGGCTCAGACCAAACTTGCACGGCCTTCCAGTGTCCATTCATGCGCTTGCACCGCCGCGTGGGGATGAGGGCTCGACGCGCGCGCGTCCCTCCAAGGGAACTCGGGCCTTGTGAATTAAGACTGCAGGGTGCTGAGTGGCGAGAAAAAGGGCTGAATTTCCTCTGACCCGGCCAGGGAGCCCCGAAGGGCTCAAAGGTGCCCAGGGACCCTGGTGCGGAGTGGGCTGAACCTTTGAAACCCAAGCAAGCCAGGCCTCCCCGGGAAGCAGAGGGGCGAGGGGCTGAGGGGGCGGAGGAGGGGTGGCAGAGGCGGCTTCCCCAGGAATGATGAGATGGGCTGAGAGCGCAGATGACCATTCTGCAGATTTGTTTTCAAAGGGAATGATGGTGAAGGTAGTGTTGAAAGAGGGAGCGACAATTGTTAGAGGATATTTTGCAAAAACCCTCCTGCTTTTGCCTCCAAGTTTGGCAGGAAGCCAGGCAGCATGAGTGAGCTTGTGGTCTTAAAGGTACATAGACGGCATTTTCTTAAGCTCCCAACACGCGGGTGTCAAGCAGTATACATTAAGGTTGAGTTATGGTTTAAAAGATACAATTATGAGCCGAGTCAGAAAAGAGGCCTGACGTTTTAATGAGGCACAGGAGCTTTTTCCCCTTCTTCTTAATTTTAAGAAAAAGTTTAGTTTCAGAATTAAGTAGCTGGTTAGGTAGTTGGAGGAGTTAGTAGCAGAAAAAAGAAGACAGCTTTATTGGGTGGGGGAAAGAAATTAGAACAAAGAAAAAAGTTATCCATTGTGTACTAACCAGCAATTTAGCAAGAGGATTAAAATTTATTTACTTGATTG